>NC_000006.12:59439514-59739514 GCF_000001405.40 Homo sapiens | reverse complement strand
AGTTGTTTCTGAGAATGATTCTATCTATGTTTTCCATGAAGATGTTTCCTTTTCTATCATAGGCTTCAAAGTGGTCTAAATATCCACTTGGAAATCCTACAAGAACAGGGTTTCAAAACTTCTCTATCAAACGGAAGACTCCACTCCTGTGAGATGAACGCACACATCACAATGAGGTTTCTGAAAATTCTTCTGTCTAGGGTTATAGGAAGAAATCCCGTTTCCAACGAAGGCCTCAAAGAGGTCCAAATATCCACTTGCAGTTTCTACAAAAAGAGTGTTTCAACACTGCTCTATAAAGAGGAAAGTTCCACTCTGTGAGTTGAATGTACACATCACAAAGTAGTTTCTGAGATTGCTTCTGTCTAGGTTTTAGGTGAAGTTATTTCCTTTTCTACTGTGGGCTTCAATGCGCTCTAAATATACACATGCAAATACTACAAAAAGAGTGTTTCAAAACTGCTCTATCAAAAGAAAAGTTTTACTCTGTGAGTTGAACGCACACATCGCAAAGCAGATTCTGAGAATTATTCTGTCTAGTTTTTATAGGAAGATGTTTCTTTTTCTGCCATAGGCTCAATGCGCTATAAATATCCCCTTGGAAATCCTACAAAAACAGTGTTTCAAAACTGCTCTGTGAAAAGGGAGGTTTCACTCTTTGAATTGAATGCACACATCACAAAGGAGTTTCTGAAAATTCTTCAATCTAGAGTTACATGAAGAAATCCCGTTTCCAAAGAAGGCCTCAAATAGGTCCAAATATCCACTTGCAGCTACTACAAGAAGGGTGTTTCAGAAACGCTCTATCAAAAGAAACGTTAAACTCTGTGAGTTGAACGCACACGTCACTAAGCACTTTCTGAGAACGATTCTATCTACTTTTTACATGAAGATGTTTCCTTTTCTAGCAGAGACTTCAAAGTGCTCTAAATATCCACTTGGCAATTCTACAAAAACGGTGTCTCAAAACTGCTCTATCAAAGGGAATGTTCCATTCTGTGAGTCGAATGCACACATCCGAAGAAGTTACTGAGAATTCTTCTCTGTAGGTTTAGATGAAGAAATCCCGTTTCCAACGAAGGCCTCTAGGAGGTCCAATTATCCACTTGCAGATTCTACAGAAAGAGTGTTTCAAAACTGCTCTATCAAGAGAAATGGTCCACCGTGTGTGTGGAATGCAGCCATCACACATTAGTTTCTGAGATTGCTTCTGTCTTGGTTTTATGGGGAGATATTTCCATTTCTAGCATAGGCTTCAAGGCGCTCTAAATATCCGCTTGGAAATACTACAAAAACAGTGTTTCAAAACTGCTGTATCCAAAGGAAGGTGCCACTCGCTGAGTTGAATGCACACATCACAAGGAAGTTTCTGAGAATTCTTCTGTCTAGATTCATACGAAGAAATCCCGTTTCCAACGAAGGCCTCAAAGAAGTCCAAATATCCCATTGCAAATTCTACAAAAGGAGTGTTTCCCAACTGCTCTATCAAGAGGAATGTTGCACTCTGTGACTTGAATGCAAACATCACATAGCAGTGTTTGAGAATTCTTCTGTCTAGAGTAACATGAAGAAATCCCGTTTCCAACGAAGGCCTCAAGGCGGTCCAATTATCCACTTGCAGATTCTACAGAAAGAGTGTTTCAAAACTGCTCTATCAAGAGAAATGTTCCACCGTGTGTGTGGAATGCAGCCATCACACAGTAGTTTCTGAGATTGCTTCCGTCTAGGTTTTATGGGAAGATATTTCCTTTTCTACCATAGGCTTCAAGGCGCTCTAATATCCGCTTGGAAATACTACAACCACAGCGTTTCAAACTGCTCTATCCAAAGGAAGGTTCCACTCTGTGACTTGAATGCACACAACCAAAGAAGTTTCGGAGAATTCTTCTGTCTGGATTTATACGAAGAAATCCCGTTTCCAACGAAGACCCAAAGGAGTTCCAAATATCCACTTGCAGATCCTTCAGAAAGAGGGTTTCAAAACTGCTCTATCAAGAGAAATGTTCAACTCTGTGAGTTGAATGCAGACATCACAAAGTCGTTTCTGAGATGGGTTCTGTCTAGGTTTTATGGGAAGATATTTCCTTTTCTACCATACGCTTCAAGGCGTTCCAAATATCCGCTTGGAAATACTACAAAAACAGTGTTTCAAAACTGCTCTATCAAAAGGAAGGATCCACACTGTGAGTTGAATTCACACATCACAAAGAAGTCTCTGAGAATTCTTCTGTCTGGGTTTATAGGAAGAAATCCCGTTTCCAACGAAGGCCTCAAAGCGGTCCATATATCCACTTGCAGATTCTACAGAAACAATGTTTCCAAACTGCTCTATCAAGAGGAATGTTGCACTCGGTGAGTTGAATGCACACATCACAAAGTAGTTTCTGAGATTGCTTCTGTCTACCTTTTATGGAAAGATATTCCCTTTTCTACCATAGGCCTGAAAGCGCTCTCAATGTACCCTTGCAAATTCTACAAAAAGAGTGTTTCCAAATTGCTCTATCAAGAGAAATCTTTATCTCGGTGAGTTGAAAGCACACATCACAAAGAAGACTCTGAGAATTCTTCTGTCTGGGTTTATAAGATGAAAACCCGTTTCCAACGAAGGCCTCAAGGAGGTCCAAATACAAACAAGCTGATTCTACAGAAAGAGTGTTTCCAAACTGCTCTATCAAGAGGAATGTTCCACTCGGTGAGTTGAATGCAGACATCACAAAGGAGTTTCTGAGATTGCTTCTGTCTAGCTTTTATGGAAAGATATTTCCTTTTCTACCATAGGCCTCAAAGCGCTCTTAGTATACACTTCCAAATTCTACAAAGAGAGTGTTACTAAACCGCTCTCTCAAAGGAAATGTTAAACTCTGTGAGTTGAACACAGACATCACAAAGCAGTTTCTGAGAACACTTCTGTCTGCCTTTTATGTGAAGACATTCCCTTTTCCAAAGAATGCCTCCAAGGGCTCAAAATATCCACTTGTAGACTTTACAAAGAGAGTGTTTCAAAACTTCTCTACCAAAAGAAAGGTTAAAGACGGTGAGTTCAACGCACACATCACAAAGTTGTTTCTGAGAATGATTCTATCTATGTTTTCCATGAAGATGTTTCCTTTTCTATCATAGGCTTCAAAGTGGTCTAAATATCCACTTGGAAATCCTACAAGAACACGGTTTCAAAACTTCTCTATCAAACGGAAGACTCCACTCTGTGAGATGAACGCACACATCACAATGAGGTTTCTGAAAATTCTTCTGTCTAGGGTTATAGGAAGAAATCCCCTTTCCAACGAAGGCCTGAAAGAGGTCCAAATATCCACTTGCAGTTTCTACAAAAAGAGTGTTTCAACACTGCTCTATAAAGAGGAAAGTTCCACTCTGTGAGTTGAATGTACACATCACAAAGTAGTTTCTGAGATTGCTTCTGTCTAGGTTTTAGGTGAAGTTATTTCCTTTTCTACTGTGGGCTTCAATGCGCTCTAAATATACACATGCAAATACTACAAAAAGAGTGTTTCAAAACTGCTCTATCAAAAGAAAAGTTTTACTCTGTGGGTTGAACGCACACATCGCAAAGCAGATTCTGAGAATTATTCTGTCTAGTTTTTATAGGAAGATGTTTCTTTTTCTGCCATAGGATCAATGCGCTATAAATATCCCCTTGGAAATCCTACAAAAACAGAGTTTCAAAACTGCTCTGTGAAAAGGGAGGTTTCACTCTTTGAATTGAATGCACACTTCACAAAGGAGTTTCTGAAAATTCTTCAATCTAGAGTTACATGAAGAAATCCCGTTTCCAAAGAAGGCCTCAAATAGGTCCAAATATCCACTTGCAGCTACTACAAGAAGGGTGTTTCAGAAACGCTCTATCAAAAGAAACGTTAAACTCTGTGAGTTGAACGCACACGTCACTAAGCACTTTCTGAGAACGATTCTATCTACTTTTTACATGAAGATGTTTCCTTTTCTAGCAGAGACTTCAAAGTGCTCTAAATATCCACTTGGGAAATCTACAAAAACGGTGTCTCAAAACTGCTCTATCAAAGGGAATGTTCCATTCTGTGAGTCGAATGCACACATCCGAAGAAGTTACTGAGAATTCTTCTCTGTAGGTTTAGATGAAGAAATCCCGTTTCCAACGAAGGCCTCTAGGAGGTCCAATTATCCACTTGCAGATTCTACAGAAAGAGTGTTTCAAAACTGCTCTATCAAGAGAAATGGTCCACCGTGTGTGTGGAATGCAGCCATCACACATTAGTTTCTGAGATTGCTTCTGTCTTGGTTTTATGGGGAGATATTTCCATTTCTAGCATAGGCTTCAAGGCGCTCTAAATATCCGCTTGGAAATACTACAAAAACAGTGTTTCAAAACTGCTGTATCCAAAGGAAGGTGCCACTCGCTGAGTTGAATGCACACATCACAAGGAAGTTTCTGAGAATTCTTCTGTCTAGATTCATACGAAGAAATCCCGTTTCCAACGAAGGCCTCAAAGAAGTCCAAATATCCCATTGCAAATTCTACAAAAGGAGTGTTTCCCAACTGCTCTATCAAGAGGAATGTTGCACTCTGTGACTTGAATGCAAACATCACATAGCAGTGTTTGAGAATTCTTCTGTCTAGAGTAACATGAAGAAATCCCGTTTCCAACGAAGGCCTCAAGGCGGTCCAATTATCCACTTGCAGATTCTACAGAAAGAGTGTTTCAAAACTGCTCTATCAAGAGAAATGTTCCACCGTGTGTGTGGAATGCAGCCATCACACAGTAGTTTCTGAGATTGCTTCCGTCTAGGTTTTATGGGAAGATATTTCCTTTTCTACCATAGGCTTCAAGGCGCTCTAATATCCGCTTGGAAATACTACAACCACAGCGTTTCAAACTGCTCTATCCAAAGGAAGGTTCCACTCTGTGACTTGAATGCACACAACCAAAGAAGTTTCGGAGAATCTTCTGTCTGGATTTATACGAAGAAATCCCGTTTCCAACGAAGACCCAAAGGAGTTCCAAATATCCACTTGCAGATCCTTCAGAAAGAGGGTTTCAAAACTGCTCTATCAAGAGAAATGTTCAACTCTGTGAGTTGAATGCAGACATCACAAAGTCGTTTCTGAGATTGGTTCTGTCTAGGTTTTATGGGAAGATATTTCCTTTTCTACCATACGCTTCAAGGCGTTCCATATATCTGCTTGGAAATACTACAAAAACAGTGTTTCAAAACTGCTCTATCAAAAGGAAGGATCCACACTGTGAGTTGAATTCACACATCACAAAGAAGTCTCTGAGAATTCTTCTGTCTGGGTTTATAGGAAGAAATCCCGTTTCCAACGAAGGCCTCAAAGCGGTCCATATATCCACTTGCAGATTCTACAGAAACAATGTTTCCAAACTGCTCGGTCAAGAGGAATGTTGCACTCGGTGAGTTGAATGCACACATCACAAAGTAGTTTCTGAGATTGCTTCTGTCTACCTTTTATGGAAAGATATTCCCTTTTCTACCATAGGCCTGAAAGCGCTCTCAATGTACCCTTGCAAATTCTACAAAAAGAGTGTTTCCAAATTGCTCTATCAAGAGAAATCTTTATCTCGGTGAGTTGAAAGCACACATCACAAAGAAGACTCTGAGAATTCTTCTGTCTGGGTTTATAAGATGAAAACCCGTTTCCAACGAAGGCCTCAAGGAGGTCCAAATACAAACAAGCTGATTCTACAGAAAGAGTGTTTCCAAACTGCTCTATCAAGAGGAATGTTCCACTCGGTGAGTTGAATGCAGACATCACAAAGGAGTTTCTGGGATTGCTTCTGTCTAGCTTTTATGGAAAGATATTTCCTTTTCTACCATAGGCCTCAAAGCGCTCTTAGTATACACTTCCAAATTCTACAAAGAGAGTGTTACTAAACCGCTCTCTCAAAGGAAATGTTAAACTCTGTGAGTTGAACACAGACATCACAAAGCAGTTTCTGAGAACACTTCTGTCTGCCTTTTATGTGAAGACATTCCCTTTTCCAAAGAATGCCTCCAAGGGCTCAAAATATCCACTTGTAGACTTTACAAAGAGAGTGTTTCAAAACTTCTCTACCAAAAGAAAGGTTAAAGACGGTGAGTTCAACGCACACATCACAAAGTTGTTTCTGAGAATGATTCTATCTATGTTTTCCATGAAGATGTTTCCTTTTCTATCATAGGCTTCAAAGTGGTCTAAATATCCACTTGGAAATCCTACAAGAACAGGGTTTCAAAACTTCTCTATCAAACGGAAGACTCCACTCTGTGAGATGAACGCACACATCACAATGAGGTTTCTGAAAATTCTTCTGTCTAGGGTTATAGGAAGAAATCCCGTTTCCAACGAAGGCCTCAAAGAGGTCCAAATATCCACTTGCAGTTTCTACAAAAAGAGTGTTTCAACACTGCTCTATAAAGAGGAAAGTTCCACTCTGTGAGTTGAATGTACACATCACAAAGTAGTTTCTGAGATTGCTTCTGTCTAGGTTTTAGGTGAAGTTATTTCCTTTTCTACTGTGGGCTTCAATGCGCTCTAAATATACACATGCAAATACTACAAAAAGAGTGTTTCAAAACTGCTCTATCAAAAGAAAAGTTTTACTCTGTGAGTTGAACGCACACATCGCAAAGCAGATTCTGAGAATTATTCTGTCTAGTTTTTATAGGAAGATGTTTCTTTTTCTGCCATAGGCTCAATGCGCTATAAATATCCCCTTGGAAATCCTACAAAAACAGTGTTTCAAAACTGCTCTGTGAAAAGGGACGTTTCACTCTTTGAATTGAATGCACACTTCACAAAGGAGTTTCTGAAAATTCTTCAAACTAGAGTTACATGAAGAAATCCCGTTTCCAAAGAAGGGATAGGTCCAAATATCCACTTGCAGCTACTACAAGAAGGGTGTTTCAGAAACGCTCTATCAAAAGAAACGTTAAACTCTGTGAGTTGAACACACACGTCACTAAGCACTTTCTGAGAACGATTCTATCTACTTTTTACATGAAGATGTTTCCTTTTCTAGCAGAGACTTCAAAGTGCTCTAAATATCCACTTGGGAATTCTACAAAAACGGTGTCTCAAAACTGCTCTATCAAACGGAATGTTCCATTCTGTGAGTCGAATGCACACATCCGAAGAAGTTACTGAGAATTCTTCTCTGTAGGTTTAGATGAAGAAATCCCGTTTCCAACGAAGGCCTCTAGGAGGTCCAATTATCCACTTGCAGATTCTACAGAAAGAGTGTTTCAAAACTGCTCTATCAAGAGAAATGGTCCACCGTGTGTGTGGAATGCAGCCATCACACATTAGTTTCTGAGATTGCTTCTGTCTTGGTTTTATGGGGAGATATTTCCATTTCTAGCATAGGCTTCAAGGCGCTCTAAATATCCGCTTGGAAATACTACAAAAACAGTGTTTCAAAACTGCTGTATCCAAAGGAAGGTGCCACTCGCTGAGTTGAATGCACACATCACAAGGAAGTTTCTGAGAATTCTTCTGTCTAGATTCATACGAAGAAATCCCGTTTCCAACGAAGGCCTCAAAGAAGTCCAAATATCCCATTGCAAATTCTACAAAAGGAGTGTTTCCCAACTGCTCTATCAAGAGGAATGTTGCACTCTGTGACTTGAATGCAAACATCACATAGCAGTGTTTGAGAATTCTTCTGTCTAGAGTAACATGAAGAAATCCCGTTTCCAACGAAGGCCTCAAGGCCGTCCAATTATCCACTTGCAGATTCTACAGAAAGAGTGTTTCAAAACTGCTCTATCAAGAGAAATGTTCCACCGTGTGTGTGGAATGCAGTCATCACACAGTAGTTTCTGAGATTGCTTCCGTCTAGGTTTTATGGGAAGATATTTCCTTTTCTACCATAGGCCTCAAGGCGCTCTAATATCCGCTTGGAAACACTACAACCACAGCGTTTCAAACTGCTCTACCCAAAGGAAGGTTCCACCCTGTGACTTGAATGCACACAACCAAAGAAGTTTCGGAGAATTCTTCTGTCTGGATTTATACGAAGAAATCCCGTTTCCAACGAAGACCCAAAGGAGTTCCAAATATCCACTTGCAGATCCTTCAGAAAGAGGGTTTCAAAACTGCTCTATCAAGAGAAATGTTCAACTCTGTGAGTTGAATGCAGACATCACAAAGTCGTTTCTGAGATTGGTTCTGTCTAGGTTTTATGGGAAGATATTTCCTTTTCTACCATACGCTTCAAGGCGTTCCAAATATCTGCTTGGAAATACTACAAAAACGGTGTTTCAAAACTGCTCTATCAAAAGGAAGGATCCACACTGTGAGTTGAATTCACACATCACAAAGAAATCTCTGAGAATTCTTCTGTCTGGGTTTATAGGAAGAAATCCCGTTTCCAACGAAGGCCTCAAAGCGGTCCATATATCCACTTGCAGATTCTACAGAAACAATGTTTCCAAACTGCTCTATCAAGAGGAATGTTGCACTCGGTGAGTTGAATGCACACATCACAAAGTAGTTTCTGAGATTGCTTCTGTCTACCTTTTATGGAAAGATATTCCCTTTTCTACCATAGGCCTGAAAGCGCTCTCAATGTACCCTTGCAAATTCTACAAAAAGAGTGTTTCCAAATTGCTCTATCAAGAGAAATCTTTATCTCGGTGAGTTGAAAGCACACATCACAAAGAAGACTCTGAGAATTCTTCTGTCTGGGTTTATAAGATGAAAACCCGTTTCCAACGAAGGCCTCAAGGAGGTCCAAATACAAACAAGCTGATTCTACAGAAAGAGTGTTTCCAAACTGCTCTATCAAGAGGAATGTTCCACTCGGTGAGTTGAATGCAGACATCACAAAGGAGTTTCTGAGATTGCTTCTGTCTAGCTTTTATGGAAAGATATTTCCTTTTCTACCATAGGCCTCAAAGCGCTCTTAGTATACACTTCCAAATTCTACAAAGAGAGTGTTACTAAACCGCTCTCTCAAAGGAAATGTTAAACTCTGTGAGTTGAACACAGACATCACAAAGCAGTTTCTGAGAACACTTCTGTCTGCCTTTTATGTGAAGACATTCCCTTTTCCAAAGAATGCCTCCAAGGGCTCAAAATATCCACTTGTAGACTTTACAAAGAGAGTGTTTCAAAACTTCTCTACCAAAAGAAAGGTTAAAGACGGTGAGTTCAACGCACACATCACAAAGTTGTTTCTGAGAATGATTCTATCTATGTTTTCCATGAAGATGTTTCCTTTTCTATCATAGGCTTCAAAGTGGTCTAAATATCCACTTGGAAATCCTACAAGAACAGGGTTTCAAAACTTCTCTATCAAACGGAAGACTCCACTCTGTGAGATGAACGCACACATCACAATGAGGTTTCTGAAAATTCTTCTGTCTAGGGTTATAGGAAGAAATCCCGTTTCCAACGAAGGCCTCAAAGAGGTCCAAATATCCACTTGCAGTTTCTACAAAAAGAGTGTTTCAACACTGCTCTATAAAGAGGAAAGTTCCACTCTGTGAGTTGAATGTACACATCACAAAGTAGTTTCTGAGATTGCTTCTGTCTAGGTTTTAGGTGAAGTTATTTCCTTTTCTACTGTGGGCTTCAATGCGCTCTCAATATACACATGCAAATACTACAAAAAGAGTGTTTCAAAACTGTTCTATCAAAAGAAAAGTTTTAATCTGTGGGTTGAACGCACACATCGCAAAGCAGATTCTGAGAATTATTCTGTCTAGTTTTTATAGGAAGATGTTTCTTTTTCTGCCGTAGGCTCAATGCGCTATAAATATCCCCTTGGAAATCCTACAAAAACAGTGTTTCAAAACTGCTCTGTGAAAAGGGAGGTTTCACTCTTTGAATTGAATGCACACATCACAAAGGAGTTTTTGAAAATTCTTCAAACGAGAGTTACATGAAGAAATCCCGTTTCCAAAGAAGGCCTCAAATAGGTCCAAATATCCACTTGCAGCTACTACAAGAAGGGTGTTTCAGAAACGCTCTATCAAAAGAAACGTTAAACTCTGTGAGTTGAACGCACACGTCACTAAGCACTTTCTGAGAACGATTCTATCTACTTTTTACATGAAGGTGTTTCCTTTTCTAGCAGAGACTTCAAAGTGCTCTAAATATCCACTTGGGAATTCTACAAAAACGGTGTCTCAAAACTGCTCTATCAAACGGAATGTTCCATTCTGTGAGTCGAATGCACACATCCGAAGAAGTTACTGAGAATTCTTCTCTGTAGGTTTAGATGAAGAAATCCCATTTCCAATGAAGGCCTCTAGGACGTCCAATTATCCACTTGCAGATTCTACAGAAAGAGTGTTTCAAAACTGCTCTATCAAGAGAAATGGTCCACCGTGTGTGTGGAATGCAGCCATCACACATTAGTTTCTGAGATTGCTTCTGTCTTGGTTTTATGGGGAGATATTTCCATTTCTAGCATAGGCTTCAAGGCGCTCTAAATATCCGCTTGGAAATAGTACAAAAACAGTGTTTCAAAACTGCTGTATCCAAAGGAAGGTGCCACTCGCTGAGTTGAATGCACACATCACAAGGAAGTTTCTGAGAATTCTTCTGTCTAGATTCATACGAAGAAATCCCGTTTCCAACGAAGGCCTCAAAGAAGTCCAAATATCCCATTGCAAATTCTACAAAAGGAGTGTTTCCCAACTGCTCTATCAAGAGGAATGTTGCACTCTGTGACTTGCATGCAAACATCACACAGCAGTGTTTGAGAATTCTTCTGTCTAGAGTAACATGAAGAAATCCCGTTTCCAACGAAGGCCTCAAGGCGGTCCAATTATCCACTTGCAGATTCTACAGAAAGAGTGTTTCAAAACTGCTCTATCAAGAGAAATGTTCCACCGTGTGTGTGGAATGCAGCCATCACACAGTAGTTTCTGAGATTGCTTCCGTCTAGGTTTTATGGGAAGATATTTCCTTTTCTACCATAGGCCTCAAGGCGCTCTAATATCCGCTTGGAAATACTACAACCACAGCGTTTCAAACTGCTCTATCCAAAGGAAGGTTCCACTCTGTGACTTGAATGCACACAACCAAAGAAGTTTCGGAGAATTCTTCTGTCTAGATTTATACGAAGAAATCCCGTTTCCAACGAAGACCCAAAGGAGTTCCAAATATCCACTTGCAGATCCTTCAGAAAGAGGGTTTCAAAACTGCTCTATCAAGAGAAATGTTCAACTCTGTGAGTTGAATGCAGACATCACAAAGTCGTTTCTGAGATTGGTTCTGTCTAGGTTTTATGGGAAGATATTTCCTTTTCTACCATACGCTTCAAGGCGTTCCAAATATCCGCTTGGAAATACTACAAAAACAGTGTTTCAAAACTGCTCTATCAAAAGGAAGGATCCACACTGTGAGTTGAATTCACACATCACAAAGAAGTCTCTGAGAATTCTTCTGTCTGGGTTTATAGGAAGAAATCCCGTTTCCAACGAAGGCCTCAAAGCGGTCCATATATCCACTTGCAGATTCTACAGAAACAATGTTTCCAAACTGCTCGGTCAAGAGGAATGTTGCACTCGGTGAGTTGAATGCACACATCACAAAGTAGTTTCTGAGATTGCTTCTGTCTACCTTTTATGGAAAGATATTCCCTTTTCTACCATAGGCCTGAAAGCGCTCTCAATGTACCCTTGCAAATTCTACAAAAAGAGTGTTTCCAAATTGCTCTATCAAGAGAAATCTTTATCTCGGTGAGTTGAAAGCACACATCACAAAGAAGACTCTGAGAATTCTTCTGTCTGGGTTTATAAGATGAAAACCCGTTTCCAACGAAGGCCTCAAGGAGGTCCAAATACAAACAAGCTGATTCTACAGAAAGAGTGTTTCCAAACTGCTCTATCAAGAGGAATGTTCCACTCGGTGAGTTGAATGCAGACATCACAAAGGAGTTTCTGAGATTGCTTCTGTCTAGCTTTTATGGAAAGATGTTTCCTTTTCTACCATAGGCCTCAAAGCGCTCTTAGTATACACTTCCAAATTCTACAAAGACAGTGTTACTAAACTGCTCTATCAAAGGAAATGTTAAACTCTGTGAGTTGAACACAGACATCACAAAGCAGTTTCTGAGAACACTTCTGTCTGCCTTTTACGTGAAGACATTCCCTTTTCCGAAGAATGCCTCCAAGGGCTCAAAATATCCACTTGTAGACTTTACAAAGAGAGTGTTTCAAAACTTCTCTACCAAAAGAAAGGTTAAAGACGGCGAGTTCAACGCACACATCACAAAGTTGTTTCTGAGAATGATTCTATCTATGTTTTCCATGAAGATGTTTCCTTTTCTATCATAGGCTTCAAAGTGGTCTAAATATCCACTTGGAAATCCTACAAGAACAGGGTTTCAAAACTTCTCTATCAAACGGAAGACTCCACTCTGTGAGATGAACGCACACATCACAATGAGGTTTCTGAAAATTCTTCTGTCTAGGGTTATAGGAAGAAATCCCGTTTCCAACGAAGGCCTCAAAGAGGTCCAAATATCCACTTGCAGTTTCTACAAAAAGAGTGTTTCAACACTGCTCTATAAAGAGAAAAGTTCCACTCTGTGAGTTGAATGTACACATCACAAAGTAGTTTCTGAGATTGCTTCTGTCTAGGTTTTAGGTGAAGTTATTTCCTTTTCTACTGTGGGCTTCAATGCGCTCTAAATATACACATGCAAATACTACAAAAAGAGTGTTTCAAAACTGCTCTATCAAAAGAAAAGTTTTACTCTGTGGGTTGAACGCACACATCGCAAAGCAGATTCTGAGAATTATTCTGTCTAGTTTTTATAGGAAGATGTTTCTTTTTCTGCCGTAGGATCAATGCGCTATAAATATCCCCTTGGAAATCCTACAAAAACAGTGTTTCAAAACTGCTCTGTGAAAAGGGAGGTTTCACTCTTTGAATTGAATGCACACATCACAAAGGAGTTTCTGAAAATTCTTCAAACTAGAGTTACATGAAGAAATCCCGTTTCCAAAGAAGGCCTCAAATAGGTCCAAATATCCACTTGCAGCTACTACAAGAAGGGTGTTTCAGAAACGCTCTATCAAAAGAAACGTTAAACTCTGTGAGTTGAACACACACGTCACTAAGCACTTTCTGAGAACGATTGTATCTACTTTTTACATGAAGATGTTTCCTTTTCTAGCAGAGACTTCAAAGTGCTCTAAATATCCACTTGGGAATTCTACAAAAACGGTGTCTCAAAACTGCTCTATCAAAGGGAATGTTCCATTCTGTGAGTCGAATGCACACATCCGAAGAAGTTACTGAGAATTCTTCTCTGTAGGTTTAGATGAAGAAATCCCGTTTCCAACGAAGGCCTCTAGGAGGTCCAATTATCCACTTGCAGATTCTACAGAAAGAGTGTTTCAAAACTGCTCTATCAAGAGAAATGGTCCACCGTGTGTGTGGAATGCAGCCATCACACATTAGTTTCTGAGATTGCTTCTGTCTTGGTTTTATGGGGAGATATTTCCATTTCTAGCATAGGCTTCAAGGCGCTCTAAATATCCGCTTGGAAATACTACAAAAACAGTGTTTCAAAACTGCTGTATCCAAAGGAAGGTGCCACTCGCTGAGTTGAATGCACACATCACAAGGAAGTTTCTGAGAATTCTTCTGTCTAGATTCATACGAAGAAATCCCGTTTCCAACGAAGGCCTCAAAGAAGTCCAAATATCCCATTGCAAATTCTACAAAAGGAGTGTTTCCCAACTGCTCTATCAAGAGGAATGTTGCACTCTGTGACTTGCATGCAAACATCACACAGCAGTGTTTGAGAATTCTTCTGTCTAGAGTAACATGAAGAAATCCCGTTTCCAACGAAGGCCTCAAGGCGGTCCAATTATCCACTTGCAGATTCTACAGAAAGAGTGTTTCAAAACTGCTCTATCAAGAGAAATGTTCCACCGTGTGTGTGGAATGCAGCCATCACACAGTAGTTTCTGAGATTGCTTCCGTCTAGGTTTTATGGGAAGATATTTCCTTTTCTACCATAGGCTTCAAGGCGCTCTAATATCCGCTTGAAAATACTACAACCACAGCGTTTCAAACTGCTCTATCCAAAGGAAGGTTCCACTCTGTGACTTGAATGCACACAACCAAAGAAGTTTCGGAGAATTCTTCTCTCTGGATTTATACGAAGAAATCCCGTTTCCAACGAAGACCCAAAGGAGTTCCAAATATCCACTTGCAGATCCTTCAGAAAGAAGGTTTCAAAACTGCTCTATCAAGAGAAATGTTCAACTCTGTGAGTTGAATGCAGACATCACAAAGTCGTTTCTGAGATTGGTTCTGTCTAGGTTTTATGGGAAGATATTTCCTTTTCTACCATACGCTTCAAGGCGTTCCAAATATCCGCTTGGAAATACTACAAAAACAGTGTTTCAAAACTGCTCTATCAAAAGGAAGGATCCACACTGTGAGTTGAATTCACACATCACAAAGAAGTCTCTGAGAATTCTTCTGTCTGGGTTTATAGGAAGAAATCCCGTTTCCAACGAAGGCCTCAAAGAGGTCCAAATATCCACTTGCAGATTCTACAGAAACAATGTTTCCAAACTGCTCGGTCAAGAGGAATGTTGCACTCGGTGAGTTGAATGCACACATCACAAAGTAGTTTCTGAGATTGCTTCTGTCTACCTTTTATGGAAAGATATTCCCTTTTCTACCATAGGCCTGAAAGCGCTCTCAATGTACCCTTGCAAATTCTACAAAAAGAGTGTTTCCAAATTGCTCTATCAAGAGAAATCTTTATCTCGGTGAGTTGAAAGCACACATCACAAAGAAGACTCTGAGAATTCTTCTGTCTGGGTTTATAAGATGAAAACCCGTTTCCAACGAAGGCCTCAAGGAGGTCCAAATACAAACAAGCTGATTCTACAGAAAGAGTGTTTCCAAACTGCTCTATCAAGAGGAATGTTCCACTCGGTGAGTTGAATGCAGACATCACAAAGGAGGTTTCTGAGATTGCTTCTGTCTAGCTTTTATGGAAAGATATTTCCTTTTCTACCATAGGCCTCAAAGCGCTCTTAGTATACACTTCCAAATTCTACAAAGAGAGTGTTACTAAACCGCTCTCTCAAAGGAAATGTTAAACTCTGTGAGTTGAACACAGACATCACAAAGCAGTTTCTGAGAACACTTCTGTCTGCCTTTTATGTGAAGACATTCCCTTTTCCAAAGAATGCCTCCAAGGGCTCAAAATATCCACTTGTAGACTTTACAAAGAGAGTGTTTCAAAACTTCTCTACCAAAAGAAAGGTTAAAGACGGTGAGTTCAACGCACACATCACAAAGTTGTTTCTGAGAATGATTCTATCTATGTTTTCCATGAAGATGTTTCCTTTTCTATCATAGGCTTCAAAGTGGTCTAAATATCCACTTGGAAATCCTACAAGAACAGGGTTTCAAAACTTCTCTATCAAACGGAAGACTCCACTCTGTGAGATGAACGCACACATCACAATGAGGTTTCTGAAAATTCTTCTGTCTAGGGTTATAGGAAGAAATCCCGTTTCCAACGAAGGCCTCAAAGAGGTCCAAATATCCACTTGCAGTTTCTACAAAAAGAGTGTTTCAACACTGCTCTATAAAGAGGAAAGTTCCACTCTGTGAGTTGAATGTACACATCACAAAGTAGTTTCTGAGATTGCTTCTGTCTAGGTTTTAGGTGAAGTTATTTCCTTTTCTACTGTGGGCTTCAATGCGCTCTAAATATACACATGCAAATACTACAAAAAGAGTGTTTCAAAACTGCTCTATCAAAAGAAAAGTTTTACTCTGTGAGTTGAACGCACACATCGCAAAGCAGATTCTGAGAATTATTCTGTCTAGTTTTTATAGGAAGATGTTTCTTTTTCTGCCATAGGCTCAATGCGCTATAAATATCCCCTTGGAAATCCTACAAAAACAGTGTTTCAAAACTGCTCTGTGAAAAGGGACGTTTCACTCTTTGAATTGAATGCACACTTCACAAAGGAGTTTCTGAAAATTCTTCAATCTAGAGTTACATGAAGAAATCCCGTTTCCAAAGAAGGCCTCAAATAGGTCCAAATATCCACTTGCAGCTACTACAAGAAGGGTGTTTCAGAAACGCTCTATCAAAAGAAACGTTAAACTCTGTGAGTTGAACGCACACGTCACTAAGCACTTTCTGAGAACGATTCTATCTACTTTTTACATGAAGATGTTTCCTTTTCTAGCAGAGACTTCAAAGTGCTCTAAATATCCACTTGGGAATTCTACAAAAACGGTGTCTCAAAACTGCTCTATCAAAGGGAATGTTCCATTCTGTGAGTCGAATGCACACATCCGAAGAAGTTACTGAGAATTCTTCTCTGTAGGTTTAGATGAAGAAATCCCGTTTCCAACGAAGGCCTCTAGGAGGTCCAATTATCCACTTGCAGATTCTACAGAAAGAGTGTTTCAAAACTGCTCTATCAAGAGAAATGGTCCACCGTGTGTGTGGAATGCAGCCATCACACATTAGTTTCTGAGATTGCTTCTGTCTTGGTTTTATGGGGAGATATTTCCATTTCTAGCATAGGCTTCAAGGCGCTCTAAATATCCGCTTGGAAATACTACAAAAACAGTGTTTCAAAACTGCTGTATCCAAAGGAAGGTGCCACTCGCTGAGTTGAATGCACACATCACAAGGAAGTTTCTGAGAATTCTTCTGTCTAGATTCATACGAAGAAATCCCGTTTCCAACGAAGGCCTCAAAGAAGTCCAAATATCCCATTGCAAATTCTACAAAAGGAGTGTTTCCCAACTGCTCTATCAAGAGGAATGTTGCACTCTGTGACTTGAATGCAAACATCACATAGCAGTGTTTGAGAATTCTTCTGTCTAGAGTAACATGAAGAAATCCTGTTTCCAACGAAGGCCTCAAGGCGGTCCAATTATCCACTTGCAGATTCTACAGAAAGAGTGTTTCAAAACTGCTCTATCAAGAGAAATGTTCCACCGTGTGTGTGGAATGCAGCCATCACACAGTAGTTTCTGAGATTGCTTCCGTCTAGGTTTTATGGGAAGATATTTCCTTTTCTACCATAGGCTTCAAGGCGCTCTAATATCCGCTTGGAAATACTACAACCACAGCGTTTCAAACTGCTCTATCCAAAGGAAGGTTCCACTCTGTGACTTGAATGCACACAACCAAAGAAGTTTCGGAGAATTCTTCTGTCTGGATTTATACGAAGAAATCCCGTTTCCAACGAAGACCCAAAGGAGTTCCAAATATCCACTTGCAGATCCTTCAGAAAGAGGGTTTCAAAACTGCTCTATCAAGAGAAATGTTCAACTCTGTGAGTTGAATGCAGACAAGACATCACAAAGTCGTTTCTGAGATGGGTTCTGTCTAGGTTTTATGGGAAGATATTTCCTTTTCTACCATACGCTTCAAGGCGTTCCAAATATCCGCTTGGAAATACTACAAAAACAGTGTTTCAAAACTGCTCTATCAAAAGGAAGGATCCACACTGTGAGTTGAATTCACACATCACAAAGAAGTCTCTGAGAATTCTTCTGTCTGGGTTTATAGGAAGAAATCCCGTTTCCAACGAAGGCCTCAAAGCGGTCCATATATCCACTTGCAGATTCTACAGAAACAATGTTTCCAAACTGCTCTATCAAGAGGAATGTTGCACTCGGTGAGTTGAATGCACACATCACAAAGTAGTTTCTGAGATTGCTTCTGTCTACCTTTTATGGAAAGATATTCCCTTTTCTACCATAGGCCTGAAAGCGCTCTCAATGTACCCTTGCAAATTCTACAAAAAGAGTGTTTCCAAATTGCTCTATCAAGAGAAATCTTTATCTCGGTGAGTTGAAAGCACACATCACAAAGAAGACTCTGAGAATTCTTCTGTCTGGGTTTATAAGATGAAAACCCGTTTCCAATGAAGGCCTCAAGGAGGTCCAAATACAAACAAGCTGATTCTACAGAAAGAGTGTTTCCAAACTGCTCTATCAAGAGGAATGTTCCACTCGGTGAGTTGAATGCAGACATCACAAAGGAGTTTCTGAGATTGCTTCTGTCTAGCTTTTATGGAAAGATAATTCCTTTTCTACCATAGGCCTCAAAGCGCTCTTAGTATACACTTCCAAATTCTACAAAGAGAGTGTTACTAAACCGCTCTCTCAAAGGAAATGTTAAACTCTGTGAGTTGAACACAGACATCACAAAGCAGTTTCTGAGAACACTTCTGTCTGCCTTTTATGTGAAGACATTCCCTTTTCCAAAGAATGCCTCCAAGGGCTCAAAATATCCACTTGTAGACTTTACAAAGAGAGTGTTTCAAAACTTCTCTACCAAAAGAAAGGTTAAAGACGGTGAGTTCAACGCACACATCACAAAGTTGTTTCTGAGAATGATTCTATCTATGTTTTCCATGAAGATGTTTCCTTTTCTATCATAGGCTTCAAAGTGGTCTAAATATCCACTTGGAAATCCTACAAGAACAGGGTTTCAAAACTTCTCTATCAAACGGAAGACTCCACTCTGTGAGATGAACGCACACATCACAATGAGGTTTCTGAAAATTCTTCTGTCTAGGGTTATAGGAAGAAATCCCGTTTCCAACGAAGGCCTCAAAGAGGTCCAAATATCCACTTGCAGTTTCTACAAAAAGAGTGTTTCAACACTGCTCTATAAAGAGGAAAGTTCCACTCTGTGAGTTGAATGTACACATCACAAAGTAGTTTCTGAGATTGCTCCTGTCTAGGTTTTAGGTGAAGTTATTTCCTTTTCTACTGTGGGCTTCAATGCGCTCTAAATATACACATGCAAATACTACAAAAAGAGTGTTTCAAAACTGCTCTATCAAAAGAAAAGTTTTACTCTGTGAGTTGAACGCACACATCGCAAAGCAGATTCTGAGAATTATTCTGTCTAGATTTTATAGGAAGATGTTTCTTTTTCTGCCATAGGATCAATGCGCTATAAATATCCCCTTGGAAATCCTACAAAAACAGTGTTTCAAAACTGCTCTGTGAAAAGGGAGGTTTCACTCTTTGAATTGAATGCACACATCACAAAGGAGTTTCTGAAAATTCTTCAATCTAGAGTTACATGAAGAAATCCCGTTTCCAAAGAAGGCCTCAAATAGGTCCAAATATCCACTTGCAGCTACTACAAGAAGGGTGTTTCAGAAACGCTCTATCAAAAGAAACGATAAACTCTGTGAGTTGAACACACACGTCACTAAGCACTTTCTGAGAACGATTCTATCTACTTTTTACATGAAGATGTTTCCTTTTCTAGCAGAGACTTCAAAGTGCTCTAAATATCCACTTGGGAATTCTACAAAAACGGTGTCTCAAAACTGCTCTATCAAAGGGAATGTTCCATTCTGTGAGTCGAATGCACACATCCGAAGAAGTTACTGAGAATTCTTCTCTGTAGGTTTAGGTGAAGAAATCCCGTTTCCAACGAAGGCCTCTAGGAGGTCCAATTATCCACTTGCAGATTCTACAGAAAGAGTGTTTCAAAACTGCTCTATCAAGAGAAATGGTCCACCGTGTGTGTGGAATGCAGCCATCACACATTAGTTTCTGAGATTGCTTCTGTCTTGGTTTTATGGGGAGATATTTCCATTTCTAGCATAGGCTTCAAGGCGCTCTAAATATCCGTTTGGAAATACTACAAAAACAGTGTTTCAAAACTGCTGTATCCAAAGGAAGGTGCCACTCGCTGAGTTGAATGCACACATCACAAGGAAGTTTCTGAGAATTCTTCTGTCTAGTTTTATACGAAGAAATCCCGTTTCCAACGAAGGCCTCAAAGAATTCCAAATATCCCATTGCAAATTCTACAATAGGAGTGTTTCCCAACTACTCTATCAAGAGGAATGTTGCACTCTGTGACTTGAATGCAAACATCACATAGCAGTGTTTGAGAATTCTTCTGTCTAGAGTAACATGAAGAAATCCCGTTTCCAACGAAGGCCTCAAGGCGGTCCAATTATCCACTTGCAGATTCTACAGAAAGAGTGTTTCAAAACTGCTCTATCAAGAGAAATGTTCCACCGTGTGTGTGGAATGCAGCCATCACACAGTAGTTTCTGAGATTGCTTCCGTCTAGGTTTTATGGGAAGATATTTCCTTTTCTACCATAGGCTTCAAGGCGCTCTAATATCCGCTTGGAAATACTACAACCACAGCGTTTCAAACTGCTCTATCCAAAGGAAGGTTCCACTCTGTGACTTGAATGCACACAACCAAAGAAGTTTCGGAGAATTCTTCTGTCTAGATTTATACGAAGAAATCCCGTTTCCAACGAAGACCCAAAGGAGTTCCAAATATCCACTTGCAGATCCTTCAGAAAGAGGGTTTCAAAACTGCTCTATCAAGAGAAATGTTCAACTCTGTGAGTTGAATGCAGACATCACAAAGTCGTTTCTGAGATTGGTTCTGTCTAGGTTTTATGGGAAGATATTTCCTTTTCTACCATACGCTTCAAGGCGTTCCAAATATCCGCTTGGAAATACTACAAAAACAGTGTTTCAAAACTGCTCTATCAAAAGGAAGGATCCACACTGTGAGTTGAATTCACACATCACAAAGAAGTCTCTGAGAATTCTTCTGTCTGGGTTTATAGGAAGAAATCCCGTTTCCAACGAAGGCCTCAAAACGGTCCATATATCCACTTGCAGATTCTACAGAAACAATGTTTCCAAACTGCTCTATCAAGAGGAATGTTGCACTCGGTGAGTTGAATGCACACATCACAAAGTAGTTTCTGAGATTGCTTCTGTCTACCTTTGATGGAAAGATATTCCCTTTTCTACCATAGGCCTGAAAGCGCTCTCAATGTACCCTTGCAAATTCTACAAAAAGAGTGTTTCCAAATTGCTCTATCAAGAGAAATCTTTATCTCGGTGAGTTGAAAGCACACATCACAAAGAAGACTCTGAGAATTCTTCTGTCTGGGTTTATAAGATGAAAACCCGTTTCCAACGAAGGCCTCAAGGAGGTCCAAATACAAACAAGCTGATTCTACAGAAAGAGTGTTTCCAAACTGCTCTATCAAGAGGAATGTTCCACTCGGTGAGTTGAATGCAGACATCACAAAGGAGTTTCTGAGATTGCTTCTGTCTAGCTTTTATGGAAAGATATTTCCTTTTCTACCATAGGCCTCAAAGCGCTCTTAGTATACACTTCCAAATTCTACAAAGAGAGTGTTACTAAACCGCTCTCTCAAAGGAAATGTTAAACTCTGTGAGTTGAACACAGACATCACAAAGCAGTTTCTGAGAACACTTCTGTCTGCCTTTTATGTGAAGACATTCCCTTTTCCAAAGAATGCCTCCAAGGGCTCAAAATATCCACTTGTAGACTTAGAGTGTTTCAAAACTTCTCTACCAAAAGAAAGGTTAAAGACGGTGAGTTCAACGCACACATCACAAAGTTGTTTCTGAGAATGATTCTATCTATGTTTTCCATGAAGATGTTTCCTTTTCTATCATAGGCTTCAAAGTGGTCTAAATATCCACTTGGAAATCCTACAAGAACAGGGTTTCAAAACTTCTCTATCAAACGGAAGACTCCACTCTGTGAGATGAACGCACACATCACAATGAGGTTTCTGAAAATTCTTCTGTCTAGGGTTATAGGAAGAAATCCCGTTTCCAACGAAGGCCTCAAAGAGGTCCAAATATCCACTTGCAGTTTCTACAAAAAGAGTGTTTCAACACTGCTCTATAAAGAGGAAAGTTCCACTCTGTGAGTTGAATGTACACATCACAAAGTAGTTTCTGAGATTGCTTCTGTCTAGGTTTTAGGTGAAGTTATTTCCTTTTCTACTGTGGGCTTCAATGCGCTCTAAATATACACATGCAAATACTACAAAAAGAGTGTTTCAAAACTGCTCTATCAAAAGAAAAGTTTTACTCTGTGAGTTGAACGCACACATCGCAAAGCAGATTCTGAGAATTATTCTGTCTAGTTTTTATAGGAAGATGTTTCTTTTTCTGCCATAGGCTCAATGCGCTATAAATATCCCCTTGGAAATCCTACAAAAACAGTGTTTCAAAACTGCTCTGTGAAAAGGGAGGTTTCACTCTTTGAATTGAATGCACACATCACAAAGGAGTTTCTGAAAATTCTTCAATCTAGAGTTACATGAAGAAATCCCGTTTCCAAAGAAGGCCTCAAATAGGTCCAAATATCCACTTGCAGCTACTACAAGCAGGGTGTTTCAGAAACGCTCTATCAAAAGAAACGTTAAACTCTGTGAGTTGAACACACACGTCACTAAGCACTTTCTGAGAACGATTCTATCTACTTTTTACATGAAGATGTTTCCTTTTCTAGCAGAGACTTCAAAGTGCTCTAAATATCCACTTGGGAATTCTACAAAAACGGTGTCTCAAAACTGCTCTATCAAACGGAATGTTCCATTCTGTGAGTCGAATGCACACATCCGAAGAAGTTACTGAGAATTCTTCTCTGTAGGTTTAGATGAAGAAATCCCGTTTCCAACGAAGGCCTCTAGGAGGTCCAATTATCCACTTGCAGATTCTACAGAAAGAGTGTTTCAAAACTGCTCTATCAAGAGAAATGGTCCACCGTGTGTGTGGAATGCAGCCATCACACATTAGTTTCTGAGATTGCTTCTGTCTTGGTTTTATGGGGAGATATTTCCATTTCTAGCATAGGCTTCAAGGCGCTCTAAATATCCGCTTGGAAATACTACAAAAACAGTGTTTCAAAACTGCTGTATCCAAAGGAAGGTGCCACTCGCTGAGTTGAATGCACACATCACAAGGAAGTTTCTGAGAATTCTTCTGTCTAGATTTATACGAAGAAATCCCGTTTCCAACGAAGGCCTCGAAAAAGTCCAAATATCCCATTGCAAATTCTACAAAGGAGTCTTTGCCAACTGCTCTATCAAGAGGAATGTTGCACTCTGTGACTTGAATGCAAACATCACATAGTAGTGTTTGAGAATTCTTCTGTCTAGAGTAACATGAAGAAATCCCGTTTCCAACGAAGGCCTCAAGGCGGTCCAATTATCCACTTGCAGATTCTACAGAAAGAGTGTTTCAAAACTGCTCTATCAAGAGAAATGTTCCACCGTGTGTGTGGAATGCAGCCATCACACAGTAGTTTCTGAGATTGCTTCCGTCTAGGTTTTATGGGAAGATATTTCCTTTTCTACCATAGGCCTCAAGGCGCTCTAATATCCGCTTGGAAATACTACAACCACAGCGTTTCAAACTGCTCTATCCAAAGGAAGGTTCCACTCTGTGACTTGAATGCACACAACCAAAGAAGTTTCGGAGAATTCTTCTGTCTAGATTTATACGAAGAAATCCCGTTTCCAACGAAGACCCAAAGGAGTTCCAAATATCCACTTGCAGATCCTTCAGAAAGAGGGTTTCAAAACTGCTCTATCAAGAGAAATGTTCAACTACTGTGAGTTGAATGCAGACATCACAAAGTCGTTTCTGAGATTGGTTCTGTCTAGGTTTTATGGGAAGATATTTCCTTTTCTACCATACGCTTCAAGGCGTTCCAAATATCCGCTTGGAAATACTACAAAAACAGTGTTTCAAAACTGCTCTATCAAAAGGAAGGATCCACACTGTGAGTTGAATTCACACATCACAAAGAAGTCTCTGAGAATTCTTCTGTCTGGGTTTATAGGAAGAAATCCCGTTTCCAACGAAGGCCTCAAAGAGGTCCAAATATCCACTTGCAGATTCTACAGAAACAATGTTTCCAAACTGCTCGGTCAAGAGGAATGTTGCACTCGGTGAGTTGAATGCACACATCACAAAGTAGTTTCTGAGATTGCTTCTGTCTACCTTTTATGGAAAGATATTCCCTTTTCTACCATAGGCCTGAAAGCGCTCTCAATGTACCCTTGCAAATTCTACAAAAAGAGTGTTTCCAAATTGCTCTATCAAGAGAAATCTTTATCTCGGTGAGTTGAAAGCACACATCACAAAGAAGACTCTGAGAATTCTTCTGTCTGGGTTTATAAGATGAAAACCCGTTTCCAACGAAGGCCTCAAGGAGGTCCAAATACAAACAAGCTGATTCTACAGAAAGAGTGTTTCCAAACTGCTCTATCAAGAGGAATGTTCCACTCGGTGAGTTGAATGCAGACATCACAAAGGAGTTTCTGAGATTGCTTCTGTCTAGCTTTTATGGAAAGATATTTCCTTTTCTACCATAGGCCTCAAAGCGCTCTTAGTATACACTTCCAAATTCTACAAAGAGAGTGTTACTAAACCGCTCTCTCAAAGGAAATGTTAAACTCTGTGAGTTGAACACAGACATCACAAAGCAGTTTCTGAGAACACTTCTATCTGCCTTTTATGTGAAGACATTCCCTTTTCCAAAGAATGCCTCCAAGGGCTCAAAATATCCACTTGTAGACTTTACAAAGAGAGTGTTTCAAAACTTCTCTACCAAAAGAAAGGTTAAAGACGGTGAGTTCAACGCACACATCACAAAGTTGTTTCTGAGAATGATTTCTATCTATGTTTTCCATGAAGATGTTTCCTTTTCTATCATAGGCTTCAAAGTGGTCTAAATATCCACTTGGAAATCCTACAAGAACAGGGTTTCAAAGCTTCTCTATCAAACGGAAGACCCCACTCTGTGAGATGAACGCACACATCACAATGAGGTTTCTGAAAATTCTTCTGTCTAGGGTTATAGGAAGAAATCCCGTTTCCAACGAAGGCCTCAAAGAGGTCCAAATATCCACTTGCAGTTTCTACAAAAAGAGTGTTTCAACACTGCTCTATAAAGAGGAAAGTTCCACTCTGTGAGTTGAATGTACACATCACAAAGTAGTTTCTGAGATTGCTTCTGTCTAGGTTTTAGGTGAAGTTATTTCCTTTTCTACTGTGGGCTTCAATGCGCTCTAAATATACACATGCAAATACTACAAAAAGAGTGTTTCAAAACTGCTCTATCAAAAGAAAAGTTTTACTCTGTGGGTTGAACGCACACATCGCAAAGCAGATTCTGAGAATTATTCTGTCTAGTTTTTATAGGAAGATGTTTCTTTTTCTGCCATAGGCTCAATGCGCTGTAAATATCCCCTTGGAAATCCTACAAAAACAGTGTTTCAAAACTGCTCTGTGAAAAGGGAGGTTTCACTCTTTGAATTGAATGCACACATCACAAAGGAGTTTCTGAAAATTCTTCAAACTAGAGTTACATGAAGAAATCCCGTTTCCAAAGAAGGCCTCAAATAGGTCCAAATATCCACTTGCAGCTACTACAAGAAGGGTGTTTCAGAAACGCTCTATCAAAAGAAACGTTAAACTCTGTGAGTTGAACGCACACGTCACTAAGCACTTTCTGAGAACGATTCTATCTACTTTTTACATGAAGATGTTTCCTTTTCTAGCAGAGACTTCAAAGTGCTCTAAATATCCACTTGGGAATTCTACAAAAACGGTGTCTCAAAACTGCTCTATCAAACAGAATGTTCCATTCTGTGAGTCGAATGCACACATCCGAAGAAGTTACTGAGAATTCTTCTCTGTAGGTTTAGATGAAGAAATCCCGTTTCCAACGAAGGCCTCTAGGAGGTCCAATTATCCACTTGCAGATTCTACAGAAAGAGTGTTTCAAAACTGCTCTATCAAGAGAAATGGTCCACCGTGTGTGTGGAATGCAGCCATCACACATTAGTTTCTGAGATTGCTTCTGTCTTGGTTTTATGGGGAGATATTTCCATTTCTAGCATAGGCTTCAAGGCGCTCTAAATATCCGCTTGGAAATACTACAAAAACAGTGTTTCAAAACTGCTGTATCCAAAGGAAGGTGCCACTCGCTGAGTTGAATGCACACATCACAAGGAAGTTTCTGAGAATTCTTCTGTCTAGATTCATACGAAGAAATCCCGTTTCCAACGAAGGCCTCAAAGAAGTCCAAATATCCCATTGCAAATTCTACAAAAGGAGTGTTTCCCAACTGCTCTATCAAGAGGAATGTTGCACTCTGTGACTTGAATGCAAACATCACATAGCAGTGTTTGAGAATTCTTCTGTCTAGAGTAACATGAAGAAATCCCGTTTCCAACGAAGGCCTCAAGGCGGTCCAATTATCCACTTGCAGATTCTACAGAAAGAGTGTTTCAAAACTGCTCTATCAAGAGAAATGTTCCACCGTGTGTGTGGAATGCAGCCATCACACAGTAGTTTCTGAGATTGCTTCCGTCTAGGTTTTATGGGAAGATATTTCCTTTTCTACCATAGGCTTCAAGGCGCTCTAATATCCGCTTGGAAATACTACAACCACAGCGTTTCAAACTGCTCTATCCAAAGGAAGGTTCCACTCTGTGACTTGAATGCACACAACCAAAGAAGTTTCGGAGAATTCTTCTGTCTAGATTTATACGAAGAAATCCCGTTTCCAACGAAGACCCAAAGGAGTTCCAAATATCCACTTGCAGATCCTTCAGAAAGAGGGTTTCAAAACTGCTCTATCAAGAGAAATGTTCAACTCTGTGAGTTGAATGCAGACATCACAAAGTCGTTTCTGAGATTGGTTCTGTCTAGGTTTTATGGGAAGATATTTCCTTTTCTACCATACGCTTCAAGGCGTTCCAAATATCCGCTTGGAAATACTACAAAAACAGTGTTTCGAAACTGCTCTATCAAAAGGAAGGAACCACACTGTGAGTTGAATTCACACATCACAAAGAAGTCTCTGAGAATTCTTCTGTCTGGGTTTATAGGAAGAAATCCCGTTTCCAACGAAGGCCTCAAAGAGGTCCAAATATCCACTTGCAGATTCTACAGAAACAATGTTTCCAAACTGCTCTATCAAGAGGAACGTTGCACTAGGTGAGTTGAATGCACACATCACAAAGTAGTTTCTGAGATTGCTTCTGTCTACCTTTTATGGAAAGATATTCCCTTTTCTACCATAGGCCTGAAAGCGCTCTCAATGTACCCTTGCAAATTCTACAAAAAGAGTGTTTCCAAATTGCTCTATCAAGAGAAATCTTTATCTCGGTGAGTTGAAAGCACACATCACAAAGAAGACTCTGAGAATTCTTCTGTCTGGGTTTATAAGATGAAAACCCGTTTCCAACGAAGGCCTCAAGGAGGTCCAAATACAAACAAGCTGATTCTACAGAAAGAGTGTTTCCAAACTGCTCTATCAAGAGGAATGTTCCACTCGGTGAGTTGAATGCAGACATCACAAAGGAGTTTCTGAGATTGCTTCTGTCTAGCTTTTATGGAAAGATATTTCCTTTTCTACCATAGGCCTCAAAGCGCTCTTAGTATACACTTCCAAATTCTACAAAGAGAGTGTTACTAAACCGCTCTCTCAAAGGAAATGTTAAACTCTGTGAGTTGAACACAGACATCACAAAGCAGTTTCTGAGAACACTTCTGTCTGCCTTTTATGTGAAGACATTCCCTTTTCCAAAGAATGCCTCCAAGGGCTCAAAATATCCACTTGTAGACTTTACAAAGAGAGTGTTTCAAAACTTCTCTACCAAAAGAAAGGTTAAAGACGGTGAGTTCAACGCACACATCACAAAGTTGTTTCTGAGAATGATTCTATCTATGTTTTCCATGAAGATGTTTCCTTTTCTATCATAGGCTTCAAAGTGGTCTAAATATCCACTTGGAAATCCTACAAGAACAGGGTTTCAAAACTTCTCTATCAAACGGAACACTCCACTCTGTGAGATGAACGCACACATCACAATGAGGTTTCTGAAAATTCTTCTGTCTAGGGTTATAGGAAGAAATCCCGTTTCCAACGAAGGCCTCAAAGAGGTCCAAATATCCACTTGCAGTTTCTACAAAAAGAGTGTTTCAACACTGCTCTATAAAGAGGAAAGTTCCGCTCTGTGAGTTGAATGTACACATCACAAAGTAGTTTCTGAGATTGCTTCTGTCTAGGTTTTAGGTGAAGTTATTTCCTTTTCTACTTTGGGCTTCAATGCGCTCTAAATATACACATGCAAATACTACAAAAAGAGTGTTTCAAAACTGCTCTATCAAAAGAAAAGTTTTACTCTGTGGGTTGAACGCACACATCGCAAAGCAGATTCTGAGAATTATTCTGTCTAGTTTTTATAGGAAGATGTTTCTTTTTCTGCCATAGGATCAATGCGCTATAAATATCCCCTTGGAAATCCTACAAAAACAGTGTTTCAAAACTGCTCTGTGAAAAGGGAGGTTTCACTCTTTGAATTGAATGCACACATCACAAAGGAGTTTCTGAAAATTCTTCAAACTAGAGTTACATGAAGAAATCCCGTTTCCAAAGAAGGCCTCAAATAGGTCCAAATATCCACTTGCAGCTACTACAAGAAGGGTGTTTCAGAAACGCTCTATCAAAAGAAACGTTAAACTCTGTGAGTTGAACGCACACGTCACTAAGCACTTTCTGAGAACGATTCTATCTACTTTTTACATGAAGATGTTTCCTTTTCTAGCAGAGACTTCAAAGTGCTCTAAATATCCACTTGGGAATTCTACAAAAACGGTGTCTCAAAACTGCTCTACCAAAGGGAATGTTCCATTCTGTGAGTCGAATGCACACATCCGAAGAAGTTACTGAGAATTCTTCTCTGTAGGTTTAGATGAAGAAATCCCGTTTCCAACGAAGGCCTCTAGGAGGTCCAATTATCCACTTGCAGATTCTACAGAAAGAGTGTTTCAAAACTGCTCTATCAAGAGAAATGGTCCACCGTGTGTGTGGAATGCAGCCATCACACATTAGTTTCTGAGATTGCTTCTGTCTTGGTTTTATGGGGAGATATTTCCATTTCTAGCATAGGCTTCAAGGCGCTCTAAATATCCGCTTGGAAATACTACAAAAACAGTGTTTCAAAACTGCTGTATCCAAAGGAAGGTGCCACTCGCTGAGTTGAATGCACACATCACAAGGAAGTTTCTGAGAATTCTTCTGTCTAGATTCATACGAAGAAATCCCGTTTCCAACGAAGGCCTCAAAGAAGTCCAAATATCCCATTGCAAATTCTACAAAAGGAGTGTTTCCCAACTGCTCTATCAAGAGGAATGTTGCACTCTGTGACTTGCATGCAAACATCACACAGCAGTGTTTGAGAATTCTTCTGTCTAGAGTAACATGAAGAAATCCCGTTTCCAACGAAGGCCTCAAGGCGGTCCAATTATCCACTTGCAGATTCTACAGAAAGAGTGTTTCAAAACTGCTCTATCAAGAGAAATGTTCCACCGTGTGTGTGGAATGCAGCCATCACACAGTAGTTTCTGAGATTGCTTCCGTCTAGGTTTTATGGGAAGATATTTCCTTTTCTACCATAGGCTTCAAGGCGCTCTAATATCCGCTTGGAAATACTACAACCACAGCGTTTCAAACTGCTCTATCCAAAGGAAGGTTCCACTCTGTGACTTGAATGCACACAACCAAAGAAGTTTCGGAGAATTCTTCTGTCTGGATTTATACGAAGAAATCCCGTTTCCAACGAAGACCCAAAGGAGTTCCAAATATCCACTTGCAGATCCTTCAGAAAGAGGGTTTCAAAACTGCTCTATCAAGAGAAATGTTCAACTCTGTGAGTTGAATGCAGACATCACAAAGTCGTTTCTGAGATGGGTTCTGTCTAGGTTTTATGGGAAGATATTTCCTTTTCTACCATACGCTTCAAGGCTTTCCAAATATCCGCTTGGAAATACTACAAAAACAGTGTTTCAAAACTGCTCTATCAAAAGGAAGGATCCACACTGTGAGTTGAATTCACACATCACAAAGAAATCTCTGAGAATTCTTCTGTCTGGGTTTATAGGAAGAAATCCCGTTTCCAACGAAGGCCTCAAAGAGGTCCAAATATCCACTTGCAGATTCTACAGAAACAATGTTTCCAAACTGCTCGGTCAAGAGGAATGTTGCACTCGGTGAGTTGAATGCACACATCACAAAGTAGTTTCTGAGATTGCTTCTGTCTACCTTTTATGGAAAGATATTCCCTTTTCTACCATAGGCCTGAAAGCGCTCTCAATGTACCCTTGCAAATTCTACAAAAAGAGTGTTTCCAAATTGCTCTATCAAGAGAAATCTTTATCTCGGTGAGTTGAAAGCACACATCACAAAGAAGACTCTGAGAATTCTTCTGTCTGGGTTTATAAGATGAAAACCCGTTTCCAACGAAGGCCTCAAGGAGGTCCAAATACAAACAAGCTGATTCTACAGAAAGAGTGTTTCCAAACTGCTCTATCAAGAGGAATGTTCCACTCGGTGAGTTGAATGCAGACATCACAAAGGAGTTTCTGAGATTGCTTCTGTCTAGCTTTTATGGAAAGATATTTCCTTTTCTACCATAGGCCTCAAAGCGCTCTTAGTATACACTTCCAAATTCTACAAAGAGAGTGTTACTAAACCGCTCTCTCAAAGGAAATGTTAAACTCTGTGAGTTGAACACAGACATCACAAAGCAGTTTCTGAGAACACTTCTGTCTGCCTTTTATGTGAAGACATTCCCTTTTCCAAAGAATGCCTCCAAGGGCTCAAAATATCCACTTGTAGACTTTACAAAGAGAGTGTTTCAAAACTTCTCTACCAAAAGAAAGGTTAAAGACGGTGAGTTCAACGCACACATCACAAAGTTGTTTCTGAGAATGATTCTATCTATGTTTTCCATGAAGATGTTTCCTTTTCTATCATAGGCTTCAAAGTGGTCTAAATATCCACTTGGAAGTCCTACAAATCAGGGTTTCAAAACTTCTCTATCAAACGGAAGACTCCACTCTGTGAGATGAACGCACACATCACAATGAGGTTTCTGAAAATTCTTCTGTCTAGGGTTATAGGAAGAAATCCCGTTTCCAACGAAGGCCTCAAAGAGGTCCAAATATCCACTTGCAGTTTCTACAAAAAGAGTGTTTCAACACTGCTCTATAAAGAGGAAAGTTCCACTCTGTGAGTTGAATGTACACATCACAAAGTAGTTTCTGAGATTGCTTCTGTCTAGGTTTTAGGTGAAGTTATTTCCTTTTCTACTGTGTGCTTCAATGCGCTCTAAATATACACATGCAAATACTACAAAAAGAGTGTTTCAAAACTGCTCTATCAAAAGAAAAGTTTTACTCTGTGGGTTGAACGCACACATCGCAAAGCAGATTCTGAGAATTATTCTGTCTAGTTTTTATAGGAAGATGTTTCTTTTTCTGCCGTAGGCTCAATGCGCTATAAATATCCCCTTGGAAATCCTACAAAAACAGTGTTTCAAAACTGCTCTGTGAAAAGGGAGGTTTCACTCTTTGAATTGAATGCACACATCACAAAGGAGTTTCTGAAAATTCTTCAAACTAGAGTTACATGAAGAAATCCCGTTTCCAAAGAAGGCCTCAAATAGGTCCAAATATCCACTTGCAGCTACTACAAGAAGGGTGTTTCAGAAACGCTCTATCAAAAGAAACCGTTAAACTCTGTGAGTTGAACACACACGTCACTAAGCACTTTCTGAGAACGATTCTATCTACTTTTTACATGAAAGATCTTTCCTTTTCTAGCAGAGACTTCAAAGTGCTCTAAATATCCACTTGGGAATTCTACAAAAACGGTGTCTCAAAACTGCTCTATCAAAGGGAATGTTCCATTCTGTGAGTCGAATGCACACATCCGAAGAAGTTACTGAGAATTCTTCTCTGTAGGTTTAGATGAAGAAATCCCGTTTCCAACGAAGGCCTCTAGGAGGTCCAATTATCCACTTGCAGATTCTACAGAAAGAGTGTTTCAAAACTGCTCTATCAAGAGAAATGGTCCACCGTGTGTGTGGAATGCAGCCATCACACATTAGTTTCTGAGATTGCTTCTGTCTTGGTTTTATGGGGAGATATTTCCATTTCTAGCGTAGGCTTCAAGGCGCTCTAAATATCCGCTTGGAAATACTACAAAAACAGTGTTTCAAAACTGCTGTATCCAAAGGAAGGTGCCACTCGCTGAGTTGAATGCACACATCACAAAGAAGTTTCTGAGAATTCTTCTGTCTAGATTTATACGAAGAAATCCCGTTTCCAACGAAGGCCTCAAAGAAGTCCAAATATCCCATTGCAAATTCTACAAAGGAGTCTTTGCCAACTGCTCTATCAAGAGGAATGTTGCACTCTGTGACTTGAATGCAGACATCACATAGTAGTGTTTGAGAATTCTTCTGTCTAGAGTAACATGAAGAAATCCCGTTTCCAACGAAGGCCTCAAGGCGGTCCAATTATCCACTTGCAGATTCTACAGAAAGAGTGTTTCAAAACTGCTCTATCAAGAGAAATGTTCCACCGTGTGTGTGGAATGCAGCCATCACACAGTAGTTTCTGAGATTGCTTCCGTCTAGGTTTTATGGGAAGATATTTCCTTTTCTACCATAGGCCTCAAGGCGCTCTAATATCCGCTTGGAAATACTACAACCACAGCGTTTCAAACTGCTCTATCCAAAGGAAGGTTCCACTCTGTGACTTGAATGCACACAACCAAAGAAGTTTCGGAGAATTCTCTGTCTGGATTTATACGAAGAAATCCCGTTTCCAACGAAGACCCAAAGGAGTTCCAAATATCCACTTGCAGATCCTTCAGAAAGAGGGTTTCAAAACTGCTCTATCAAGAGAAATGTTCAACTCTGTGAGTTGAATGCAGACATCACAAAGTCGTTTCTGAGATGGGTTCTGTCTAGGTTTTATGGGAAGATATTTCCTTTTCTACCATACGCTTCAAGGCGTTCCAAATATCCGCTTGGAAATACTACAAAAACGGTGTTTCAAAACTGCTCTATCAAAAGGAAGGATCCACACTGTGAGTTGAATTCACACATCACAAAGAAATCTCTGAGAATTCTTCTGTCTGGGTTTATAGGAAGAAATCCCGTTTCCAACGAAGGCCTCAAAGCGGTCCATATATCCACTTGCAGATTCTACAGAAACAATGTTTCCAAACTGCTCGGTCAAGAGGAATGTTGCACTCGGTGAGTTGAATGCAGACATCACAAAGTAGTTTCTGAGATTGCTTCTGTCTACCTTTTATGGAAAGATATTCCCTTTTCTACCATAGGCCTGAAAGCGCTCTCAATGTACCCTTGCAAATTCTACAAAAAGAGTGTTTCCAAATTGCTCTATCAAGAGAAATCTTTATCTCGGTGAGTTGAAAGCACACATCACAAAGAAGACTCTGAGAATTCTTCTGTCTGGGTTTATAAGATGAAAACCCGTTTCCAACGAAGGCCTCAAGGAGGTCCAAATACAAACAAGCTGATTCTACAGAAAGAGTGTTTCCAAACTGCTCTATCAAGAGGAATGTTCCACTCGGTGAGTTGAATGCAGACATCACAAAGGAGTTTCTGAGATTGCTTCTGTCTAGCTTTTATGGAAAGATATTTCCTTTTCTACCATAGGCCTCAAAGCGCTCTTAGTATACACTTCCAAATTCTACAAAGAGAGTGTTACTAAACCGCTCTCTCAAAGGAAATGTTAAACTCTGTGAGTTGAACACAGACATCACAAAGCAGTTTCTGAGAACACTTCTGTCTGCCTTTTATGTGAAGACATTCCCTTTTCCAAAGAATGCCTCCAAGGGCTCAAAATATCCACTTGTAGACTTTACAAAGAGAGTGTTTCAAAACTTCTCTACCAAAAGAAAGGTTAAAGACGGTGAGTTCAACGCACACATCACAAAGTTGTTTCTGAGAATGATTCTATCTATGTTTTCCATGAAGATGTTTCCTTTTCTATCATAGGCTTCAAAGTGGTCTAAATATCCACTTGGAAATCCTACAAGAACAGGGTTTCAAAACTTCTCTATCAAACGGAAGACTCCACTCTGTGAGATGAATGCACACATCACAATGAGGTTTCTGAAAATTCTTCTGTCTAGGGTTATAGGAAGAAATCCCGTTTCCAACGAAGGCCTCAAAGAGGTCCAAATATCCACTTGCAGTTTCTACAAAAAGAGTGTTTCAACACTGCTCTATAAAGAGGAAAGTTCCACTCTGTGAGTTGAATGTACACATCACAAAATAGTTTCTGAGATTGCTTCTGTCTAGGTTTTAGGTGAAGTTATTTCCTTTTCTACTGTGGGCTTCAATGCGCTCTAAATATACACATGCAAATACTACAAAAAGAGTGTTTCAAAACTGCTCTATCAAAAGAAAAGTTTTACTCTGTGGGTTGAACGCACACATCGCAAAGCAGATTCTGAGAATTATTCTGTCTAGTTTTTATAGGAAGATGTTTCTTTTTCTGCCGTAGGCTCAATGCGCTATAAATATCCCCTTGGAAATCCTACAAAAACAGTGTTTCAAAACTGCTCTGTGAAAAGGGAGGTTTAACTCTTTGGATTGAATGCACACATCACAAAGGAGTTTCTGAAAATTCTTCAAACTAGAGTTACATGAAGAAATCCCGTTTCCAAAGAAGGCCTCAAATAGGTCCAAATATCCACTTGCAGCTACTACAAGCAGGGTGTTTCAGAAACGCTCTATCAAAAGAAACGTTAAACTCTGTGAGTTGAACACACACTTCACTAAGCACTTTCTGAGAACGATTCTATCTACTTTTTACATGAAGATGTTTCCTTTTCTAGCAGAGACTTCAAAGTGCTCTAAATATCCACTTGGGAATTCTACAAAAACGGTGTCTCAAAACTGCTCTATCAAAGGGAATGTTCCATTCTGTGAGTCGAATGCACACATCCGAAGAAGTTACTGAGAATTCTTCTCTGTAGGTTTAGATGAAGAAATCCCATTTCCAATGAAGGCCTCTAGGACGTCCAATTATCCACTTGCAGATTCTACAGAAAGAGTGTTTCAAAACTGCTCTATCAAGAGAAATGGTCCACCGTGTGTGTGGAATGCAGCCATCACACATTAGTTTCTGAGATTGCTTCTGTCTTGGTTTTATGGGGAGATATTTCCATTTCTAGCATAGGCTTCAAGGCGCTCTAAATATCCGCTTGGAAATACTACAAAAACAGTGTTTCAAAACTGCTGTATCCAAAGGAAGGTGCCACTCGCTGAGTTGAATGCACACATCACAAGGAAGTTTCTGAGAATCTTCTGTCTAGATTCATACGAAGAAATCCCGTTTCCAACAAAGGCCTCAAAGAAGTCCAAATATCCCATTGCAAATTCTACAAAAGGAGTGTTTCCCAACTGCTCTATCAAGAGGAATGTTGCACTCTCTGACTTGCATGCAAACATCACATAGCAGTGTTTGAGAATTCTTCTATCTAGAGTAACATGAAGAAATCCCGTTTCCAACGAAGGCCTCAAGGCGGTCCAATTATCCACTTGCAGATTCTACAGAAAGAGTGTTTCAAAACTGCTCTATCAAGAGAAATGTTCCACCATGTGTGTGGAATGCAGCCATCACACAGTAGTTTCTGAGATTGCTTCCGTCTAGGTTTTATGGGAAGATATTTCCTTTTCTACCATAGGCCTCAAGGCGCTCTAATATCCGCTTGGAAATACTACAACCACAGCGTTTCAAACTGCTCTATCCAAAGGAAGGTTCCACTCTGTGACTTGAATGCACACAACCAAAGAAGTTTCGGAGAATTCTTCTGTCTGGATTTATACGAAGAAATCCCGTTTCCAACGAAGACCCAAAGGAGTTCCAAATATCCACTTGCAGATCCTTCAGAAAGAGGGTTTCAAAACTGCTCTATCAAGAGAAATGTTCAACTCTGTGAGTTGAATGCAGACATCACAAAGTCGTTTCTGAGATTGGTTCTGTCTAGGTTTTATGGGAAGATATTTCCTTTTCTACCATACGCTTCAAGGCGTTCCAAATATCCGCTTGGAAATACTACAAAAACGGTGTTTCAAAACTGCTCTATCAAAAGGAAGGATCCACACTGTGAGTTGAATTCACACATCACAAAGAAGTCTCTGAGAATTCTTCTGTCTGGGTTTATAGGAAGAAATCCCGTTTCCAACGAAGGCCTCAAAGCGGTCCATATATCCACTTGCAGATTCTACAGAAACAATGTTTCCAAACTGCTCTATCAAGAGGAATGTTGCACTCGGTGAGTTGAATGCACACATCACAAAGTAGTTTCTGAGATTGCTTCTGTCTACCTTTTATGGAAAGATATTCCCTTTTCTACCATAGGCCTGAAAGCGCTCTCAATGTACCCTTGCAAATTCTACAAAAAGAGTGTTTCCAAATTGCTCTATCAAGAGAAATCTTTATCTCGGTGAGTTGAAAGCACACATCACAAAGAAGACTCTGAGAATTCTTCTGTCTGGGTTTATAAGATGAAAACCCGTTTCCAACGAAGGCCTCAAGGAGGTCCAAATACAAACAAGCTGATTCTACAGAAAGAGTGTTTCCAAACTGCTCTATCAAGAGGAATGTTCCACTCGGTGAGTTGAATGCAGACATCACAAAGGAGTTTCTGAGATTGCTTCTGTCTAGCTTTTATGGAAAGATATTTCCTTTTCTACCATAGGCCTCAAAGCGCTCTTAGTATACACTTCCAAATTCTACAAAGAGAGTGTTACTAAACCGCTCTCTCAAAGGAAATGTTAAACTCTGTGAGTTGAACACAGACATCACAAAGCAGTTTCTGAGAACACTTCTGTCTGCCTTTTATGTGAAGACATTCCCTTTTCCAAAGAATGCCTCCAAGGGCTCAAAATATCCACTTGTAGACTTTACAAAGAGAGTGTTTCAAAACTTCTCTACCAAAAGAAAGGTTAAAGACGGTGAGTTCAACGCACACATCACAAAGTTGTTTCTGAGAATGATTCTATCTATGTTTTCCATGAAGATGTTTCCTTTTCTATCATAGGCTTCAAAGTGGTCTAAATATCCACTTGGAAATCCTACAAGAACAGGGTTTCAAAACTTCTCTATCAAACGGAAGACTCCACTCTGTGAGATGAACGCACACATCACAATGAGGTTTCTGAAAATTCTTCTGTCTAGGGTTATAGGAAGAAATCCCGTTTCCAACGAAGGCCTCAAAGAGGTCCAAATATCCACTTGCCGTTTCTACAAAAAGAGTGTTTCAACACTGCTCTATAAAGAGGAAAGTTCCACTCTGTGAGTTGAATGTACACATCACAAAGTAGTTTCTGAGATTGCTTCTGTCTAGGTTTTAGGTGAAGTTATTTCCTTTTCTACTGTGGGCTTCAATGCGCTCTAAATATACACATGCAAATACTACAAAAAGAGTGTTTCAAAACTGCTCTATCAAAAGAAAAGTTTTACTCTGTGAGTTGAACGCACACATCGCAAAGCAGATTCTGAGAATTATTCTGTCTAGTTTTTATAGGAAGATGTTTCTTTTTCTGCCATAGGATCAATGCGCTATAAATATCCCCTTGGAAATCCTACAAAAACAGTGTTTCAAAACTGCTCTGTGAAAAGGGAGGTTTCACTCTTTGAATTGAATGCACACTTCACAAAGGAGTTTCTGAAAATTCTTCAATCTAGAGTTACATGAAGAAATCCCGTTTCCAAAGAAGGCCTCAAATAGGTCCAAATATCCACTTGCAGCTACTACAAGAAGGGTGTTTCAGAAACGCTCTATCAAAAGAAACGTTAAACTCTGTGAGTTGAACGCACACGTCACTAAGCACTTTCTGAGAACGATTCTATCTACTTTTTACATGAAGATGTTTCCTTTTCTAGCAGAGACTTTAAAGTGCTCTAAATATCCACTTCGGAATTCTACCAAAACGGTGTCTCAAAACTGCTCTATCGAAGGGAATGTTCCACTCTGTGAGTCGAATGCACACATCCGAAGAAGTTACTGAGAATTCTTCTCTGTAGGTTTTGATGAAGAAATCCCGTTTCCAACGAAGGCCTCTAGGAGGTCCAATTATCCACTTGCAGATTCTACAGAAAGAGTGTTTCAAAACTGCTCTATCAAGAGAAATGGTCCACCGTGTGTGTGGAATGCAGCCATCACACATTTGTTTCTGAGATTGCTTCTGTCTTGGTTTTATGGGGAGATATTTCCATTTCTAGCATAGGCTTCAAGGCGCTCTAAATATCCGCTTGGAAATAGTACAAAAACAGTGTTTCAAAACTGCTGTATCCAAAGGAAGGTGCCACTCGCTGAGTTGAATGCACACATCACAAGGAAGTTTCTGAGAATTCTTCTGTCTAGATTCAAACGAAGAAATCCCGTTTCCAACGAAGGCCTCAAAGAAGTCCAAATATCCCATTGCAAATTCTACAAAAGGAGTGTTTCCCAACTGCTCTATCAAGAGGAATGTTGCACTCTGTGACTTGAATGCAAACATCACATAGCAGTGTTTGAGAATTCTTCTGTCTAGAGTAACATGAAGAAATCCCGTTTCCAACGAAGGCCTCAAGGCGGTCCAATTATCCACTTGCAGATTCTACAGAAAGAGTGTTTCAAAACTGCTCTATCAAGAGAAATGTTCCACCGTGTGTGTGGAATGCAGCCATCACACAGTAGTTTCTGAGATTGCTTCCGTCTAGGTTTTATGGGAAGATATTTCCTTTTCTACCATAGGCCTCAAGGCGCTCTAATATCCGCTTGGAAATACTACAACCACAGCATTTCAAACTGCTCTATCCAAAGGAAGGTTCCACTCTGTGACTTGAATGCACACAGCCAAAGAATTTTCGGAGAATTCTTCTGTCTGGATTTATACGAAGAAATCCCGTTTCCAACGAAGACCCAAAGGAGTTCCAAATATCCACTTGCAGATCCTTCAGAAAGAGGGTTTCAAAACTGCTCTATCAAGAGAAATGTTCAACTCTGTGAGTTGAATGCAGACATCACAAAGTCGTTTCTGAGATGGGTTCTGTCTAGGTTTTATGGGAAGATATTTCCTTTTCTACCATACGCTTCAAGGCGTTCCAAATATCCGCTTGGAAATACTACAAAAACGGTGTTTCAAAACTGCTCTATCAAAAGGAAGGATCCACACTGTGAGTTGAATTCACACATCACAAAGAAGTCTCTGAGAATACTTCTGTCTGGGTTTATAGGAAGAAATCCCGTTTCCAACGAAGGCCTCAAAGCGGTCCATATATCCACTTGCAGATTCTACAGAAACAATGTTTCCAAACTGCTCTATCAAGAGGAATGTTGCACTCGGTGAGTTGAATGCACACATCACAAAGTAGTTTCTGAGATTGCTTCTGTCTACCTTTTATGGAAAGATATTCCCTTTTCTACCATAGGCCTGAAAGCGCTCTCAATGTACCCTTGCAAATTCTACAAAAAGAGTGTTTCCAAATTGCTCTATCAAGAGAAATCTTTATCTCGGTGAGTTGAAAGCACACATCACAAAGAAGACTCTGAGAATTCTTCTGTCTGGGTTTATAAGATGAAAACCCGTTTCCAACGAAGGCCTCAAGGAGGTCCAAATACAAACAAGCTGATTCTACAGAAAGAGTGTTTCCAAACTGCTCTATCAAGAGGAATGTTCCACTCGGTGAGTTGAATGCAGACATCACAAAGGAGTTTCTGAGATTGCTTCTGTCTAGCTTTTATGGAAAGATAATTCCTTTTCTACCATAGGCCTCAAAGCGCTCTTAGTATACACTTCCAAATTCTACAAAGAGATTGGTACTAAACCGCTCTCTCAAAGGAAATGTTAAACTCTGTGAGTTGAACACAGACATCACAAAGCAGTTTCTGAGAACACTTCTGTCTGCCTTTTACGTGAAGACATTCCCTTTTCCAAAGAATGCCTCCAAGGGCTCAAAGTATCCACTTGTAGACTTTACAAAGAGAGTGTTTCAAAACTTCTCTACCAAAAGAAAGGTTAAAGACTGTGAGTTCAACGCACACATCACAAAGTTGTTTCTGAGAATGACTCTATCTATGTTTTCCATGAAGATGTTTCCTTTTCTATCATAGGCTTCAAAGTGGTCTAAATATCCACTTGGAAATCCTACAAGAACAGGGTTTCAAAACTTCTCTATCAAACGGAAGACTCCACTCTGTGAGATGAACGCACACATCACAATGAGGTTTCTGAAAATTCTTCTGTCTAGGGTTATAGGAAGAAATCCCGTTTCCAACGAAGGCCTCAAAGAGGTCCAAATATCCACTTGCAGTTTCTACAAAAAGAGTGTTTCAACACTGCTCTATAAAGAGGAAAGTTCCACTCTGTGAGTTGAATGTACACATCACAAAATAGTTTCTGAGATTGCTTCTGTCTAGGTTTTAGGTGAAGTTATTTCCTTTTCTACTGTGGGCTTCAATGCGCTCTAAATATACACATGCAAATACTACAAAAAGAGTGTTTCAAAACTGCTCTATCAAAAGAAAAGTTTTACTCTGTGGGTTGAACGCACACATCGCAAAGCAGATTCTGAGAATTATTCTGTCTAGTTTTTATAGGAAGATGTTTCTTTTTCTGCCATAGGATCAATGCGCTATAAATATCCCCTTGGAAATCCTACAAAAACAGAGTTTCAAAACTGCTCTGTGAAAAGGGAGGTTTCACTCTTTGAATTGAATGCACACTTCACAAAGGAGTTTCTGAAAATTCTTCAATCTAGAGTTACATGAAGAAATCCCGTTTCCAAAGAAGGCCTCAAATAGGTCCAAATATCCACTTGCAGCTACTACAAGAAGGGTGTTTCAGAAACATTCTATCAAAAGAAACGTTAAACTCTGTGAGTTGAACACACACGTCACTAAGCACTTTCTGAGAACGATTCTATCTCCTTTTTACATGAAGATGTTTCCTTTTCTAGCAGAGACTTCAAAGTGCTCTAAATATCCACTTGGGAATTCTACAAAAACGGTGTCTCAAAACTGCTCTATCAAAGGGAATGTTCCATTCTGTGAGTCGAATGCACACATCCGAAGAAGTTACTGAGAATTCTTCTCTGTAGGTTTAGATGAAGAAATCCCGTTTCCAACGAAGGCCTCTAGGAGGTCCAATTATCCACTTGCAGATTCTACAGAAAGAGTGTTTCAAAACTGCTCTATCAAGAGAAATGGGCCACCGTGTGTGTGGAATGCAGCCATCACACATTAGTTTCTGAGATGGCTTCTGTCCTGGTTTTATGGGGAGATATTTCCATTTCTAGCATAGGCTTCAAGGCGCTCTAAATATCCGCTTGGAAATACTACAAAAACAGTGTTTCAAAACTGCTGTATCCAAAGGAAGGTGCCACTCGCTGAGTTGAATGCACACATCACAAGGAAGTTTCTGAGAATTCTTCTGTCTAGATTCATACGAAGAAATCCCGTTTCCAACGAAGGCCTCAAAGAAGTCCAAATATCCCATTGCGAATTCTACAAAAGGAGTGTTTCCCAACTGCTCTATCAAGAGGAATGTTGCACTCTGTGACTTGCATGCAAACATCACACAGCAGTGTTTGAGAATTCTTCTGTCTAGAGTAACATGAAGAAATCCCGTTTCCAACGAAGGCCTCAAGGCGGTCCAATTATCCACTTGCAGATTCTACAGAAAGAGTGTTTCAAAACTGCTCTATCAAGAGAAATGTTCCACCGTGTGTGTGGAATGCAGCCATCACACAGTAGTTTCTGAGATTGCTTCCGTCTAGGTTTTATGGGAAGATATTTCCTTTTCTACCATAGGCCTCAAGGCGCTCTAATATCCGCTTGGAAATACTACAACCACAGCGTTTCAAACTGCTCTATCCAAAGGAAGGTTCCACTCTGTGAGTTGAATGCACACAACCAAAGATGTTTCGGAGAATTCTTCTGTCTAGATTTATACGAAGAAATCCCGTTTCCAACGAAGACCCAAAGGAGTTCCAAATATCCACTTGCAGATCCTTCAGAAAGAGGGTTTCAAAACTGCTCTATCAAGAGAAATGTTCAACTCTGTGAGTTGAATGCAGACATCACAAAGTCGTTTCTGAGATTGGTTCTGTCTAGGTTTTATGGGAAGATATTTCCTTTTCTACCATACGCTTCAAGGCGTTCCAAATATCCGCTTGGAAATACTACAAAAACGGTGTTTCAAAACTGCTCTATCAAAAGGAAGGATCCACACTGTGAGTTGAATTCACACATCACAAAGAAATCTCTGAGAATTCTTCTGTCTGGGTTTATAGGAAGAAATCCCGTTTCCAACGAAGGCCTCAAAGAGGTCAAAATATCCACTTGCAGATTCTACTGAAACAATGTTTCCAAACTGCTCGGTGAAGAGGAATGTTGCACTCGGTGAGTTGAATGCACACATCACAAAGTAGTTTCTGAGATTGCTTCTGTCTACCTTTTATGGAAAGATATTCCCTTTTCTACCATAGGCCTGAAAGCGCTCTCAATGTACCCTTGCAAATTCTACAAAAAGAGTGTTTCCAAATTGCTCTATCAAGAGAAATCTTTATCTCGGTGAGTTGAAAGCACACATCACAAAGAAGACTCTGAGAATTCTTCTGTCTGGGTTTATAAGATGAAAACCCGTTTCCAACGAAGGCCTCAAGGAGGTCCAAATACAAACAAGCTGATTCTACAGAAAGAGTGTTTCCAAACTGCTCTATCAAGAGGAATGTTCCACTCGGTGAGTTGAATGCAGACATCACAAAGGAGTTTCTGAGATTGCTTCTGTCTAGCTTTTATGGAAAGATATTTCCTTTTCTACCATAGGCCTCAAAGCGCTCTTAGTATACACTTCCAAATTCTACAAAGAGAGTGTTACTAAACCGCTCTCTCAAAGGAAATGTTAAACTCTGTGAGTTGAACACAGACATCACAAAGCAGTTTCTGAGAACACTTCTGTCTGCCTTTTATGTGAAGACATTCCCTTTTCCAAAGAATGCCTCCAAGGGCTCAAAATATCCACTTGTAGACTTTACAAAGAGAGTGTTTCAAAACTTCTCTACCAAAAGAAAGGTTAAAGACGGTGAGTTCAACGCACACATCACAAAGTTGTTTCTGAGAATGATTCTATCTATGTTTTCCATGAAGATGTTTCCTTTTCTATCATAGGCTTCAAAGTGGTCTAAATATCCACTTGGAAATCCTACAAGAACAGGGTTTCAAAACTTCTCTATCAAACGGAAGACTCCACTCTGTGAGATGAACGCACACATCACAATGAGGTTTCTGAAAATTCTTCTGTCTAGGGTTATAGGAAGAAATCCCGTTTCCAACGAAGGCCTCAAAGAGGTCCAAATATCCACTTGCAGTTTCTACAAAAAGAGTGTTTCAACACTGCTCTATAAAGAGGAAAGTTCCACTCTGTGAGTTGAATGTACACATCACAAAGTAGTTTCTGAGATTGCTTCTGTCTAGGTTTTAGGTGAAGTTATTTCCTTTTCTACTGTGGGCTTCAATGCGCTCTAAATATACACATGCAAATACTACAAAAAGAGTGTTTCAAAACTGCTCTATCAAAAGAAAAGTTTTACTCTGTGGGTTGAACGCACACATCGCAAAGCAGATTCTGAGAATTATTCTGTCTAGTTTTTATAGGAAGATGTTTCTTTTTCTGCCGTAGGCTCAATGCGCTATAAATATCCCCTTGGAAATCCTACAAAAACAGTGTTTCAAAACTGCTCTGTGAAAAGGGAGGTTTCACTCTTTGGATTGAATGCACACATCACAAAGGAGTTTCTGAAAATTCTTCAATCTAGAGTTACATGAAGAAATCCCGTTTCCAAAGAAGGCCTCAAATAGGTCCAAATATCCACTTGCAGCTACTACAAGAAGGGTGTTTCAGAAACGCTCTATCAAAAGAAACGTTAAACTCTGTGAGTTGAACGCACACGTCACTAAGCACTTTCTGAGAACGATTCTATCTACTTTTTACATGAAGATGTTTCCTTTTCTAGCAGAGACTTCAAAGTGCTCTAAATATCCACTTGGGAATTCTACAAAAACGGTGTCTCAAAACTGCTCTATCAAAGGGAATGTTCCATTCTGTGAGTCGAATGCACACATCCGAAGAAGTTACTGAGAATTCTTCTCTGTAGGTTTAGATGAAGAAATCCCGTTTCCAACGAAGGCCTCTAGGAGGTCCAATTATCCACTTGCAGATTCTACAGAAAGAGTGTTTCAAAACTGCTCTATCAAGAGAAATGGTCCACCGTGTGTGTGGAATGCAGCCATCACACATTAGTTTCTGAGATTGCTTCTGTCTTGGTTTTATGGGGAGATATTTCCATTTCTAGCATAGGCTTCAAGGCGCTCTAAATATCCGCTTGGAAATACTACAAAAACAGTGTTTCAAAACTGCTGTATCCAAAGGAAGGTGCCACTCGCTGAGTTGAATGCACACATCACAAGGAAGTTTCTGAGAATTCTTCTGTCTAGATTCATACGAAGAAATCCCGTTTCCAACGAAGGCCTCAAAGAAGTCCAAATATCCCATTGCAAATTCTACAAAAGGAGTGTTTCCCAACTGCTCTATCAAGAGGAATGTTGCACTCTGTGACTTGCATGCAAACATCACACAGCAGTGTTTGAGAATTCTTTCTGTCTAGAGTAACATGAAGAAATCCCGTTTCCAACGAAGGCCTCAAGGCGGTCCAATTATCCACTTGCAGATTCTACAGAAAGAGTGTTTCAAAACTGCTCTATCAAGAGAAATGTTCCACCGTGTGTGTGGAATGCAGCCATCACACAGTAGTTTCTGAGATTGCTTCCGTCTAGGTTTTATGGGAAGATATTTCCTTTTCTACCATAGGCCTCAAGGCGCTCTAATATCCGCTTGGAAATACTACAACCACAGCGTTTCAAACTGCTCTATCCAAAGGAAGGTTCCACTCTGTGACTTGAATGCACACAACCAAAGAAGTTTCGGAGAATTCTTCTGTCTGGATTTATACGAAGAAATCCCGTTTCCAACGAAGACCCAAAGGAGTTCCAAATATCCACTTGCAGATCCTTCAGAAAGAGGGTTTCAAAACTGCTCTATCAAGAGAAATGTTCAACTCTGTGAGTTGAATGCAGACATCACAAAGTCGTTTCTGAGATTGGTTCCGTCTAGGTTTTATGGGAAGATATTTCCTTTTCTACCATACGCTTCAAGGCGTTCCAAATATCCGCTTGGAAATACTACAAAAACGGTGTTTCAAAACTGCTCTATCAAAAGGAGGGATCCACACTGTGAGTTGAATTCACACATCACAAAGAAATCTCTGGGAATTCTTCTGTCTGGGTTTATAGGAAGAAATCCCGTTTCCAACGAAGGCCTCAAAGCGGTCCATATATCCACTTGCAGATTCTACAGAAACAATGTTTCCAAACTGCTCTATCAAGAGGAATGTTGCACTCGGTGAGTTGAATGCACACATCACAAAGTAGTTTCTGAGATTGCTTCTGTCTACCTTTTATGGAAAGATATTCCCTTTTCTACCATAGGCCTGAAAGCGCTCTCAATGTACCCTTGCAAATTCTACAAAAAGAGTGTTTCCAAATTGCTCTATCAAGAGAAATCTTTATCTCGGTGAGTTGAAAGCACACATCACAAAGAAGACTCTGAGAATTCTTCTGTCTGGGTTTATAAGATGAAAACCCGTTTCCAACGAAGGCCTCAAGGAGGTCCAAATACAAACAAGCTGATTCTACAGAAAGAGTGTTTCCAAACTGCTCTATCAAGAGGAATGTTCCACTCGGTGAGTTGAATGCAGACATCACAAAGGAGTTTCTGAGATTGCTTCTGTCTAGCTTTTATGGAAAGATATTTCCTTTTCTACCATAGGTCTCAAAGCGCTCTTAGTATACACTTCCAAATTCTACAAAGAGAGTGTTACTAAACTGCTCTCTCAAAGGAAATGTTAAACTCTGTGAGTTGAACACAGACATCACAAAGCAGTTTCTGAGAACACTTCTGTCTGCCTTTTATGTGAAGACATTCCCTTTTCCAAAGAATGCCTCCAAGGGCTCAAAATATCCACTTGTAGACTTTACAAAGAGAGTGTTTCAAAACTTCTCTACCAAAAGAAAGGTTAAAGACGGTGAGTTCAACGCACACATCACAAAGTTGTTTCTGAGAATGATTCTATCTATGTTTTCCATGAAGATGTTTCCTTTTCTATCATAGGCTTCAAAGTGGTCTAAATATCCACTTGGAAATCCTACAAGAACAGGGTTTCAAAACTTCTCTATCAAACGGAAGACTCCACTCTGTGAGATGAACGCACACATCACAATGAGGTTTCTGAAAATTCTTCTGTCTAGGGTTATAGGAAGAAATCCCGTTTCCAACGAAGGCCTCAAAGAGGTCCAAATATCCACTTGCAGTTTCTACAAAAAGAGTGTTTCAACACTGCTCTATAAAGAGAAAAGTTCCACTCTGTGAGTTGAATGTACACATCACAAAGTAGTTTCTGAGATTGCTTCTGTCTAGGTTTTAGGTGAAGTTATTTCCTTTTCTACTGTGGGCTTCAATGCGCTCTAAATATACACATGCAAATACTACAAAAAGAGTGTTTCAAAACTGCTCTATCAAAAGAAAAGTTTTACTCTGTGAGTTGAACGCACACATCGCAAAGCAGATTCTGAGAATTATTCTGTCTAGTTTTTATAGGAAGATGTTTCTTTTTCTGCCGTAGGCTCAATGCGCTATAAATATCCCCTTGGAAATCCTACAAAAACAGTGTTTCAAAACTGCTCTGTGAAAAGGGAGGTTTCACTCTTTGAATTGAATGCACACATCACAAAGGAGTTTCTGAAAATTCTTCAATCTAGAGTTACATGAAGAAATCCCGTTTCCAAAGAAGGCCTCAAATAGGTCCAAATATCCACTTGCAGCTACTACAAGAAGGGTGTTTCAGAAACGCTCTATCAAAAGAAACGTTAAACTCTGTGAGTTGAACACACACGTCACTAAGCACTTTCTGAGAACGATTCTATCTACTTTTAACATGAAGATGTTTCCTTTTCTAGCAGAGACTTCAAAGTGCTCTAAATATCCACTTGGGAATTCTACAAAAACGGTGTCTCAAAACTGCTCTATCAAAGGGAATGTTCCATTCTGTGAGTCGAATGCACACATCCGAAGAAGTTACTGAGAATTCTTCTCTGTAGGTTTAGATGAAGAAATCCGGTGTCCAACGAAGGCCTCTAGGAGGTCCAATTATCCACTTGCAGATTCTACAGAAAGAGTGTTTCAAAACTGCTCTATCAAGAGAAATGGTCCACCTTGTGTGTGGAATGCAGCCATCACACATTAGTTTCTGAGATTGTTTCTGTCTTGGTTTTATGGGGAGATATTTCCATTTCTAGCATAGGCTTCAAGGCGCTCTAAATATCCGCTTGGAAATACTACAAAAACAGTGTTTCAAAACTGCTGTATGCAAAGGAAGGTGCCACTCGCTGAGTTGAATGCACACATCACAAAGAAGTTTCTGAGAATTCTTCTGTCTAGATTCATACGAAGAAATCCCGTTTCCAACGAAGGCCTCAAAGAAGTCCAAATATCCCATTGCAAATTCTACAAAAGGAGTGTTTCCCAACTGCTCTATCAAGAGGAATGTTGCACTCTGTGACTTGAATGCAAACATCACATAGCAGTGTTTGAGAATTCTTCTGTCTAGAGTAACATGAAGAAATCCCGTTTCCAACGAAGGCCTCAAGGCGGTCCAATTATCCACTTGCAGATTCTACAGAAAGAGTGTTTCAAAACTGCTCTATCAAGAGAAATGTTCCACCGTGTGTGTGGAATGCAGCCATCACACAGTAGTTTCTGAGATTGCTTCCGTCTAGGTTTTATGGGAAGATATTTCCTTTTCTACCATAGGCCTCAAGGCGCTCTAATATCCGCTTGGAAATACTACAACCACAGCGTTTCAAACTGCTCTATCCAAAGGAAGGTTCCACTCTGTGAGTTGAATGCACACAACCAAAGATGTTTCAGAGAATTCTTCTGTCTGGATTTATACGAAGAAATCCCGTTTCCAACGAAGACCCAAAGGAGTTCCAAATATCCACTTGCAGATCCTTCAGAAAGAGGGTTTCAAAACTGCTCTATCAAGAGAAATGTTCAACTCTGTGAGTTGAATGCAGACATCACAAAGTCGTTTCTGAGATTGGTTCTGTCTAGGTTTTATGGGAAGATATTTCCTTTTCTACCATACGCTTCAAGGCGTTCCAAATATCCGCTTGGAAATACTACAAAAACAGTGTTTCAAAACTGCTCTATCAAAAGGAAGGATCCACACTGTGAGTTGAATTCACACATCACAAAGAAATCTCTGAGAATTCTTCTGTCTGGGTTTATAGGAAGAAATCCCGTTTCCAACGAAGGCCTCAAAGAGGTCCAAATATCCACTTGCAGATTCTACAGAAACAATGTTTCCAAACTGCTCGGTCAAGAGGAATGTTGCACTCGGTGAGTTGAATGCACACATCACAAAGTAGTTTCTGAGATTGCTTCTGTCTACCTTTTATGGAAAGATATTCCCTTTTCTACCATAGGCCTGAAAGCGCTCTCAATGTACCCTTGCAAATTCTACAAAAAGAGTGTTTCCAAATTGCTCTATCAAGAGAAATCTTTATCTCGGTGAGTTGAAAGCACACATCACAAAGAAGACTCTGAGAATTCTTCTGTCTGGGTTTATAAGATGAAAACCCGTTTCCAACGAAGGCCTCAAGGAGGTCCAAATACAAACAAGCTGATTCTACAGAAAGAGTGTTTCCAAACTGCTCTATCAAGAGGAATGTTCCACTCGGTGAGTTGAATGCAGACATCACAAAGGAGTTTCTGAGATTGCTTCTGTCTAGCTTTTATGGAAAGATATTTCCTTTTCTACCATAGGCCTCAAAGCGCTCTTAGTATACACTTCCAAATTCTACAAAGAGAGTGTTACTAAACCGCTCTCTCAAAGGAAATGTTAAACTCTGTGAGTTGAACACAGACATCACAAAGCAGTTTCTGAGAACACTTCTGTCTGCCTTTTATGTGAAGACATTCCCTTTTCCAAAGAATGCCTCCAAGGGCTCAAAATATCCACTTGTAGACTTTACAAAGAGAGTGTTTCAAAACTTCTCTACCAAAAGAAAGGTTAAAGACGGTGAGTTCAACGCACACATCACAAAGTTGTTTCTGAGAATGATTCTATCTATGTTTTCCATGAAGATGTTTCCTTTTCTATCATAGGCTTCAAAGTGGTCTAAATATCCACTTGGAAATCCTACAAGAACAGGGTTTCAAAACTTCTCTATCAAACGGAAGACTCCACTCTGTGAGATGAACGCACACATCACAATGAGGTTTCTGAAAATTCTTCTGTCTAGGGTTATAGGAAGAAATCCCGTTTCCAACGAAGGCCTCAAAGAGGTCCAAATATCCACTTGCAGTTTCTACAAAAAGAGTGTTTCAACACTGCTCTATAAAGAGAAAAGTTCCACTCTGTGAGTTGAATGTACACATCACAAAGTAGTTTCTGAGATTGCTTCTGTCTAGGTTTTAGGTGAAGTTATTTCCTTTTCTACTGTGGGCTTCAATGCGCTCTAAATATACACATGCAAATACTACAAAAAGAGTGTTTCAAAACTGCTCTATCAAAAGAAAAGTTTTACTCTGTGAGATGAACGCACACATCGCAAAGCAGATTCTGAGAATTATTCTGTCTAGTTTTTATAGGAAGATGTTTCTTTTTCTGCCATAGGCTCAATGCGCTATAAATATCCCCTTGGAAATCCTACAAAAACAGTGTTTCAAAACTGCTCTGTGAAAAGGGAGGTTTCACTCTTTGAATTGAATGCACACATCACAAAGGAGTTTCTGAAAATTCTTCAATCTAGAGTTACATGAAGAAATCCCGTTTCCAAAGAAGGCCTCAAATAGGTCCAAATATCCACTTGCAGCTACTACAAGAAGGGTGTTTCAGAAACGCTCTATCAAAAGAAACGTTAAACTCTGTGAGTTGAACACACACGTCACTAAGCACTTTCTGAGAACGATTCTATCTACTTTTTACATGAAGATGTTTCCTTTTCTAGCAGAGACTTCAAAGTGCTCTAAATATCCACTTGGGAATTCTACAAAAACGGTGTCTCAAAACTGCTCTATCAAACGGAATGTTCCATTCTGTGAGTCGAATGCACACATCCGAAGAAGTTACTGAGAATTCTTCTCTGTAGGTTTAGATGAAGAAATCCCGTTTCCAACGAAGGCCTCTAGGAGGTCCAATTATCCACTTGCAGATTCTACAGAAAGAGTGTTTCAAAACTGCTCTATCAAGAGAAATGGTCCACCGTGTGTGTGGAATGCAGCCATCACACATTAGTTTCTGAGATTGCTTCTGTCTTGGTTTTATGGGGAGATATTTCCATTTCTAGCATAGGCTTCAAGGCGCTCTAAATATCCGCTTGGAAATACTACAAAAACAGTGTTTCAAAACTGCTGTATCCAAAGGAAGGTGCCACTCGCTGAGTTGAATGCACACATCACAAGGAAGTTTCTGAGAATTCTTCTGTCTAGATTCATACGAAGAAATCCCGTTTCCAACGAAGGCCTCAAAGAAGTCCAAATATCCCATTGCAAATTCTACAAAAGGAGTGTTTCCCAACTGCTCTATCAAGAGGAATGTTGCACTCTGTGACTTGCATGCAAACATCACATAGCAGTGTTTGAGAATTCTTCTGTCTAGAGTAACATGAAGAAATCCCGTTTCCAACGAAGGCCTCAAGGCGGTCCAATTATCCACTTGCAGATTCTACAGAAAGAGTGTTTCAAAACTGCTCTATCAAGAGAAATGTTCCACCGTGTGTGTGGAATGCAGCCATCACACAGTAGTTTCTGAGATTGCTTCCGTCTAGGTTTTATGGGAAGATATTTCCTTTTCTACCATAGGCCTCAAGGCGCTCTAATATCCGCTTGGAAATACTACAACCACAGCGTTTCAAACTGCTCTATCCAAAGGAAGGTTCCACTCTGTGACTTGAATGCACACAACCAAAGAAGTTTCGGAGAATTCTTCTGTCTAGATTTATACGAAGAAATCCCGTTTCCAACGAAGACCCAAAGGAGTTCCAAATATCCACTTGCAGATCCTTCAGAAAGAGGGTTTCAAAACTGCTCTATCAAGAGAAATGTTCAACTCTGTGAGTTGAATGCAGACATCACAAAGTCGTTTCTGAGATTGGTTCTGTCTAGGTTTTATGGGAAGATATTTCCTTTTCTACCATACGCTTCAAGGCGTTCCAAATATCCGCTTGGAAATACTACAAAAACGGTGTTTCAAAACTGCTCTATCAAAAGGAAGGATCCACACTGTGAGTTGAATTCACACATCACAAAGAAATCTCTGAGAATTCTTCTGTCTGGGTTTATAGGAAGAAATCCCGTTTCCAACGAAGGCCTCAAAGAGGTCCAAATATCCACTTGCAGATTCTACAGAAACAATGTTTCCAAACTGCTCGGTCAAGAGGAACGTTGCACTCGGTGACTTGAATGCACACATCACAAAGTAGTTTCTGAGATTGCTTCTGTCTACCTTTTATGGAAAGATATTCCCTTTTCTACCATAGGCCTGAAAGCGCTCTCAATGTACCCTTGCAAATTCTACAAAAAGAGTGTTTCCAAATTGCTCTATCAAGAGAAATCTTTATCTCGGTGAGTTGAAAGCACACATCACAAAGAAGACTCTGAGAATTCTTCTGTCTGGGTTTATAAGATGAAAACCCGTTTCCAACGAAGGCCTCAAGGAGGTCCAAATACAAACAAGCTGATTCTACAGAAAGAGTGTTTCGAAACTGCTCTATCAAGAGGAATGTTCCACTCGGTGAGTTGAATGCAGACATCACAAAGGAGTTTCTGAGATTGCTTCTGTCTAGCTTTTATGGAAAGATAATTCCTTTTCTACCATAGGCCTCAAAGCGCTCTTAGTATACACTTCCAAATTCTACAAAGAGAGTGTTACTAAACCGCTCTCTCAAAGGAAATGTTAAACTCTGTGAGTTGAACACAGACATCACAAAGCAGTTTCTGAGAACACTTCTGTCTGCCTTTTATGTGAAGACATTCCCTTTTCCAAAGAATGCCTCCAAGGGCTAAATATATCCACTTGTAGACTTTACAAAGAGAGTGTTTCAAAACTTCTCTACCAAAAGAAAGGTTAAAGACGGTGAGTTCAACGCACACATCACAAAGTTGTTTCTGACAATGATTCTATCTATGTTTTCCATGAAGATGTTTCCTTTTCTATCATAGGCTTCAAAGTGGTCTAAATATCCACTTGGAAATCCTACAAGAACAGGGTTTCAAAGCTTCTCTATCAAACGGAAGACTCCACTCTGTGAGATGAACGCACACATCACAATGAGGTTTCTGAAAATTCTTCTGTCTAGGGTTATAGGAAGAAATCCCGTTTCCAACGAAGGCCTCAAAGAGGTCCAAATATCCACTTGCAGTTTCTACAAAAAGAGTGTTTCAACACTGCTCTATAAAGAGAAAAGTTCCACTCTGTGAGTTGAATGTACACATCACAAAGTAGTTTCTGAGATTGCTTCTGTCTAGGTTTTAGGTGAAGTTATTTCCTTTTCTACTGTGGGCTTCAATGCGCTCTAAATATACACATGCAAATACTACAAAAAGAGTGTTTCAAAACTGCTCTATCAAAAGAAAAGTTTTACTCTGTGGGTTGAACGCACACATCGCAAAGCAGATTCTGAGAATTATTCTGTCTAGTTTTTATAGGAAGATGTTTCTTTTTCTGCCATAGGATCAATGCGCTATAAATATCCCCTTGGAAGTCCTACAAAAACAGTGTTTCAAAACTGCTCTGTGAAAAGGGAGTTTTCACTCTTTGAATTGAATGCACACATCACAAAGGAGTTTCTGAAAATTCTTCAATCTAGAGTTACATGAAGAAATCCCGTTTCCAAAGAAGGCCTCAAATAGGTCCAAATATCCACTTGCAGCTACTACAAGAAGGGTGTTTCAGAAACGCTCTATCAAAAGAAACGTTAAACTCTGTGAGTTGAACACACACGTCACTAAGCACTTTCTGAGAACGATTCTATCTACTTTTTACATGAAGATGTTTCCTTTTCTAGCAGAGACTTCAAAGTGCTCTAAATATCCACTTGGGAATTCTACAAAAACGGTGTCTCAAAACTGCTCTATCAAAGGGAATGTTCCATTCTGTGAGTCGAATGCACACATCCGAAGAAGTTACTGAGAATTCTTCTCTGTAGGTTTAGATGAAGAAATCCCGTTTCCAACGAAGGCCTCTAGGAGGTCCAATTATCCACTTGCAGATTCTACAGAAAGAGTGTTTCAAAACTGCTCTATCAAGAGAAATGGTCCACCGTGTGTGTGGAATGCAGCCATCACACATTAGTTTCTGAGATTGCTTCTGTCTTGGTTTTATGGGGAGATATTTCCATTTCTAGCATAGGCTTCAAGGCGCTCTAAATATCCGCTTGGAAATACTACAAAAACAGTGTTTCAAAACTGCTGTATCCAAAGGAAGGTGCCACTCGCTGAGTTGAATACACACATCACAAGGAAGTTTCTGAGAATTCTTCTGTCTAGATTCATACGAAGAAATCCCGTTTCCAACGAAGGCCTCAAAGAAGTCCAAATATACCATTGCAAATTCTACAAAAGGAGTGTTTCCCAACTGCTCTATCAAGAGGAATGTTGCACTCTGTGACTTGCATGCAAACATCACATAGTAGTGTTTGAGAATTCTTTTATATAGAGTAACATGAAGAAATCCCGTTTCCAACGAAGGCCTCAAGGCGGTCCAATTATCCACTTGCAGATTCTACAGAAAGAGTGTTTCAAAACTGCTCTATCAAGAGAAATGTTCCACCGTGTGTGTGGAATGCAGCCATCACACAGTAGTTTCTGAGATTGCTTCCGTCTAGGTTTTATGGGAAGATATTTCCTTTTCTACCATAGGCCTCAAGGCGCTCTAATATCCGCTTGGAAATACTACAACCACAGCGTTTCAAACTGCTCTATCCAAAGGAAGGTTCCACTCTGTGACTTGAATGCACACAACCAAAGAAGTTTCGGAGAATTCTTCTGTCTAGATTGGTACGAAGAAATCCCGTTACCAACGAAGACCCAAAGGAGTTCCAAATATCCACTTGCAGATCCTTCAGAAAGAGGGTTTCAAAACTGCTCTATCCAGAGAAATGTTCAACTCTGTGAGTTGAATGCAGACATCACAAAGTCGTTTCTGAGATTGGTTCTGTCTAGGTTTTATGGGAAGATATTTCCTTTTCTACCATACGCTTCAAGGCGTTCCAAATATCCGCTTGGAAATACTACAAAAACAGTGTTTCAAAACTGCTCTATCAAAAGGAAGGATCCACACTGTGAGTTGAATTCACACATCACAAAGAAGTCTCTGAGAATTCTTCTGTCTGGGTTTATAGGAAGAAATCCCGTTTCCAACGAAGGCCTCAAAGAGGTCCAAATATCCATTTGCAGATTCTACAGAAACAATGTTTCCAAACTGCTCTATCAAGAGGAACGTTGCACTCGGTGAGTTGAATGCACACATCACAAAGTAGTTTCTGAGATTGCTTCTGTCTACCTTTTATGGAAAGATATTCCCTTTTCTACCATAGGCCTGAAAGCGCTCTCAATGTACCCTTGCAAATTCTACAAAAAGAGTGTTTCCAAATTGCTCTATCAAGAGAAATCTTTATCTCGGTGAGTTGAAAGCACACATCACAAAGAAGACTCTGAGAATTCTTCTGTCTGGGTTTATAAGATGAAAACCCGTTTCCAACGAAGGCCTCAAGGAGGTCCAAATACAAACAAGCTGATTCTACAGAAAGAGTGTTTCCAAACTGCTCTATCAAGAGGAATGTTCCACTCGGTGAGTTGAATGCAGACATCACAAAGGAGTTTCTGAGATTGCTTCTGTCTAGCTTTTATGGAAAGATATTTCCTTTTCTACCATAGGCCTCAAAGCGCTCTTAGTATACACTTCCAAATTCTACAAAGAGAGTGTTACTAAACTGCTCTATCAAAGGAAATGTTAAACTCTGTGAGTTGAACACAGACATCACAAAGCAGTTTCTGAGAACACTTCTGTCTGCCTTTTACGTGAAGACATTCCCTTTTCCAAAGAATGCCTCCAAGGGCTCAAAATATCCACTTGTAGACTTTACAAAGAGAGTGTTTCAAAACTTCTCTACCAAAAGAAAGGTTAAAGACGGCGAGTTCAATGCACACATCACAAAGTTGTTTCTGAGAATGATTCTATCTATGTTTTCCATGAAGATGTTTCCTTTTCTATCATAGGCTTCAAGGTGGTCTAAATATCCACTTGGAAATCCTACAAGAACAGGGTTTCAAAACTTCTCTATCAAACGGAAGACTCCACTCTGTGAGATGAACGCACACATCACAATGAGGTTTCTGAAAATTCTTCTGTCTAGGGTTATAGGAAGAAATCCCGTTTCCAACGAGGGCCTCAAAGAGGTCCACATATCCACTTGCAGTTTCTACAAAAAGAGTGTTTCAACACTGCTCTATAAAGAGGAAAGTTCCACTCTGTGAGTTGAATGTACACATCACAAAGTAGTTTCTGAGATTGCTTCTGTCTAGGTTTTAGGTGAAGTTATTTCCTTTTCTACTGTGGGCTTCAATGCGCTCTAAATATACACATGCAAATACTACAAAAAGAGTGTTTCAAGACTGCTCTATCAAAAGAAATGTTTTACTCTGTGAGTTGAACGCACACATGGGAAACCAGATTCTGAGAATTATTCTGTCTAGTTTTCATAGGAAGATGTTTCTTTTTCTGCCGTAGGCTCAATGTGCTATAAATATCCCCTTGGAAATCACACAAAAACAGTGTTTCAAAACTGCTCTGTGAAAAGGGAGGTTTCACTCTTTGAATTGAATGCACACATCACAAAGGAGTTTCTGAAAATTCTTCAAACTAGAGTTACATGAAGAAATCCCGTTTCCAAAGAAGGCCTCAAATAGGTCCAAATATCCACTTGCAGCTACTACAAGAAGGGTGTTTCAGAAACGCTCTATCAAAAGAAACGTTAAACTCTGTGAGTTGAACGCACACGTCACTAAGCACTTTCTGAGAACGATTCTATCTACTTTTTACATGAAGATGTTTCCTTTTCTAGCAGAGACTTCAAAGTGCTCTAAATATCCACTTGGGAATTCTACAAAAACGGTGTCTCAAAACTGCTCTATCAAAGGGAATGTTCCATTCTGTGAGTCGAATGCACACATCCGAAGAAGTTACTGAGAATTCTTCTCTGTAGGTTTAGATGAAGAAATCCCGTTTCCAACGAAGGCCTCTAGGAGGTCCAATTATCCACTTGCAGATTCTACAGAAAGAGTGTTTCAAAACTGCTCTATCAAGAGAAATGGTCCACCGTGTGTGTGGAATGCAGCCATCACACATTAGTTTCTGAGATTGCTTCTGTCTTGGTTTTATGGGGAGATATTTCCATTTCTAGCATAGGCTTCAAGGCGCTCTAAATATCCGCTTGGAAATACTACAAAAACAGTGTTTCAAAACTGCTGTATCCAAAGGAAGGTGCCACTCGCTGAGTTGAATGCACACATCACAAGGAAGTTTCTGAGAATTCTTCTGTCTAGATTCATACGAAGAAATCCCGTTTCCAACGAAGGCCTCAAAGAAGTCCAAATATCCCATTGCAAATTCTACAAAAGGAGTGTTTCCCAACTGCTCTATCAAGAGGAATGTTGCACTCTGTGACTTGCATGCAAACATCACATAGTAGTGTTTGAGAATTCTTCTATCTAGAGTAACATGAAGAAATCCCGTTTCCAACGAAGGCCTCAAGGCGGTCCAATTATCCACTTGCAGATTCTACAGAAAGAGTGTTTCAAAACTGCTCTATCAAGAGAAATGTTCCACCGTGTGTGTGGAATGCAGCCATCACAAAGTAGTTTCTGAGATTGCTTCCGTCTAGGTTTTAATGGAAGATATTTCCTTTTCTACCATAGGCCTCAAGGCGCTCTAATATCCGCTTGGAAATACTACAACCACAGCGTTTCAAACTGCTTTATCCAAAGGAAGGTTCCACTCTGTGATTTGAATGCACACAACCAAAGAAGTTTCGGAGAATTCTTCTGTCTAGATTTATACGAAGAGATCCCGTTTCCAACGAAGACCCAAAGGAGTTCCAAATATCCACTTGCAGATCCTTCAGAAAGAGGGTTTCAAAACTGCTCTATCAAGAGAAATGTTCAACTCTGTGAGTTGAATGCAGACATCACAAAGTCGTTTCTGAGATTGGTTCTGTCTAGGTTTTATGGGAAGATATTTCCTTTTCTACCATACGCTTCAAGGCGTTCCAAATATCCGCTTGGAAATACTACCAAAACAGTGTTTCAAAACTGCTCTATCAAAAGGAAGGATCCACACTGTGAGTTGAATTCACACATCACAAAGAAGTCTCTGAGAATTCTTCTGTCTGGGTTTATAGGAAGAAATCCCGTTTCCAACGAAGGCCTCAAAGAGGTCCAAATATCCACTTGCAGATTCTACAGAAACAATGTTTCCAAACTGCTCGGTCAAGAGGAATGTTGCACTCGGTGAGTTGAATGCACACATCACAAAGTAGTTTCTGAGATTGCTTCTGTCTACCTTTTATGGAAAGATATTCCCTTTTCTACCATAGGCCTGAAAGCGCTCTCAATGTACCCTTGCAAATTCTACAAAAAGAGTGTTTCCAAATTGCTCTATCAAGAGAAATCTTTATCTCGGTGAGTTGAAAGCACACATCACAAAGAAGACTCTGAGAATTCTTCTGTCTGGGTTTATAAGATGAAAACCCGTTTCCAACGAAGGCCTCAAGGAGGTCCAAATACAAACAAGCTGATTCTACAGAAAGAGTGTTTCCAAACTGCTCTATCAAGAGGAATGTTCCACTCGGTGAGTTGAATGCAGACATCACAAAGGAGTTTCTGAGATTGCTTCTGTCTAGCTTTTATGGAAAGATATTTCCTTTTCTACCATAGGCCTCAAAGCGCTCTTAGTATACACTTCCAAATTCTACAAAGAGAGTGTTACTAAACCGCTCTCTCAAAGGAAATGTTAAACTCTGTGAGTTGAACACAGACATCACAAAGCAGTTTCTGAGAACACTTCTGTCTGCCTTTTATGTGAAGACATTCCCTTTTCCAAAGAATGCCTCCAAGGGCTCAAAATATCCACTTGTAGACTTTACAAAGAGAGTGTTTCAAAACTTCTCTACCAAAAGAAAGGTTAAAGACGGTGAGTTCAACGCACACATCACAAAGTTGTTTCTGAGAATGATTCTATCTATGTTTTCCATGAAGATGTTTCCTTTTCTATCATAGGCTTCAAAGTGGTCTAAATATCCACTTGGAAATCCTACAAGAACAGGGTTTCAAAACTTCTCTATCAAACGGAAGACTCCACTCTGTGAGATGAACGCACACATCACAATGAGGTTTCTGAAAATTCTTCTGTCTAGGGTTATAGGAAGAAATCCCGTTTCCAACGAAGGCCTCAAAGAGGTCCAAATATCCACTTGCAGTTTCCACAAAAAGAGTGTTTCAACACTGCTCTATAAAGAGGAAAGTTCCACTCTGTGAGTTGAATGTACACATCACAAAGTAGTTTCTGAGATTGCTTCTGTCTAGGTTTTAGGTGAAGTTATTTCCTTTTCTACTGTGGGCTTCAATGCGCTCTAAATATACACATGCAAATACTACAAAAAGAGTGTTTCAAAACTGCTCTATCAAAAGAAAAGTTTTACTCTGTGGGTTGAACGCACACATCGCAAAGCAGATTCTGAGAATTATTCTGTCTAGTTTTTATAGGAAGATGTTTCTTTTTCTGCCATAGGTATCAATGCGCTATAAATATCCCCTTGGAAATCCTACAAAAACAGTGTTTCAAAACTGCTCTGTGAAAAGGGACGTTTCACTCTTTGAATTGAATGCACACATCACAAAGGAGTTTCTGAAAATTCTTCAATCTAGAGTTACATGAAGAAATCCCGTTTCCAAAGAAGGCCTCAAATAGGTCCAAATATCCACTTGCAGTTACTACAAGAAGGGTGTTTCAGAAATGCTCTATCAAAAGAAACGTTAAACTCTGTGAGTTGAACACACACGCCACTAAGCACTTTCTGAGAACGATTCTATCTACTTTTTACATGAAGATGTTTCCTTTTCTAGCAGAGACTTCAAAGTGCTCTAAATATCCACTTGGGAATTCTACAAAAACGGTGTCTCAAAACTGCTCTACCAAAGGGAATGTTCCATTCTGTGAGTCGAATGCACACATCCGAAGAAGTTACTGAGAATTCTTCTCTGTAGGTTTAGATGAAGAAATCCCGTTTCCAACGAAGGGCCTCTAGGAGGTCCAATTATCCACTTGCAGATTCTACAGAAAGAGTGTTTCAAAACTGCTCTATCAAGAGAAATGGTCCACCGTGTGTGTGGAATGCAGCCATCACACATTAGTTTCTGAGATTGTTTCTGTCTTGGTTTTATGGGGAGATATTTCCATTTCTAGCGTAGGCTTCAAGGCGCTCTAAATATCCGCTTGGAAATACTACAAAAACAGTGTTTCAAAACTGCTGTATCCAAAGGAAGGTGCCATTCGCTGAGTTGAATGCACACATCACAAGGAAGTTTCTGAGAATTCTTCTGTCTAGATTCATACGAAGAAATCCCGTTTCCAACGAAGGCCTCAAAGAAGTCCAAATATCCCATTGCAAATTCTACAAAAGGAGTGTTTCCCAACTGCTCTATCAAGAGGAATGTTGCACTCTGTGACTTGCATGCAAACATCACACAGCAGTGTTTGAGAATTCTTCTATCTAGAGTAACATGAAGAAATCCCGTTTCCAACGAAGGCCTCAAGGCGGTCCAATTATCCACTTGCAGATTCTACAGAAAGAGTGTTTCAAAACTGCTCTATCAAGAGAAATGTTCCACCGTGTGTGTGGAATGCAGCCATCACACAGTAGTTTCTGAGATTGCTTCCGTCTAGGTTTTATGGGAAGATATTTCCTTTTCTACCATAGGCCTCAAGGCGCTCTAATATCCGCTTGGAAATACTACAACCACAGCGTTTCAAACTGCTCTATCCAAAGGAAGGTTCCACGCTGTGACTTGAATGCACACAACCAAAGAAGTTTCGGAGAATTCTTCTGTCTAGATTTATACGAAGAAATCCCGTTTCCAACGAAGACCCAAAGGAGTTCCAAATATCCACTTGCAGATCCTTCAGAAAGAGGGTTTCAAAACTGCTCTATCAAGAGAAATGTTCAACTCAGTGAGTTGAATGCAGACATCACAAAGTCGTTTCTGAGATTGGTTCTGTCTAGCTTTTATGGAAAGATATTTCCTTTTCTACCGTAGGCTTCAAGGCGCTCCAAATATCCGCTTCGAAATACTAAAAAAACAGTGTTTCAAAACTGCTCTATCAAAAGGAAGGATCCACTCTGTGAGTTGAATTCACAAATCACAAAGTAGTCTCTGAGAATTCTTCTGTCTGGGTTTATAGGAAGAAATCCCGTTTCCAACGAAGGCCTCAAAGCCGGTCCATATATCCACTTGCAGATTCTACAGAAACAATGTTTCCAAACTGCTCTATCAAGAGGAATGTTGCACTCGGTGAGTTGAATGCACACATCACAAAGTAGTTTCTGAGATTGCTTCTGTCTACCTTTTATGGAAAGATATTCCCTTTTCTACCATAGGCCTGAAAGCGCTCTCAATGTACCCTTGCAAATTCTACAAAAAGAGTGTTTCCAAATTGCTCTATCAAGAGAAATCTTTATCTCGGTGAGTTGAAAGCACACATCACAAAGAAGACTCTGAGAATTCTTCTGTCTGGGTTTATAAGATGAAAACCCGTTTCCAACGAAGGCCTCAAGGAGGTCCAAATACAAAAAACCTGATTCTACAGAAAGAGTGTTTCCAAACTGCTCTATCAAGAGGAATGTTCCACTCGGTGAGTTGAATGCAGACATCACAAAGGAGTTTCTGAGATTGCTTCTGTCTAGCTTTTATGGAAAGATATTTCCTTTTCTACCATAGGCCTCAAAGCGCTCTTAGTATACACTTCCAAATTCTACAATGAGAGGGTTACTAAACCGCTCCATCACAGGAAATGTTAAACTCTGTGAGTTGAACACAGACATCACAAAGCAGTTTCTGAGAACACTTCTGTCTGCCTTTTATGTGAAGACATTCCCTTTTCCAAAGAATGCCTCCAAGGGCTCAAAATATCCACTTGTAGACTTTACAAAGAGAGTGTTTCAAAACTTCTCTACCAAAAGAAAGGTTAAAGACGGTGAGTTCAACGCACACATCACAAAGTTGTTTCTGAGAATGATTCTATCTATGTTTTCCATGAAGATGTTTCCTTTTCTATCATAGGCTTCAAAGTGGTCTAAATATCCACTTGGAAATCCTACAAGAACAGGGTTTCAAAACTTCTCTATCAAACGGAAGACTCCACTCTGTGAGATGAACGCACACATCACAATGAGGTTTCTGAAAATTCTTCTGTCTAGGGTTATAGGAAGAAATCCCGTTTCCAACGAAGGCCTCAAAGAGGTCCAAATATCCACTTGCAGTTTCTACAAAAAGAGTGTTTCAACACTGCTCTATAAAGAGGAAAGTTCCACTCTGTGAGTTGAATGTACACATCACAAAGTAGTTTCTGAGATTGCTTCTGTCTAGGTTTTAGGTGAAGTTATTTCCTTTTCTACTGTGGGCTTCAATGCGCTCTAAATATACACATGCAAATACTACAAAAAGAGTGTTTCAAAACTGCTCTATCAAAAGAAAAGTTTTACTCTGTGAGTTGAACGCACACATCGCAAAGCAGATTCTGAGAATTATTCTGTCTAGTTTTTATAGGAAGATGTTTCTTTTTCTGCCATAGGATCAATGCGCTATAAATATCCCCTTGGAAATCCTACAAAAACAGTGTTTCAAAACTGCTCTGTGAAAAGGGAGGTTTCACTCTTTGAATTGAATGCACACATCACAAAGGAGTTTCTGAAAATTCTTCAATCTAGAGTTACATGAAGAAATCCCGTTTCCAAAGAAGGCCTCAAATAGGTCCAAATATCCACTTGCAGCTACTACAAGAAGGGTGTTTCAGAAACGCTCTATCAAAAGAAACGTTAAACTCTGTGAGTTGAACACACACGTCACTAAGCACTTTCTGAGAACGATTCTATCTACTTTTTACATGAAGATGTTTCCTTTTCTAGCAGAGACTTCAAAGTGCTCTAAATATCCACTTGGGAATTCTACAAAAACGGTGTCTCAAAACTGCTCTACCAAAGGGAATGTTCCATTCTGTGAGTCGAATGCACACATCCGAAGAAGTTACTGAGAATTCTTCTCTGTAGGTTTAGATGAAGAAATCCCGTTTCCAACGAAGGCCTCTAGGAGGTCCAATTATCCACTTGCAGATTCTACAGAAAGAGTGTTTCAAAACTGCTCTATCAAGAGAAATGGTCCACCGTGTGTGTGGAATGCAGCCATCACACATTAGTTTCTGAGATTGCTTCTGTCTTGGTTTTATGGGGAGATATTTCCATTTCTAGCATAGGCTTCAAGGCGCTCTAAATATCCGCTTGGAAATACTACAAAAACAGTGTTTCAAAACTGCTGTATCCAAAGGAAGGTGCCACTCGCTGAGTTGAATGCACACATCACAAGGAAGTTTCTGAGAATACTTCTGTCTAGATTCATACGAAGAAATCCCGTTTCCAACGAAGGCCTCAAAGAAGTCCAAATATCCCATTGCAAATTCTACAAAAGGAGTGTTTCCCAACTGCTCTATCAAGAGGAATGTTGCACTCTGTGACTTGCATGCAAACATCACATAGCAGTGTTTGAGAATTCTTCTGTCTAGAGTAACATGAAGAAATCCTGTTTCCAACGAAGGCCTCAAGGCGGTCCAATTATCCACTTGCAGATTCTACAGAAAGAGTGTTTCAAAACTGCTCTATCAAGAGAAATGTTCCACCGTGTGTGTGGAATGCAGCCATCACACAGTAGTTTCTGAGATTGCTTCCGTCTAGGTTTTATGGGAAGATATTTCCTTTTCTACCATAGGCTTCAAGGCGCTCTAATATCCGCTTGGAAATACTACAACCACAGCGTTTCAAACTGCTCTATCCAAAGGAAGGTTCCACTCTGTGACTTGAATGCACACAACCAAAGAAGTTTCGGAGAATTCTTCTGTCTGGATTTATACGAAGAAATCCCGTTTCCAACGAAGACCCAAAGGAGTTCCAAATATCCACTTGCAGATCCTTCAGAAAGAGGGTTTCAAAACTGCTCTATCAAGAGAAATGTTCAACTCTGTGAGTTGAATGCAGACATCACAAAGTCGTTTCTGAGATTGGTTCTGTCTAGGTTTTATGGGAAGATATTTCCTTTTCTACCATACGCTTCAAGGCGTTCCAAATATCCGCTTGGAAATACTACAAAAACGGTGTTTCAAAACTGCTCTATCAAAAGGAAGGATCCACACTGTGAGTTGAATTCACACATCACAAAGAAATCTCTGGGAATTCTTCTGTCTGGGTTTATAGGAAGAAATCCCGTTTCCAACGAAGGCCTCAAAGCGGTCCATATATCCACTTGCAGATTCTACAGAAACAATGTTTCCAAACTGCTCTATCAAGAGGAATGTTGCACTCGGTGAGTTGAATGCACACATCACAAAGTAGTTTCTGAGATTGCTTCTGTCTACCTTTTATGGAAAGATATTCCCATTTCTACCATAGGCCTGAAAGCGCTCTCAATGTACCCTTGCAAATTCTACAAAAAGAGTGTTTCCAAATTGCTCTATCAAGAGAAATCTTTATCTCGGTGAGTTGAAAGCACACATCACAAAGAAGACTCTGAGAATTCTTCTGTCTGGGTTTATAAGATGAAAACCCGTTTCCAACGAAGGCCTCAAGGAGGTCCAAATACAAACAAGCTGATTCTACAGAAAGAGTGTTTCCAAACTGCTCTATCAAGAGGAATGTTCCACTCGGTGAGTTGAATGCAGACATCACAAAGGAGTTTCTGAGATTGCTTCTGTCTAGCTTTTATGGAAAGATATTTCCTTTTCTACCATAGGCCTCAAAGCGCTCTTAGTATACACTTCCAAATTCTACAAAGAGAGTGTTACTAAACCGCTCTCTCAAAGGAAATGTTAAACTCTGTGAGTTGAACACAGACATCACAAAGCAGTTTCCTGAGAACACTTCTGTCTGCCTTTTATGTGAAGACATTCCATTTTCCAAAGAATGCCTCCAAGGGCTCAAAATATCCACTTGTAGACTTTACAAAGAGAGTGTTTCAAAACTTCTCTACCAAAAGAAAGGTTAAAGACGGTGAGTTCAACGCACACATCACAAAGTTGTTTCTGAGAATGATTCTATCTATGTTTTCCATGAAGATGTTTCCTTTTCTATCATAGGCTTCAAAGTGGTCTAAATATCCACTTGGAAATCCTACAAGAACAGGGTTTCAAAACTTCTCTATCAAACGGAAGACTCCACTCTGTGAGATGAACGCACACATCACAATGAGGTTTCTGAAAATTCTTCTGTCTAGGGTTATAGGAAGAAATCCCGTTTCCAACGAAGGCCTCAAAGAGGTCCAAATATCCACTTGCAGTTTCTACAAAAAGAGTGTTTCAACACTGCTCTATAAAGAGAAAAGTTCCACTCTGTGAGTTGAATGTACACATCACAAAGTAGTTTCTGAGATTGCTTCTGTCTAGGTTTTAGGTGAAGTTATTTCCTTTTCTACTGTGGGCTTCAATGCGCTCTAAATATACACATGCAAATACTACAAAAAGAGTGTTTCAAAACTGCTCTATCAAAAGAAAAGTTTTACTCTGTGGGTTGAACGCACACATCGCAAAGCAGATTCTGAGAATTATTCTGTCTAGTTTTTATAGGAAGATGTTTCTTTTTCTGCCATAGGCTCAATGCGCTATAAATATCCCCTTGGAAGTCCTACAAAAACAGTGTTTCAAAACTGCTCTGTGAAAAGGGAGGTTTCACTCTTTGAATTGAATGCACACATCACAAAGGAGTTTCTGAAAATTCTTCAAACTAGAGTTACATGAAGAAATCCCGTTTCCAAAGAAGGGATAGGTCCAAATATCCACTTGCAGCTACTACAAGAAGGGTGTTTCAGAAACGCTCTATCAAAAGAAACGTTAAACTCTGTGAGTTGAACACACACGTCACTAAGCACTTTCTGAGAACGATTCTATCTACTTTTTACATGAAGATGTTTCCTTTTCTAGCAGAGACTTCAAAGTGCTCTAAATATCCACTTGGGAATTCTACAAAAACGGTGTCTCAAAACTGCTCTACCAAAGGGAATGTTCCATTCTGTGAGTCGAATGCACACATCCGAAGAAGTTACTGAGAATTCTTCTCTGTAGGTTTAGATGAAGAAATCCCGTTTCCAACGAAGGCCTCTAGGAGGTCCAATTATCCACTTGCAGATTCTACAGAAAGAGTGTTTCAAAACTGCTCTATCAAGAGAAATGGTCCACCGTGTGTGTGGAATGCAGCCATCACACATTAGTTTCTGAGATTGCTTCTGTCTTGGTTTTATGGGGAGATATTTCCATTTCTAGCATAGGCTTCAAGGCGCTCTAAATATCCGCTTGGAAATACTACAAAAACAGTGTTTCAAAACTGCTGTATCCAAAGGAAGGTGCCACTCGCTGAGTTGAATGCACACATCACAAGGAAGTTTCTGAGAATTCTTCTGTCTAGATTCATACGAAGAAATCCCGTTTCCAACGAAGGCCTCAAAGAAGTCCAAATATCCCATTGCAAATTCTACAAAAGGAGTGTTTCCCAACTGCTCTATCAAGAGGAATGTTGCACTCTGTGACTTGCATGCAAACATCACACAGCAGTGTTTGAGAATTCTTCTGTCTAGAGTAACATGAAGAAATCCCGTTTCCAACGAAGGCCTCAAGGCGGTCCAATTATCCACTTGCAGATTCTACAGAAAGAGTGTTTCAAAACTGCTCTATCAAGAGAAATGTTCCACCGTGTGTGTGGAATGCAGCCATCACACAGTAGTTTCTGAGATTGCTTCCGTCTAGGTTTTATGGGAAGATATTTCCTTTTCTACCATAGGCCTCAAGGCGCTCTAATATCCGCTTGGAAATACTACAACCACAGCGTTTCAAACTGCTCTATCCAAAGGAAGGTTCCACTCTGTGAGTTGAATGCACACAACCAAAGATGTTTCGGAGAATTCTTCTGTCTAGATTTATACGAAGAAATCCCGTTTCCAACGAAGACCCAAAGGAGTTCCAAATATCCACTTGCAGATCCTTCAGAAAGAGGGTTTCAAAACTGCTCTATCAAGAGAAATGTTCAACTCTGTGAGTTGAATGCAGACATCACAAAGTCGTTTCTGAGATTGGTTCTGTCTAGGTTTTATGGGAAGATATTTCCTTTTCTACCTTACGCTTCAAGGCGTTCCAAATATCCGCTTGGAAATACTACAAAAACAGTGTTTCAAAACTGCTCTATCAAAAGGAAGGATCCACACTGTGAGTTGAATTCACACATCACAAAGAAATCTCTGAGAATTCTTCTGTCTGGGTTTATAGGAAGAAATCCCGTTTCCAACGAAGGCCTCAAAGCGGTCCATATATCCACTTGCAGATTCTACAGAAACAATGTTTCCAAACTGCTCTATCAAGAGGAATGTTGCACTCGGTGAGTTGAATGCACACATCACAAAGTAGTTTCTGAGATTGCTTCTGTCTACCTTTTATGGAAAGATATTCCCTTTTCTACCATAGGCCTGAAAGCGCTCTCAATGTACCCTTGCAAATTCTACAAAAAGAGTGTTTCCAAATTGCTCTATCAAGAGAAATCTTTATCTCGGTGAGTTGAAAGCACACATCACAAAGAAGACTCTGAGAATTCTTCTGTCTGGGTTTATAAGATGAAAACCCGTTTCCAACGAAGGCCTCAAGGAGGTCCAAATACAAACAAGCTGATTCTACAGAAAGAGTGTTTCCAAACTGCTCTATCAAGAGGAATGTTCCACTCGGTGAGCTGAATGCAGACATCACAAAGGAGTTTCTGAGATTGCTTCTGTCTAGCTTTTATGGAAAGATATTTCCTTTTCTACCATAGGCCTCAAAGCGCTCTTAGTATACACTTCCAAATTCTACAAAGAGAGTGTTACTAAACCGCTCTCTCAAAGGAAATGTTAAACTCTGTGAGTTGAACACAGACATCACAAAGCAGTTTCTGAGAACACTTCTGTCTGCTTTTATGTGAAGACATTCCCTTTTCCAAAGAATGCCTCCAAGGGCTCAAAATATCCACTTGTAGACTTTACAAAGAGAGTGTTTCAAAACTTCTCTACCAAAAGAAAGGTTAAAGACGGTGAGTTCAACGCACACATCACAAAGTTGTTTCTGAGAATGATTCTATCTATGTTTTCCATGAAGATGTTTCCTTTTCTATCATAGGCTTCAAAGTGGTCTAAATATCCACTTGGAAATCCTACAAGAACAGGGTTTCAAAACTTCTCTATCAAACGGAAGACTCCACTCTGTGAGATGAACGCACACATCACAATGAGGTTTCTGAAAATTCTTCTGTCTAGGGTTATAGGAAGAAATCCCGTTTCCAACGAAGGCCTCAAAGAGGTCCAAATATCCACTTGCAGTTTCTACAAAAAGAGTCTTTCAACACTGCTCTATAAAGAGGAAAGTTCCACTCGGTGAGTTGAATGTACACATCACAAAGTAGTTTCTGAGATTGCTTCTGTCTAGGTTTTAGGTGAAGTTATTTCCTTTTCTACTGTGGGCTTCAATGCGCTCTAAATATACACATGCAAATACTACAAAAAGAGTGTTTCAAAACTGCTCTATCAAAAGAAAAGTTTTACTCTGTGAGTTGAACGCACACATCGCAAAGCAGATTCTGAGAATTATTCTGTCTAGTTTTTATAGGAAGATGTTTCTTTTTCTGCCATAGGTATCAATGCGCTATAAATATCCCCTTGGAAATCCTACAAAAACAGTGTTTCAAAACTGCTCTGTGAAAAGGGACGTTTCACTCTTTGAATTGAATGCACACATCACAAAGGAGTTTCTGAAAATTCTTCAATCTAGAGTTACATGAAGAAATCCCGTTTCCAAAGAAGGCCTCAAATAGGTCCAAATATCCACTTGCAGCTACTACAAGAAGGGTGTTTCAGAAACGCTCTATCAAAAGAAACGTTAAACTCTGTGAGTTGAACGCACACGTCACTAAGCACTTTCTGAGAACGATTCTATCTACTGTTTACATGAAGATGTTTCCTTTTCTAGCAGAGACTTCAAAGTGCTCTAAATATCCACTTGGGAATTCTACAAAAACGGTGTCTCAAAACTGCTCTATCAAACGGAATGTTCCATTCTGTGAGTCGAATGCACACATCCGAAGAAGTTACTGAGAATTCTTCTCTGTAGGTTTAGATGAAGAAATCCCGTTTCCAACGAAGGCCTCTAGGAGGTCCAATTATCCACTTGCAGATTCTACAGAAAGAGTGTTTCAAAACTGCTCTATCAAGAGAAATGGTCCACCGTGTGTGTGGAATGCAGCCATCACACATTAGTTTCTGAGATTGCTTCTGTCTTGGTTTTATGGGGAGATATTTCCATTTCTAGCATAGGCTTCAAGGCGCTCTAAATATCCGCTTGGAAATAGTACAAAAACAGTGTTTCAAAACTGCTGTATCCAAAGGAAGGTGCCACTCGCTGAGTTGAATGCACACATCACAAGGAAGTTTCTGAGAATTCTTCTGTCTAGATTCATACGAAGAAATCCCGTTTCCAACGAAGGCCTCAAAGAAGTCCAAATATCCCATTGCAAATTCTACAAAAGGAGTGTTTCCCAACTGCTCTATCAAGAGGAATGTTGCACTCTGTGACTTGCATGCAAACATCACACAGCAGTGTTTGAGAATTCTTCTATCTAGAGTAACATGAAGAAATCCCGTTTCCAACGAAGGCCTCAAGGCGGTCCAATTATCCACTTGCAGATTCTACAGAAAGAGTGTTTCAAAACTGCTCTATCAAGAGAAATGTTCCACCGTGTGTGTGGAATGCAGCCATCACACAGTAGTTTCTGAGATTGCTTCCGTCTAGGTTTTATGGGAAGATATTTCCTTTTCTACCATAGGCCTCAAGGCGCTCTAATATCCGCTTGGAAATACTACAACCACAGCGTTTCAAACTGCTCTATCCAAAGGAAGGTTCCACTCTGTGACTTGAATGCACACAACCAAAGAAGTTTCGGAGAATTCTTCTGTCTGGATTTATACGAAGAAATCCCGTTTCCAACGAAGACCCAAAGGAGTTCCAAATATCCACTTGCAGATCCTTCAGAAAGAGGGTTTCAAAACTGCTCTATCAAGAGAAATGTTCAACTCTGTGAGTTGAATGCAGACATCACAAAGTCGTTTCTGAGATGGGTTCTGTCTAGGTTTTATGGGAAGATATTTCCTTTTCTACCATACGCTTCAAGGCTTTCCAAATATCCGCTTGGAAATACTACAAAAACAGTGTTTCAAAACTGCTCTATCAAAAGGAAGGATCCACACTGTGAGTTGAATTCACACATCACAAAGAAATCTCTGAGAATTCTTCTGTCTGGGTTTATAGGAAGAAATCCCGTTTCCAACGAAGGCCTCAAAGCGGTCCATATATCCACTTGCAGATTCTACAGAAACAATGTTTCCAAACTGCTCGGTCAAGAGGAATGTTGCACTCGGTGAGTTGAATGCACACATCACAAAGTAGTTTCTGAGATTGCTTCTGTCTACCTTTTATGGAAAGATATTCCCTTTTCTACCATAGGCCTGAAAGCGCTCTCAATGTACCCTTGCAAATTCTACAAAAAGAGTGTTTCCAAATTGCTCTATCAAGAGAAATCTTTATCTCGGTGAGTTGAAAGCACACATCACAAAGAAGACTCTGAGAATTCTTCTGTCTGGGTTTATAAGATGAAAACCCGTTTCCAACGAAGGCCTCAAGGAGGTCCAAATACAAACAAGCTGATTCTACAGAAAGAGTGTTTCCAAACTGCTCTATCAAGAGGAATGTTCCACTCGGTGAGTTGAATGCAGACATCACAAAGGAGTTTCTGAGATTGCTTCTGTCTAGCTTTTATGGAAAGATATTTCCTTTTCTAGCATAGGCCTCAAAGCGCTCTTAGTATACACTTCCAAATTCTACAAAGAGAGTGTTACTAAACTGCTCTATCAAAGGAAATGTTAAACTCTGTGAGTTGAACACAGACATCACAAAGCAGTTTTTGAGAACACTTCTGTCTGCCTTTTATGTGAAGACATTCCCTTTTCCAAAGAATGCCTCCAAGGGCCCAAAATATACACTTGTAGACTTTACAAAGAGAGTGTTTCAAAACTTCTCTACCAAAAGAAAGGTTAAAGACTGTGAGTTCAACGCACACATCACAAAGTTGTTTCTGAGAATGATTCTATCTATGTTTTCCATGAAGATGTTTCCTTTTGTATCATAGGCTTCAAAGTGGTCTAAATATCCACTTGGAAATCCTACAAGAACAGGGTTTCAAAACTTCTCTATCAAACGGAAGACTCCACTCTGTGAGATGAATGCACACATCACAATGAGGTTTCTGAAAATTCTTCTGTCTAGGGTTATAGGAAGAAATCCCGTTTCCAACGAAGGCCTCAAAGAGGTCCAAATATCCACTTGCAGTTTCTACAAAAAGAGTGTTTCAACACTGCTCTATAAAGAGGAAAGTTCCACTCTGTGAGTTGAATGTACACATCACAAAGTAGTTTCTGAGATTGCTTCTGTCTAGGTTTTAGGTGAAGTTATTTCCTTTTCTACTGTGGGCTTCAATGCGCTCTAAATATACACATGCAAATACTACAAAAAGAGTGTTTCAAAACTGCTCTATCAAAAGAAAAGTTTTACTCTGTGGGTTGAACGCACACATCGCAAAGCAGATTCTGAGAATTATTCTGTCTAGTTTTTATAGGAAGATGTTTCTTTTTCTGCCATAGGATCAATGCGCTATAAATATCCCCTTGGAAATCCTACAAAAACAGTGTTTCAAAACTGCTCTGTGAAAAGGGAGGTTTCACTCTTTGAATTGAATGCACACATCACAAAGGAGTTTCTGAAAATTCTTCAATCTAGAGTTACATGAAGAAATCCCGTTTCCAAAGAAGGCCTCAAATAGGTCCAAATATCCACTTGCAGCTACTACAAGAAGGGTGTTTCAGAAACGCTCTATCAAAAGAAACGTTAAACTCTGTGAGTTGAACACACACGTCACTAAGCACTTTCTGAGAACGATTCTATCTACTTTTTACATGAAGATGTTTCCTTTTCTAGCAGAGACTTCAAAGTGCTCTAAATATCCACTTGGGAATTCTACAAAAACGGTGTCTCAAAACTGCTCTATCAAACGGAATGTTCCATTCTGTGAGTCGAATGCACACATCCGAAGAAGTTACTGAGAATTCTTCTCTGTAGGTTTAGATGAAGAAATCCCGTTTCCAAAGAAGGCCTCTAGGAGGTCCAATTATCCACTTGCAGATTCTACAGAAAGAGTGTTTCAAAACTGCTCTATCAAGAGAAATGGTCCACCGTGTGTGTGGAATGCAGCCATCACACATTAGTTTCTGAGATTGCTTCTGTCTTGGTTTTATGGGGAGATATTTCCATTTCTAGCATAGGCTTCCAGGCGCTCTAAATATTCGCTTGGAAATAGTACAAAAATAGTGTTTCAAAACTGCTGTATCCAAAGGAAGGTGCCACTCGCTGAGTTGAATGCACACATCACAAGGAAGTTTCTGAGAATTCTTCTGTCTAGATTCATACGAAGAAATCCCGTTTCCAACGAAGGCCTCAAAGAAGTCCAAATATCCCATTGCAAATTCTACAAAAGGAGTGTTTCCCAACTGCTCTATCAAGAGGAATGTTGCACTCTGTGACTTGCATGCAAACATCACATAGCAGTGTTTGAGAATTCTTCTATCTAGAGTAACATGAAGAAATACCGTTTCCAACGAAGGCCTCAAGGCGGTCCAATTATCCACTTGCAGATTCTACAGAAAGAGTGTTTCAAAACTGCTCTATCAAGAGAAATGTTCCACCTTGTGTGTGGAATGCAGCCATCACACAGTAGTTTCTGAGATTGCTTCCGTCTAGGTTTTATGGGAAGATATTTCCTTTTCTACCATAGGCTTCAAGGCGCTCTAATATCCGCTTGGAAATACTACAACCACAGCGTTTCAAACTGCTCTATCCAAAGGAAGGTTCCACTCTGTGACTTGAATGCACACAACCAAAGAAGTTTCGGAGAATTCTTCTGTCTGGATTTATACGAAGAAATCCCGTTTCCAACGAAGACCCAAAGGAGTTCCAAATATCCACTTGCAGATCCTTCAGAAAGAGGGTTTCAAAACTGCTCTATCAAGAGAAATGTTCAACTCTGTGAGTTGAATGCAGACATCACAAAGTCGTTTCTGAGATGGGTTCTGTCTAGGTTTTATGGGAAGATATTTCTTTTTCTACCATACGCTTCAAGGCGTTCCAAATATCCGCTTGGAAATACTACAAAAACGGTGTTTCAAAACTGCTCTATCAAAAGGAAGGATCCACACTGTGAGTTGAATTCACACATCACAAAGAAATCTCTGAGAATTCTTCTGTCTGGGTTTATAGGAAGAAATCCCGTTTCCAACGAAGGCCTCAAAGCGGTCCATATATCCACTTGCAGATTCTACAGAAACAATGTTTCCAAACTGCTCTATCAAGAGGAATGTTGCACTCGGTGAGTTGAATGCACACATCACAAAGTAGTTTCTGAGATTGCTTCTGTCTACCTTTGATGGAAAGATATTCCCTTTTCTACCATAGGCCTGAAAGCGCTCTCAATGTACCCTTGCAAATTCTACAAAAAGAGTGTTTCCAAATTGCTCTATCAAGAGAAATCTTTATCTCGGTGAGTTGAAAGCACACATCACAAAGAAGACTCTGAGAATTCTTCTGTCTGGGTTTATAAGATGAAAACCCGTTTCCAACGAAGGCCTCAAGGAGGTCCAAATACAAACAAGCTGATTCTACAGAAAGAGTGTTTCCAAACTGCTCTATCAAGAGGAATGTTCCACTCGGTGAGTTGAATGCAGACATCACAAAGGAGTTTCTGAGATTGCTTCTGTCTAGCTTTTATGGAAAGATAATTCCTTTTCTACCATAGGCCTCAAAGCGCTCTTAGTATACACTTCCAAATTCTACAAAGAGAGTGTTACTAAACCGCTCTCTCAAAGGAAATGTTAAACTCTGTGAGTTGAACACAGACATCACAAAGCAGTTTCTGAGAACATTTCTGTCTGCCTTTTATGTGAAGACATTCCCTTTTCCAAAGAATGCCTCCAAGGGCTCAAAATATCCACTTGTAGACTTTACAAAGAGAGTGTTTCAAAACTTCTCTACCAAAAGAAAGGTTAAAGACGGTGAGTTCAACGCACACATCACAAAGTTGTTTCTGACAATGATTCTATCTATGTTTTCCATGAAGATGTTTCCTTTTCTATCATAGGCTTCAAAGTGGTCTAAATATCCACTTGGAAATCCTACAAGAACAGGGTTTCAAAACTTCTCTATCAAACGGAAGACTCCACTCTGTGAGATGAACGCACACATCACAATGAGGTTTCTGAAAATTCTTCTGTCTAGGGTTATAGGAAGAAATCCCGTTTCCAACGAAGGCCTCAAAGAGGTCCAAATATCCACTTGCAGTTTCTACAAAAAGAGTGTTTCAACACTGCTCTATAAAGAGGAAAGTTCCACTCTGTGAGTTGAATGTACACATCACAAAGTAGTTTCTGAGATTGCTTCTGTCTAGGTTTTAGGTGAAGTTATTTCCTTTTCTACTGTGGGCTTCAATGCGCTCTAAATATACACATGCAAATACTACAAAAAGAGTGTTTCAAAACTGCTCTATCAAAAGAAAAGTTTTACTCTGTGGGTTGAACGCACACATCGCAAAGCAGATTCTGAGAATTATTCTGTCTAGTTTTTATAGGAAGATGTTTCTTTTTCTGCCATAGGATCAATGCGCTATAAATATCCCCTTGGAAATCCTACAAAAACAGTGTTTCAAAACTGCTCTGTGAAAAGGGAGGTTTCACTCTTTGAATTGAATGCACACATCACAAAGGAGTTTCTGAAAATTCTTCAATCTAGAGTTACATGAAGAAATCCCGTTTCCAAAGAAGGCCTCAAATAGGTCCAAATATCCACTTGCAGCTACTACAAGAAGGGTGTTTCAGAAACGCTCTATCAAAAGAAACGTTAAACTCTGTGAGTTGAACGCACACGTCACTAAGCACTTTCTGAGAACGATTCTATCTACTTTTTACATGAAGATGTTTCCTTTTCTAGCAGAGACTTCAAAGTGCTCTAAATATCCACTTGGGAATTCTACCAAAACGGTGTCTCAAAACTGCTCTATCGAAGGGAATGTTCCACTCTGTGAGTCGAATGCACACATCCGAAGAAGTTACTGAGAATTCTTCTCTGTAGGTTTAGATGAAGAAATCCCGTTTCCAACGAAGGCCTCTAGGAGGTCCAATTATCCACTTGCAGATTCTACAGAAAGAGTGTTTCAAAACTGCTCTATCAAGAGAAATGGTCCACCGTGTGTGTGGAATGCAGCCATCACACATTAGTTTCTGAGATTGCTTCTGTCTTGGTTTTATGGGGAGATATTTCCATTTCTAGCGTAGGCTTCAAGGCGCTCTAAATATCCGCTTGGAAATACTACAAAAACAGTGTTTCAAAACTGCTGTATCCAAAGGAAGGTGCCACTCGCTGAGTTGAATGCACACATTACAAAGAAGTTTCTGATAATTCTTCTGTCTAGTTTTATACGAAGAAATCCCGTTTCCAACGAAGGCCTCAAAGAAGTCCAAATATCCCATTGCAAATTCTACAATAGGAGTGTTTCCCAACTACTCTATCAAGAGGAATGTTGCACTCTGTGACTTGAATGCAAACATCACATAGCAGTGTTTGAGAATTCTTCTATCTAGAGTAACATGAAGAAATCCCGTTTCCAACGAAGGCCTCAAGGCGGTCCAATTATCCACTTGCAGATTCTACAGAAAGAGTGTTTCAAAACTGCTCTATCAAGAGAAATGTTCCACCGTGTGTGTGGAATGCAGCCATCACACAGTAGTTTCTGAGATTGCTTCCGTCTAGGTTTTATGGGAAGATATTTCCTTTTCTACCATAGGCCTCAAGGCGCTCTAATATCCGCTTGGAAACACTACAACCACAGCGTTTCAAACTGCTCTACCCAAAGGAAGGTTCCACCCTGTGACTTGAATGCACACAACCAAAGAAGTTTCGGAGAATTCTTCTGTCTAGATTTATACGAAGAAATCCCGTTTCCAACGAAGACCCAAAGGAGTTCCAAATATCCACTTGCAGATCCTTCAGAAAGAGGGTTTCAAAACTGCTCTATCAACAGAAATGTTCAACTCTGTGAGTTGAATGCAGACATCACAAAGTCGTTTCTGAGATTGGTTCTGTCTAGGTTTTATGGGAAGATATTTCCTTTTCTACCATGCGCTTCAAGGCGTTCCAAATATCCGCTTGGAAATACTACAAAAACAGTGTTTCAAAACTGCTCTATCAAAAGGAAGGATCCACACTGTGAGCTGAATTCACACATCACAAAGAAGTCTCTGAGAATTCTTCTGTCTGGGTTTATAGGAAGAAATCCCGTTTCCAACGAAGGCCTCAAAGCGGTCCATATATCCACTTGCAGATTCTACAGAAACAATGTTTCCAAACTGCTCGGTCAAGAGGAATGTTGCACTCGGTGAGTTGAATGCACACATCACAAAGTAGTTTCTGAGATTGCTTCTGTCTACCTTTTATGGAAAGATATTCCCTTTTCTACCATAGGCCTGAAAGCGCTCTCAATGTACCCTTGCAAATTCTACAAAAAGAGTGTTTCCAAATTGCTCTATCAAGAGAAATCTTTATCTCGGTGAGTTGAAAGCACACATCACAAAGAAGACTCTGAGAATTCTTCTGTCTGGGTTTATAAGATGAAAACCCGTTTCCAACGAAGGCCTCAAGGAGGTCCAAATACAAACAAGCTGATTCTACAGAAAGAGTGTTTCCAAACTGCTCTATCAAGAGGAATGTTCCACTCGGTGAGTTGAATGCAGACATCACAAAGGAGTTTCTGAGATTGCTTCTGTCTAGCTTTTATGGAAAGATATTTCCTTTTCTACCATAGGCCTCAAAGCGCTCTTAGTATACACTTCCAAATTCTACAAAGAGAGTGTTACTAAACCGCTCTCTCAAAGGAAATGTTAAACTCTGTGAGTTGAACACAGACATCACAAAGCAGTTTCTGAGAACACTTCTGTCTGCCTTTTACGTGAAGACATTCCCTTTTCCAAAGAATGCCTCCAAGGGCTCAAAATATCCACTTGCAGACTTTACAAAGAGAGTGTTTCAAAACATCTCTACCAAAAGAATGGTTAAAGACTGTGAGTTCAACGCACACATCACAAAGTTTTTTCTGAGAATGATTCTATCTATGTTTTCCATGAAGATGTTTCCTTTTCTATCATAGGCTTCAAAGTGGTCTAAATATCCACTTGGAAATCCTACAAGAACAGGGTTTCAAAACTTCTCTATCAAAAGGAAGACTCCACTCTGTGAGATGAACGCACACAACACAATGAGGTTTCTGAAAATTCTTCTGTCTAGGGTTATAGGAAGAAATCCCGTTTCCAACGAAGGCCTCAAAGAGGTCCAAATATCCACTTGCAGTTTCTACAAAAAGAGTGTTTCAACACTGCTCTATAAAGAGGAAAGTTCCACTCTGTGAGTTGAATGTACACATCACAAAGTAGTTTCTGAGATTGCTTCTGTCTAGGTTTTAGGTGAAGTTATTTCCTTTTCTACTGTGGGCTTCAATGCGCTCTAAATATACACATGCAAATACTACAAAAAGAGTGTTTCAAAACTGCTCTATCAAAAGAAAAGTTTTACTCTGTGGGTTGAACGCACACATCGCAAAGCAGATTCTGAGAATTATTCTGTCTAGTTTTTATAGGAAGATGTTTCTTTTTCTGCCATAGGCTCAATGCGCTATAAATATCCCCTTGGAAATCCTACAAAAACAGTGTTTCAAAACTGCTCTGTGAAAAGGGAGGTTTCACTCTTTGAATTGAATGCACACATCACAAAGGAGTTTCTGAAAATTCTTCAATCTAGAGTTACATGAAGAAATCCCGTTTCCAAAGAAGGCCTCAAATAGGTCCAAATATCCACTTGCAGCTACTACAAGAAGGGTGTTTCAGAAATGCTCTATCAAAAGAAACGTTAAACTCTGTGAGTTGAACACACACGTCACTAAGCACTTTCTGAGAACGATTCTATCTACTTTTTACATGAAGATGTTTCCTTTTCTAGCAGAGACTTCAAAGTGCTCTAAATATCCACTTGGGAATTCTACAAAAACGGTGTCTCAAAACTGCTCTATCAAAGGGAATGTTCCATTCTGTGAGTCGAATGCACACATCCGAAGAAGTTACTGAGAATTCTTCTCTGTAGGTTTAGATGAAGAAATCCCGTTTCCAACGAAGGCCTCTAGGAGGTCCAATTATCCACTTGCAGATTCTACAGAAAGAGTGTTTCAAAACTGCTCTATCAAGAGAAATGGTCCACCGTGTGTGTGGAATGCAGCCATCACACATTAGTTTCTGAGATTGCTTCTGTCTTGGTTTTATGGGGAGATATTTCCATTTCTAGCATAGGCTTCAAGGCGCTCTAAATATCCGCTTGGAAATACTACAAAAACAGTGTTTCAAAACTGCTGTATCCAAAGGAAGGTGCCACTCGCTGAGTTGAATGCACACATCACAAGGAAGTTTCTGAGAATTCTTCTGTCTAGATTTATACGAAGAAATCCCGTTTCCAACGAAGGCCTCAAAGAAGTCCAAATATCCCATTGCAAATTCTACAAAAGGAGTGTTTCCCAACTGCTCTATCAAGAGGAATGTTGCACTCTGTGACTTGAATGCAAACATCACATAGTAGTGTTTGAGAATTCTTCTATCTAGAGTAACATGAAGAAATCCCGTTTCCAACGAAGGCCTCAAGGCGGTCCAATTATCCACTTGCAGATTCTACAGAAAGAGTGTTTCAAAACTGCTCTATCAAGAGAAATGTTCCACCGTGTGTGTGGAATGCAGCCATCACACAGTAGTTTCTGAGATTGCTTCCGTCTAGGTTTTATGGGAAGATATTTCCTTTTCTACCATAGGCCTCAAGGCGCTCTAATATCCGCTTGGAAATACTACAACCACAGCGTTTCAAACTGCTCTATCCAAAGGAAGGTTCCACTCTGTGACTTGAATGCACACAACCAAAGAAGTTTCGGAGAATTCTTCTGTCTGGATTTATACGAAGAAATCCCGTTTCCAACGAAGACCCAAAGGAGTTCCAAATATCCACTTGCAGATCCTTCAGAAAGAGGGTTTCAAAACTGCTCTATCAAGAGAAATGTTCAACTCTGTGAGTTGAATGCAGACATCACAAAGTCGTTTCTGAGATGGGTTCTGTCTAGGTTTTATGGGAAGATATTTCCTTTTCTACCATACGCTTCAAGGCGTTCCAAATATCCGCTTGGAAATACTACAAAAACGGTGTTTCAAAACTGCTCTATCAAAAGGAAGGATCCACACTGTGAGTTGAATTCACGCATCACAAAGAAATCTCTGAGAATTCTTCTGTCTGGGTTTATAGGAAGAAATCCCGTTTCCAACGAAGGCCTCAAAGCGGTCCATATATCCACTTGCAGATTCTACAGAAACAATGTTTCCAAACTGCTCGGTCAAGAGGAATGTTGCACTCGGTGAGTTGAATGCACACATCACAAAGTAGTTTCTGAGATTGCTTCTGTCTACCATTTCTACCATAGGCCTGAAAGCGCTCTCAATGTACCCTTGCAAATTCTACAAAAAGAGTGTTTCCAAATTGCTCTATCAAGAGAAATCTTTATCTCGGTGAGTTGAAAGCACACATCACAAAGAAGACTCTGAGAATTCTTCTGTCTGGGTTTATACGATGAAAACCCGTTTCCAATGAAGGCCTCAAGGAGGTCCAAATACAAACAAGCTGATTCTACAGAAAGAGTGTTTCCAAACTGCTCTATCAAGAGGAATGTTCCACTCGGTGAGTTGAATGCAGACATCACAAAGGAGTTTCTGAGATTGCTTCTATCTAGCTTTTATGGAAAGATATTTCCTTTTCTACCATAGGCCTCAAAGCGCTCTTAGTATACACTTCCAAATTCTACAAAGACAGTGTTACTAAACTGCTCTCTCAAAGGAAATGTTAAACTCTGTGAGTTGAACACAGACATCACAAAGCAGTTTCTGAGAACACTTCTGTCTGCCTTTTATGTGAAGACATTCCCTTTTCCAAAGAATGCCTCCAAGGGCTCAAAATATCCACTTGTAGACTTTACAAAGAGAGTGTTTCAAAACTTCTCTACCAAAAGAAAGGTTAAAGACGGTGAGTTCAACGCACACATCACAAAGTTGTTTCTGAGAATGATTCTATCTATGTTTTCCATGAAGATGTTTCCTTTTCTATCATAGGCTTCAAAGTGGTCTAAATATCCACTTGGAAATCCTACAAGAACAGGGTTTCAAAACTTCTCTATCAAACGGAAGACTCCACTCTGTGAGATGAACGCACACATCACAATGAGGTTTCTGAAAATTCTTCTGTCTAGGGTTATAGGAAGAAATCCCGTTTCCAACGAAGGCCTCAAAGAGGTCCAAATATCCACTTGCAGTTTCTACAAAAAGAGTGTTTCAACACTGCTCTATAAAGAGAAAAGTTCCACTCTGTGAGTTGAATGTACACATCACAAAGTAGTTTCTGAGATTGCTTCTGTCTAGGTTTTAGGTGAAGTTATTTCCTTTTCTACTGTGGGCTTCAATGCGCTCTAAATATACACATGCAAATACTACAAAAAGAGTGTTTCAAAACTGCTCTATCAAAAGAAAAGTTTTACTCTGTGGGTTGAACGCACACATCGCAAAGCAGATTCTGAGAATTATTCTGTCTAGTTTTTATAGGAAGATGTTTCTTTTTCTGCCGTAGGCTCAATGCGCTATAAATATCCCCTTGGAAATCCTACAAAAACAGTGTTTCAAAACTGCTCTGTGAAAAGGGAGGTTTCACTCTTTGAATTGAATGCACACATCACAAAGGAGTTTCTGAAAATTCTTCAATCTAGAGTTACATGAAGAAATCCCGTTTCCAAAGAAGGCCTCAAATAGGTCCAAATATCCACTTGCAGCTACTACAAGAAGGGTGTTTCAGAAACGCTCTATCAAAAGAAACGTTAAACTCTGTGAGTTGAACACACACGTCACTAAGCACTTTCTGAGAACGATTCTATCTACTTTTTACATGAAGATGTTTCCTTTTCTAGCAGAGACTTCAAAGTGCTCTAAATATCCACTTGGGAATTCTACAAAAACGGTGTCTCAAAACTGCTCTATCAAACGGAATGTTCCATTCTGTGAGTCGAATGCACACATCCGAAGAAGTTACTGAGAATTCTTCTCTGTAGGTTTAGATGAAGAAATCCCGTTTCCAACGAAGGCCTCTAGGAGGTCCAATTATCCACTTGCAGATTCTACAGAAAGAGTGTTTCAAAACTGCTCTATCAAGAGAAATGGTCCACCGTGTGTGTGGAATGCAGCCATCACACATTAGTTTCTGAGATTGCTTCTGTCTTGGTTTTATGGGGAGATATTTCCATTTCTAGCATAGGCTTCAAGGCGCTCTAAATATCCGCTTGGAAATACTACAAAAACAGTGTTTCAAAACTGCTGTATCCAAAGGAAGGTGCCACTCGCTGAGTTGAATGCACACATCACAAGGAAGTTTCTGAGAATTCTTCTGTCTAGATTCATACGAAGAAATCCCGTTTCCAACGAAGGCCTCAAAGAAGTCCAAATATCCCATTGCAAATTCTACAAAAGGAGTGTTTCCCAACTGCTCTATCAAGAGGAATGTTGCACTCTGTGACTTGAATGCAAACATCACATAGCAGTGTTTGAGAATTCTTCTGTCTAGAGTAACATGAAGAAATCCCGTTTCCAACGAAGGCCTCAAGGCGGTCCAATTATCCACTTGCAGATTCTACAGAAAGAGTGTTTCAAAACTGCTCTATCAAGAGAAATGTTCCACCGTGTGTGTGGAATGCAGCCATCACACAGTAGTTTCTGAGATTGCTTCCGTCTAGGTTTTATGGGAAGATATTTCCTTTTCTACCATAGGCTTCAAGGCGCTCTAATATCCGCTTGGAAATACTACAACCACAGCGTTTCAAACTGCTCTATCCAAAGGAAGGTTCCACTCTGTGACTTGAATGCACACAACCAAAGAAGTTTCGGAGAATTCTTCTGTCTGGATTTATACGAAGAAATCCCGTTTCCAACGAAGACCCAAAGGAGTTCCAAATATCCACTTGCAGATCCTTCAGAAAGAGGGTTTCAAAACTGCTCTATCAAGAGAAATGTTCAACTCTGTGAGTTGAATGCAGACATCACAAAGTCGTTTCTGAGATGGGTTCTGTCTAGGTTTTATGGGAAGATATTTCCTTTTCTACCATACGCTTCAAGGCGTTCCAAATATCCGCTTGGAAATACTACAAAAACAGTGTTTCAAAACTGCTCTATCAAAAGGAAGGATCCACACTGTGAGTTGAATTCACACATCACAAAGAAGTCTACTGAGAATTCTTTCTGTCTGGGTTTATAGGAAGAAATCCCGTTTCCAACGAAGGCCTCAAAGAGGTCCATATATCCACTTGCAGATTCTACAGAAACAATGTTTCCAAACTGCTCGGTCAAGAGGAATGTTGCACTCGGTGAGTTGAATGCACACATCACAAAGTAGTTTCTGAGATTGCTTCTGTCTACCTTTTATGGAAAGATATTCCCTTTTCTACCATAGGCCTGAAAGCGCTCTCAATGTACCCTTGCAAATTCTACAAAAAGAGTGTTTCCAAATTGCTCTATCAAGAGAAATCTTTATCTCGGTGAGTTGAAAGCACACATCACAAAGAAGACTCTGAGAATTCTTCTGTCTGGGTTTATAAGATGAAAACCCAGTTTCCAACGAAGGCCTCAAGGAGGTCCAAATACAAACAAGCTGATTCTACAGAAAGAGTGTTTCCAAACTGCACTATCAAGAGGAATGTTCCACTCGGTGAGTTGAATGCAGACATCACAAAGGAGTTTCTGAGATTGCTTCTGTCTAGCTTTTGTGGAAAGATATTTCCTTTTCTACCATAGGCCTCAAAGCGCTCTTAGTATACACTTCCAAATTCTACAAAGAGAGTGTTACTAAACCGCTCTCTGAAAGGAAATGTTAAACTCTGTGAGTTGAACACAGACATCACAAAGCAGTTTCTGAGAACACTTCTGTCTGCCTTTTATGTGAAGACATTCCCTTTTCCAAAGAATGCCTCCAAGGGCTCAAAATATCCACTTGTAGACTTTACAAAGAGAGTGTTTCAAAACTTCTCTACCAAAAGAAAGGTTAAAGACGGTGAGTTCAACGCACACATCACAAAGTTGTTTCTGACAATGATTCTATCTATGTTTTCCATGAAGATGTTTCCTTTTCTATCATAGGCTTCAAAGTGGTCTAAATATCCACTTGGAAATCCTACAAGAACAGGGTTTCAAAACTTCTCTATCAAACGGAAGACTCCACTCTGTGAGATGAACGCACACATCACAATGAGGTTTCTGAAAATTCTTCTGTCTAGGGTTATAGGAAGAAATCCCGTTTCCAACGAAGGCCTCAAAGAGGTCCAAATATCCACTTGCAGTTTCTACAAAAAGAGTGTTTCAACACTGCTCTATAAAGAGGAAAGTTCCACTCTGTGAGTTGAATGTACACATCACAAAGTAGTTTCTGAGATTGCTTCTGTCTAGGTTTTAGGTGAAGTTATTTCCTTTTCTACTGTGGGCTTCAATGCGCTCTAAATATACACATGCAAATACTACAAAAAGAGTGTTTCAAAACTGCTCTATCAAAAGAAAAGTTTTACTCTGTGAGTTGAACGCACACATCGCAAAGCAGATTCTGAGAATTATTCTGTCTAGTTTTTATAGGAAGATGTTTCTTTTTCTGCCGTAGGCTCAATGCGCTATAAATATCCCCTTGAAAATCCTACAAAAACAGTGTTTCAAAACTGCTCTATGAAAAGGGACGTTTCACTCTTTGAATTGAATGCACACATCACAAAGGAGGTTCTGAAAATTCTTCAAACTAGAGTTACATGAAGAAATCCCGTTTCCAAAGAAGGCCTCAAATAGGTCCAAATATCCACTTGCAGCTACTACAAGAAGGGTGTTTCAGAAACGCTCTATCAAAAGAAACGTTAAACTCTGTGAGTTGAACACACACGTCACTAAGCACTTTCTGAGAACGATTCTATCTACTTTTTACATGAAGATGTTTCCTTTTCTAGCAGAGACTTCAAAGTGCTCTAAATATCCACTTGGGAATTCTACAAAAACGGTGTCTCAAAACTGCTCTATCAAAGGGAATGTTCCATTCTGTGAGTCGAATGCACACATCCGAAGAAGTTACTGAGAATTCTTCTCTGTAGGTTTAGATGAAGAAATCCCGTTTCCAACGAAGGCCTCTAGGAGGTCCAATTATCCACTTGCAGATTCTACAGAAAGAGTGTTTCAAAACTGCTCTATCCAGAGAAATGGTCCACCGTGTGTGTGGAATGCAGCCATCACACATTAGTTTCTGAGATTGCTTCTGTCTTGGTTTTATGGGGAGATATTTCCATTTCTAGCATAGGCTTCAAGGCGCTCTAAATATCCGCTTGGAAATACTACAAAAACAGTGTTTCAAAACTGCTGTATCCAAAGGAAGGTGCCACTCGCTGAGTTGAATGCACACATCACAAGGAAGTTTCTGAGAATTCTTCTGTCTAGATTCATACGAAGAAATCCCGTTTCCAACGAAGGCCTCAAAGAAGTCCAAATATCCCATTGCACATTCTACAAAAGGAGTGTTTCCCAACTGCTCTATCAAGAGGAATGTTGCACTCTGTGACTTGAATGCAAACATCACATAGTAGTGTTTGAGAATTCTTCTATCTAGAGTAACATGAAGAAATCCCGTTTCCAACGAAGGCCTCAAGGCGGTCCAATTATCCACTTGCAGATTCTACAGAAAGAGTGTTTCAAAACTGCTCTATCAAGAGTAATGTTCCACCGTGTGTGTGGAATGCAGCCATCACACAGTAGTTTCTGAGATTGCTTCCGTCTAGGTTTTATGGGAAGATATTTCCTTTTCTACCATAGGCCTCAAGGCGCTCTAATATCCGCTTGGAAATACTACAACCACAGCGTTTCAAACTGCTCTATCCAAAGGAAGGTTCCACTCTGTGACTTGAATGCACACAACCAAAGAAGTTTCGGAGAATTCTTCTGTCTGGATTTATACGAAGAAATCCCGTTTCCAACGAAGACCCAAAGGAGTTCCAAATATCCACTTGCAGATCCTTCAGAAAGAGGGTTTCAAAACTGCTCTATCAAGAGAAATGTTCAACTCTGTGAGTTGAATGCAGACATCACAAAGTCGTTTCTGAGATGGGTTCTGTCTAGGTTTTATGGGAAGATATTTCCTTTTCTACCATACGCTTCAAGGCGTTCCAAATATCCGCTTGGAAATACTACAAAAACAGTGTTTCAAAACTGCTCTATCAAAAGGAAGGATCCACACTGTGAGTTGAATTCACACATCACAAAGAAATCTCTGAGAATTCTTCTGTCTGGGTTTATAGTAAGAAATCCCGTTTCCAACGAAGGCCTCAAAGCGGTCCATATATCCACTTGCAGATTCTACAGAAACAATGTTTCCAAACTGCTCTATCAAGAGGAATGTTGCACTCGGTGAGTTGAATGCACACATCACAAAGTAGTTTCTGAGATTGCTTCTGTCTACCTTTTATGGAAAGATATTCCCTTTTCTACCATAGGCCTGAAAGCGCTCTCAATGTACCCTTGCAAATTCTACAAAAAGAGTGTTTCCAAATTGCTCTATCAAGAGAAATCTTTATCTCGGTGAGTTGAAAGCACACATCACAAAGAAGACTCTGAGAATTCTTCTGTCTGGGTTTATAAGATGAAAACCCGTTTCCAACGAAGGCCTCAAGGAGGTCCAAATACAAACAAGCTGATTCTACAGAAAGAGTGTTTCCAAACTGCTCTATCAAGAGGAATGTTCCACTCGGTGAGTTGAATGCAGACATCACAAAGGAGTTTCTGAGATTGCTTCTGTCTAGCTTTTATGGAAAGATATTTCCTTTTCTACCATAGGCCTCAAAGCGCTCTTAGTATACACTTCCAAATTCTACAAAGAGAGTGTTACTAAACCGCTCTCTCAAAGGAAATGTTAAACTCTGTGAGTTGAACACAGACATCACAAAGCAGTTTCTGAGAACACTTCTGTCTGCCTTTTATGTGAAGACATTCCCTTTTCCAAAGAATGCCTCCAAGGGCCCAAAATATCCACTTGTAGACTTTACAAAGAGAGTGTTTCAAAACTTCTCTACCAAAAGAAAGGTTAAAGACTGTGAGTTCAACGCACACATCACAAAGTTGTTTCTGAGAATGATTCTATCTATGTTTTCCATGAAGATGTTTCCTTTTCTATCATAGGCTTCAAAGTGGTCTAAATATCCACTTGGAAATCCTACAAGAACAGGGTTTCAAAACTTCTCTATCAAACGGAAGACTCCACTCTGTGAGATGAACGCACACATCACAATGAGGTTTCTGAAAATTCTTCTGTCTAGGGTTATAGGAAGAAATCCCGTTTCCAACGAGGACCTCAAAGAGGTCCACATATCCACTTGCAGTTTCTACAAAAAGAGTGTTTCAACACTGCTCTATAAAGAGGAAAGTTCCACTCTGTGAGTTGAATGTACACATCACAAAGTAGTTTCTGAGATTGCTTCTGTCTAGGTTTTAGGTGAAGTTATTTCCTTTTCTACTGTGGGCTTCAATGCGCTCTAAATATACACATGCAAATACTACAAAAAGAGTGTTTCAAAACTGCTCTATCAAAAGAAAAGTTTTACTCTGTGAGTTGAACGCACACATGGCAAAGCAGATTCTGAGAATTATTCTGTCTAGTTTTTATAGGAAGGTGTTTCTTTTTGTGCCGTAGGCTCAATGCGCTATAAATATCCCCTTGGAAATCCTACAAAAACAGTGTTTCCAAACTGCTCTGTGAAAATTGAGGTTTCACTCTTTGAATTGAATGCACACATCACAAAGGAGTTTCTGAGAATTCTTCAATCTAGAGTTACATGAAGAAATCCCGTTTCCAAAGAAGGCCTCCAATAGGTCCAAATATCCACTTGCAGCTACTACAAGAAGGGTGTTTCAGAAACGCTCCATCAAAAGAAACGTTACACTCTGTGAGTTGAACGCACACGTCACTAAGCACTTTCTGAGAACGATTCTATCTACTTTTTACATGAAGATGTTTCCTTTTCTAGCAGAGACTTCAAAGTGCTCTAAATATCCGCTTGGGAATTCTACCAAAACGGTGTCTCAAAACTGCTCTATCGAAGGGAATGTTCCACTCTGTGAGTCGAATGCACACATCTGAAGAAGTTACTGAGAATTCTTCTCTGTAGGTTTAGATGACGAAATCCCGTTTCCAACGAAGGCCTCTAGGAGGTCCAATTATCCACTTGCAGATTCTACAGAAAGAGTGTTTCAAAACTGCTCTATCAAGAGAAATGGTCCACCGTGTGTGTGGAATGCAGCCATCACACATTAGTTTCTGAGATTGCTTCTGTCTTGGTTTTATGGGGAGATATTACCATTTCTAGCGTAGGCTTGAAGGCGCTCTAAATATCCGCTTGGAAATACTACAAAAACAGTGTTTCAAAACTGCTGTATCCAAAGGAAGGTGCCACTCGCTGAGTTGAATGCACACATCACAAAGAAGTTTCTGAGAATTCTTCTGTCTAGATTTATACGAAGAAATCCCGTTTCCAACGAAGGCCTCGAAAAAGTCCAAATATCCCATTGCAAATTCTACAAAGGAGTCTTTGCCAACTGCCCTATCAAGAGGAATGTTGCACTCTGTGACTTGAATGCAAACATCACATAGTAGTGTTTGAGAATTCTTCTATCTAGAGTAACATGAAGAAATCCCGTTTCCAACGAAGGCCTCAAGGCGGTCCAATTATCCACTTGCAGATTCTACAGAAAGAGTGTTTCAAAACTGCTCTATCAAGAGAAATGTTCCACCGTGTGTGTGGAATGCAGCCATCACAAAGTAGTTTCTGAGATTGCTTCCGTCTAGGTTTTATGGGAAGATATTTCCTTTTCTACCATAGGCCTCAAGGCGCTCTAATATCCGCTTGGAAATACTACAACCACAGCGTTTCAATCTGCTCTACCCAAAGGAAGGTTCCACCCTGTGACTTGAATGCACACAACAAAAGAAGTTTCGGAGAATTCTTCTGTCTGGATTTATACGAAGAAATCCCGTTTCCAACGAAGACCCAAAGGAGTTCCAAATATCCACTTGCAGATCCTTCAGAAAGAGGGTTTCAAAACTGCTCTATCAAGAGAAATGTTCAACTCTGTGAGTTGAATGCAGACATCACAAAGTCGTTTCTGAGATTGGTTCTGTCTAGGTTTTATGGGAAGATATTTCCTTTTCTACCATACGCTTCAAGGCGTTCCAAATATCCGCTTGGAAATACTACAAAAACAGTGTTTCAAAACTGCTCTATCAAAAGGAAGGATCCACACTGTGAGTTGAATTCACACATCAGAAAGAAGTCTCTGAGAATTCTTCTGTCTGGGTTTATAGGAAGAAATCCCGTTTCCAACGAAGGCCTCAAAGAGGTCCAAATATCCACTTGCAGATTCTACAGAAACAATGTTTCCAAACTGCTCGGTCAAGAGGAATGTTGCACTCGGTGAGTTGAATGCACACATCACAAAGTAGTTTCTGAGATTGCTTCTGTCTACCTTTGATGGAAAGATATTCCCTTTTCTACCATAGGCCTGAAAGCGCTCTCAATGTACCCTTGCAAATTCTACAAAAAGAGTGTTTCCAAATTGCTCTATCAAGAGAAATCTTTATCTCGGTGAGTTGAAAGCACACATCACAAAGAAGACTCTGAGAATTCTTCTGTCTGGGTTTATAAGATGAAAACCCGTTTCCAACGAAGGCCTCAAGGAGGTCCAAATACAAACAAGCTGATTCTACAGAAAGAGTGTTTCCAAACTGCTCTATCAAGAGGAATGTTCCACTCGGTGAGTTGAATGCAGACATCACAAAGGAGTTTCTGAGATTGCTTCTGTCTAGCTTTTATGGAAAGATATTTCCTTTTCTACCATAGGCCTCAAAGCGCTCTTAGTATACACTTCCAAATTCTACAAAGAGAGTGTTACTAAACCGCTCTCTCAAAGGAAATGTTAAACTCTGTGAGTTGAACACAGACATCACAAAGCAGTTTCTGAGAACACTTCTGTCTGCCTTTTATGTGAAGACATTCCCTTTTCCAAAGAATGCCTCCAAGGGCTCAAAATATCCACTTGTAGACTTTACAAAGAGAGTGTTTCAAAACTTCTCTACCAAAAGAAAGGTTAAAGACGGTGAGTTCAACGCACACATCACAAAGTTGTTTCTGAGAATGATTCTATCTATGTTTTCCATGAAGATGTTTCCTTTTCTATCATAGGCTTCAAAGTGGTCTAAATATCCACTTGGAAATCCTACAAGAACAGGGTTTCAAAACTTCTCTATCAAACGGAAGACTCCACTCTGTGAGATGAACGCACACATCACAATGAGGTTTCTGAAAATTCTTCTGTCTAGGGTTATAGGAAGAAATCCCGTTTCCAACGAAGGCCTCAAAGAGGTCCAAATATCCACTTGCAGTTTCTACAAAAAGAGTGTTTCAACACTGCTCTATAAAGAGGAAAGTTCCACTCTGTGAGTTGAATGTACACATCACAAAATAGTTTCTGAGATTGCTTCTGTCTAGGTTTTAGGTGAAGTTATTTCCTTTTCTACTGTGGGCTTCAATGCGCTCTAAATATACACATGCAAATACTACAAAAAGAGTGTTTCAAAACTGCTCTATCAAAAGAAAAGTTTTACTCTGTGGGTTGAACGCACACATCGCAAAGCAGATTCTGAGAATCATTCTGTCTAGTTTTTATAGGAAGATGTTTCTTTTTCTGCCGTAGGCTCAATGCGCTATAAATATACCCTTGGAAATCCTACAAAAACAGTGTTTCAAAATTGCTCTGTGAAAAGGGAGGTTTCACTCTTTGAATTGAATGCACACATCACAAAGGAGTTTCTGAGAATTCTTCAATCTAGAGTTACATGAAGAAATCCCGTTTCCAAAGAAGGCCTCAAATAGGTCCAAATATCCACTTGCAGCTACTACAAGAAGGGTGTTTCAGAAACGCTCTATCAAAAGAAACGTTACACTCTGTGAGTTAAATGCACACGTCACTAAGCACTTTCTGAGAACGATTCCATCTACTTTTTACATGAAGATGTTTCCTTTTCTAGCAGAGACTTCAAAGTGCTCTAAATATCCACTTGGGAATTCTACAAAAACGGTGGCTCAAAACTGCTCTGTCAAAGGGAATGTTCCATTCTGTGAGTCGAATGCACACATCCGAAGAAGTTACTGAGAATTCTTCTCTGTAGGTTTAGATGAAGAAATCCCGTTTCCAACGAAGACCTCTAGGAGGTCCAATTATCCACTTGCAGATTCTACAGAAAGAGTGTTTCAAAACTGCTCTATCAAGAGAAATGGTCCACCGTGTGTGTGGAATGCAGCCATCACACATTAGTTTCTGAGATTGCTTCTATCTTGGTTTTATGTGGAGATATTTCCATTTCTAGCGTAGGCTTCAAGGCGCTCTAAATATCCGCTTGGAAATACTACAAAAACAGTGTTTCAAAACTGCTGTATCCAAAGGAAGGTGCCACTCGCTGAGTTGAATGCACACATCACAAGGAAGTTTCTGAGAATTCTTCTGTCTAGATTCATACGAAGAAACCCCGTTTCCAACGAAGGCCTCAAAGAAGTCCAAATATCCCATTGCACATTCTACAAAAGGAGTGTTTCCCAACTGCTCTATCAAGAGGAATGTTGCACTCTGTGACTTGAATGCAAACATCACATAGTAGTGTTTGAGAATTCTTCTATCTAGAGTAACATGAAGAAATCCCGTTTCCAACGAAGGCCTCAAGGCGGTCCAATTATCCACTTGCAGATTCTACAGAAAGAGTGTTTCAAAACTGCTCTATCAAGAGAAATGTTCCACCGTGTGTGTGGAATGCAGCCATCACAAAGTAGTTTCTGAGATTGCTTCCGTCTAGGTTTTATGGGAAGATATTTCCTTTTCTACCATAGGCCTCAAGGCGCTCTAATATCCGCTTGGAAATACTACAACCACAGCGTTTCAAACTGCTCTATCCAAAGGAAGGTTCCACTCTGTGACTTGAATGCACACAACCAAAGAAGTTTCGGAGAATTCTTCTGTCTAGATTTATACGAAGAAATCCCGTTTCCAACGAAGACCCAAAGGAGTTCCAAATATCCACTTGCAGATCCTTCAGAAAGAGGGTTTCAAAACTGCTCTATCAAGAGAAATGTTCAACTCTGTGAGTTGAATGCAGACATCACAAAGTCGTTTCTGAGATTGGTTCTGTCTAGGTTTTATGGGAAGATATTTCCTTTTCTACCATACGCTTCAAGGCGTTCCAAATATCCGCTTGGAAATACTACAAAAACGGTGTTTCAAAACTGCTCTATCAAAAGGAGGGATCCACACTGTGAGTTGAATTCACACATCACAAAGAAATCTCTGAGAATTCTTCTGTCTGGGTTTATAGGAAGAAATCCCGTTTCCAACGAAGGCCTCAAAGCGGTCCATATATCCACTTGCAGATTCTACAGAAACAATGTTTCCAAACTGCTCGGTCAAGAGGAATGTTGCACTTGGTGAGTTGAATGCACACATCACAAAGTAGTTTCTGAGATTGCTTCTGTCTACCTTTTATGGAAAGATATTCCCTTTTCTACCATAGGCCTGAAAGCGCTCTCAATGTACCCTTGCAAATTCTACAAAAAGAGTGTTTCCAAATTGCTCTATCAAGAGAAATCTTTATCTCGGTGAGTTGAAAGCACACATCACAAAGAAGACTCTGAGAATTCTTCTGCCTGGGTTTATAAGATGAAAACCCGTTTCCAACGAAGGCCTCAAGGAGGTCCAAATACAAACAAGCTGATTCTACAGAAAGAGTGTTTCCAAACTGCTCTATCAAGAGGAATGTTCCACTCGGTGAGTTGAATGCAGACATCACAAAGGAGTTTCTGAGATTGCTTCTGTCTAGCTTTTATGGAAAGATATTTCCTTTTCTACCATAGGCCTCAAAGCGCTCTTAGTATACACTTCCAAATTCTACAAAGAGAGTGTTACTAAACCGCTCTCTCAAAGGAAATGTTAAACTCTGTGAGTTGAACACAGACATCACAAAGCAGTTTCTGAGAACACTTTCTGTCTGCCTTTTATGTGAAGACATTCCCTTTTCCAAAGAATGCCTCCAAGGGCTCAAAATATCCACTTGTAGACTTTACAAAGAGAGTGTTTCAAAACTTCTCTACCAAAAGAAAGGTTAAAGACGGTGAGTTCAACGCACACATCACAAAGTTGTTTCTGAGAATGATTCTATCTATGTTTTCCATGAAGATGTTTCCTTTTCTATCATAGGCTTCAAAGTGGTCTAAATATCCACTTGGAAATCCTACAAGAACAGGGTTTCAAAACTTCTCTATCAAACGGAAGACTCCACTCTGTGAGATGAACGCACACATCACAATGAGGTTTCTGAAAATTCTTCTGTCTAGGGTTATAGGAAGAAATCCCGTTTCCAACGAAGGCCTCAAAGAGGTCCAAATATCCACTTGCAGTTTCTACAAAAAGAGTGTTTCAACACTGCTCTATAAAGAGGAAAGTTCCACTCTGTGAGTTGAATGTACACATCAGAAAGTAGTTTCTGAGATTGCTTCTGTCTAGGTTTTAGGTGAAGTTATTTCCTTTTCTACTGTGGGCTTCAATGCGCTCTAAATATACACATGCAAATACTACAAAAAGAGTGTTTCAAAACTGCTCTATGAAAAGAAAAGTTTTACTCTGTGGGTTGAACGCACACATCGCAAAGCAGATTCTGAGAATTATTCTGTCTAGTTTTTATAGGAAGATGTTTCTTTTTCTGCCATAGGCTCAATGCGCTATAAATATCCCCTTGGAAATCCTACAAAAACAGTGTTTCAAAACTGCTCTGTGAAAAGGGAGGTTTCACTCTTTGAATTGAATGCACACATCACAAAGGAGTTTCTGAAAATTCTTCAATCTAGAGTTACATGAAGAAATCCCGTTTCCAAAGAAGGCCTCAAATAGGTCCAAATATCCACTTGCAGTTACTACAAGAAGGGTGTTTCAGAAACGCTCTATCAAAAGAAACGTTAAACTCTGTGAGTTGAACACACACGTCACTAAGCACTTTCTGAGAACGATTCTATCTACTTTTTACATGAAGATGTTTCCTTTTCTAGCAGAGACTTCAAAGTGCTCTAAATATCCACTTGGGAATTCTACAAAAACGGTGTCTCAAAACTGCTCTATCAAAGGGAATGTTCCATTCTGTGAGTCGAATGCACACATCCGAAGAAGTTACTGAGAATTCTTCTCTGTAGGTTTAGATGAAGAAATCCCGTTTCCAACGAAGGCCTCTAGGAGGTCCAATTATCCACTTGCAGATTCTACAGAAAGAGTGTTTCAAAACTGCTCTATCAAGAGAAATGGTCCACCGTGTGTGTGGAATGCAGCCATCACACATTAGTTTCTGAGATTGCTTCTGTCTTGGTTTTATGGGGAGATATTTCCATTTCTAGCATAGGCTTCAAGGCGCTCTAAATATCCGCTTGGAAATACTACAAAAACAGTGTTTCAAAACTGCTGTATCCAAAGGAAGGTGCCACTCGCTGAGTTGAATGCACACATCACAAGGAAGTTTCTGAGAATTCTTCTGTCTAGATTCATACGAAGAAATCCCGTTTCCAACGAAGGCCTCAAAGAAGTCCAAATATCCCATTGCAAATTCTACAAAAGGAGTGTTTCCCAACTGCTCTATCAAGAGGAATGTTGCACTCTGTGACTTGAATGCAAACATCACATAGCAGTGTTTGAGAATTCTTCTGTCTAGAGTAACATGAAGAAATCCCGTTTCCAACGAAGGCCTCAAGGCGGTCCAATTATCCACTTGCAGATTCTACAGAAAGAGTGTTTCAAAACTGCTCTATCAAGAGAAATGTTCCACCGTGTGTATGGAATGCAGCCATCACACAGTAGTTTCTGAGATTGCTTCCGTCTAGGTTTTATGGGAAGATATTTCCTTTTCTACCATAGGCTTCAAGGCGATCTAATATCCGCTTGGAAATACTACAACCACAGCGTTTCAAACTGCTCTATCCAAAGGAAGGTTCCACTCCTGTGACTTGAATGCACACAACCAAAGAAGTTTCGGAGAATTCTTCTGTCTAGATTTATACGAAGAAATCCCGTTTCCAACGAAGACCCAAAGGAGTTCCAAATATCCACTTGCAGATCCTTCAGAAAGAGGGTTTCAAAACTGCTCTATCAAGAGAAATGTTCAACTCTGTGAGTTGAATGCAGACATCACAAAGTCGTTTCTGAGATTGGTTCTGTCTAGGTTTTATGGGAAGATATTTCCTTTTCTACCATACGCTTCAAGGCGTTCCAAATATCCGCTTGGAAATACTACAAAAACGGTGTTTCAAAACTGCTCTATCAAAAGGAAGGATCCACACTGTGAGTTGAATTCACACATCACAAAGAAATCTCTGAGAATTCTTCTGTCTGGGTTTATAGGAAGAAATCCCGTTTCCAACGAAGGCCTCAAAGCCGGTCCATATATCCACTTGCAGATTCTACAGAAACAATGTTTCCAAACTGCTCTATCAAGAGGAATGTTGCACTCGGTGAGTTGAATGCACACATCACAAAGTAGTTTCTGAGATTGCTTCTGTCTACCTTTTATGGAAAGATATTCCCTTTTCTACCATAGGCCTGAAAGCGCTCTCAATGTACCCTTGCAAATTCTACAAAAAGAGTGTTTCCAAATTGCTCTATCAAGAGAAATCTTTATCTCGGTGAGTTGAAAGCACACATCACAAAGAAGACTCTGAGAATTCTTCTGTCTGGGTTTATAAGATGAAAACCCGTTTCCAACGAAGGCCTCAAGGAGGTCCAAATACAAACAAGCTGATTCTACAGAAAGAGTGTTTCCAAACTGCTCTATCAAGAGGAATGTTCCACTCGGTGAGTTGAATGCAGACATCACAAAGGAGTTTCTGAGATTGCTTCTGTCTAGCTTTTATGGAAAGATATTTCCTTTTCTACCATAGGCCTCAAAGCGCTCTTAGTATACACTTCCAAATTCTACAAAGAGAGTGTTACTAAACCGCTCTCTCAAAGGAAATGTTAAACTCTGTGAGTTGAACACAGACATCACAAAGCAGTTTCTGAGAACACTTCTGTCTGCCTTTTATGTGAAGACATTCCCTTTTCCAAAGAATGCCTCCAAGGGCTCAAAATATCCACTTGTAGACTTTACAAAGAGAGTGTTTCAAAACTTCTCTACCAAAAGAAAGGTTAAAGACGGTGAGTTCAACGCACACATCACAAAGTTGTTTCTGAGAATGATTCTATCTATGTTTTCCATGAAGATGTTTCCTTTTCTATCATAGGCTTCAAAGTGGTCTAAATATCCACTTGGAAATCCTACAAGAACAGGGTTTCAAAACTTCTCTATCAAACGGAAGACTCCACTCTGTGAGATGAACGCACACATCACAATGAGGTTTCTGAAAATTCTTCTGTCTAGGGTTATAGGAAGAAATCCCGTTTCCAACGAAGGCCTCAAAGAGGTCCAAATATCCACTTGCAGTTTCTACAAAAAGAGTGTTTCAACACTGCTCTATAAAGAGAAAAGTTCCACTCTGTGAGTTGAATGTACACATCACAAAGTAGTTTCTGAGATTGCTTCTGTCTAGGTTTTAGGTGAAGTTATTTCCTTTTCTACTGTGGGCTTCAATGCGCTCTAAATATACACATGCAAATACTACAAAAAGTGTTTCAAAACTGCTCTATCAAAAGAAAAGTTTTACTCTGTGAGTTGAACGCACACATCGCAAAGCAGATTCTGAGAATTATTCTGTCTAGTTTTTATAGGAAGATGTTTCTTTTTCTGCCATAGGATCAATGCGCTATAAATATCCCCTTGGAAGTCCTACAAAAACAGTGTTTCAAAACTGCTCTGTGAAAAGGGAGGTTTCACTCTTTGAATTGAATGCACACATCACAAAGGAGTTTCTGAAAATTCTTCAATCTAGAGTTACATGAAGAAATCCCGTTTCCAAAGAAGGCCTCAAATAGGTCCAAATATCCACTTGCAGCTACTACAAGCAGGGTGTTTCAGAAACGCTCTATCAAAAGAAACGTTAAACTCTGTGAGTTGAACACACACGTCACTAAGCACTTTCTGAGAACGATTCTATCTACTTTTTTCATGAAGATGTTTCCTTTTCTAGCAGAGACTTCAAAGTGCTCTAAATATCCACTTGGGAATTCTACAAAAACGGTGTCTCAAAACTGCTCTATCAAAGGGAATGTTCCATTCTGTGAGTCGAATGCACACATCCGAAGAAGTTACTGAGAATTCTTCTCTGTAAGTTTAGATGAAGAAATCCCGTTTCCAACGAAGGCCTCTAGGAGGTCCAATTATCCACTTGCAGATTCTACAGAAAGAGTGTTTCAAAACTGCTCTATCAAGAGAAATGGTCCACCGTGTGTGTGGAATGCAGCCATCACACATTAGTTTCTGAGATGGCTTCTGTCTTGGTTTTATGGGGAGATATTTCCATTTCTAGCATAGGCTTCAAGGCGCTCTAAATATCCACTTGGAAATACTACAAAAACAGTGTTTCAAAACTGCTGTATCCACAGGAAGGTGCCACTCGCTGAGTTGAATGCACACATCACAAGGAAGTTTCTGAGAATTCTTCTGTCTAGATTCATATGAAGAAATCCCGTTTCCAACGAAGGCCTCAAAGAAGTCCAAATATCCCATTGCAAATTCTACAAAAGGAGTGTTTCCCAACTGCTCTATCAAGAGGAATGTTGCACTCTGTGACTTGCATGCAAACATCACATAGCAGTGTTTGAGAATTCTTCTGTCTAGAGTAACATGAAGAAATCCCGTTTCCAACGAAGGCCTCAAGGCGGTCCAATTATCCACTTGCAGATTCTACAGAAAGAGTGTTTCAAAACTGCTCTATCAAGAGAAATGTTCCACCGTGTGTGTGGAATGCAGCCATCACACAGTAGTTTCTGAGATTGCTTCCGTCTAGGTTTTATGGGAAGATATTTCCTTTTCTACCATAGGCTTCAAGGCGCTCTAATATCCGCTTGGAAATACTACAACCACAGTGTTTCAAACTGCTCTATCCAAAGGAAGGTTCCACTCTGTGACTTGAATGCACACAACCAAAGAAGTTTCGGAGAATTCTTCTGTCTGGATTTATACGAAGAAATCCCGTTTCCAACGAAGACCCAAAGGAGTTCCAAATATCCACTTGCAGATCCTTCAGAAAGAGGGTTTCAAAACTGCTCTATCAAGAGAAATGTTCAACTCTGTGAGTTGAATGCAGACATCACAAAGTCGTTTCTGAGATGGGTTCTGTCTAGGTTTTATGGGAAGATATTTCTTTTTCTACCATACGCTTCAAGGCGTTCCAAATATCCGCTTGGAAATACTACAAAAACGGTGTTTCAAAACTGCTCTATCAAAAGGAAGGATCCACACTGTGAGTTGAATTCACACATCACAAAGAAATCTCTGAGAATTCTTCTGTCTGGGTTTATAGGAAGAAATCCCGTTTCCAACGAAGGCCTCAAAGCCGGTCCATATATCCACTTGCAGATTCTACAGAAACAATGTTTCCAAACTGCTCTATCAAGAGGAATGTTGCACTCGGTGAGTTGAATGCACACATCACAAAGTAGTTTCTGAGATTGCTTCTGTCTACCTTTTATGGAAAGATATTCCCTTTTCTACCATAGGCCTGAAAGCGCTCTCAATGTACCCTTGCAAATTCTACAAAAAGAGTGTTTCCAAATTGCTCTATCAAGAGAAATCTTTATCTCGGTGAGTTGAAAGCACACATCACAAAGAAGACTCTGAGAATTCTTCTGTCTGGGTTTATAAGATGAAAACCCGTTTCCAACGAAGGCCTCAAGGAGGTCCAAATACAAACAAGCTGATTCTACAGAAAGAGTGTTTCCAAACTGCTCTATCAAGAGGAATGTTCCACTCGGTGAGTTGAATGCAGACATCACAAAGGAGTTTCTGGGATTGCTTCTGTCTAGCTTTTATGGAAAGATATTTCCTTTTCTACCATAGGCCTCAAAGCGCTCTTAGTATACACTTCCAAATTCTACAAAGAGAGTGTTACTAAACCGCTCTCTCAAAGGAAATGTTAAACTCTGTGAGTTGAACACAGACATCACAAAGCAGTTTCTGAGAACACTTCTGTCTGCCTTTTATGTGAAGACATTCCCTTTTCCAAAGAATGCCTCCAAGGGCTCAAAATATCCACTCGTAGACTTTACAAAGAGAGTGTTTCAAAACTTCTCTACCAAAAGAAAGGTTAAAGACGGTGAGTTCAACGCACACATCACAAAGTTGTTTCTGAGAATGATTCTATCTATGTTTTCCATGAAGATGTTTCCTTTTCTATCATAGGCTTCAAAGTGGTCTAAATATCCACTTGGAAATCCTACAAGAACAGGGTTTCAAAACTTCTCTATCAAACGGAAGACTCCACTCTGTGAGATGAACGCACACATCACAATGAGGTTTCTGAAAATTCTTCTGTCTAGGGTTATAGGAAGAAATCCCGTTTCCAACGAAGGCCTCAAAGAGGTCCAAATATCCACTTGCAGTTTCTACAAAAAGAGTGTTTCAACACTGCTCTATAAAGAGGAAAGTTCCACTCTGTGAGTTGAATGTACACATCACAAAGTAGTTTCTGAGATTGCTTCTGTCTAGGTTTTAGGTGAAGTTATTTCCTTTTCTACTGTGGGCTTCAATGCGCTCTAAATATACACATGCAAATACTACAAAAAGAGTGTTTCAAAACTGCTCTATCAAAAGAAAAGTTTTACTCTGTGGGTTGAACGCACACATCGCAAAGCAGATTCTGAGAATTATTCTGTCTAGTTTTTATAGGAAGGTGTTTCTTTTTCTGCCGTGGGCTCAATGCGCTATAAATATCCCCTTGGAAATCCTACAAAAACAGTGTTTCCAAACTGCTCTGTGAAAAGGGAGGTTTCACTCTTTGAATTGAATGCACACATCACAAAGGAGTTTCTGAGAATTCTTCAATCTAGAGTTACATGAAGAAATCCCGTTTCCAAAGAAGGCCTCAAATAGGTCCAAATATCCACTTGCAGCTACTACAAGAAGGGTGTTTCAGAAACGCTCTATCAAAAGAAACGTTAAACTCTGTGAGTTGAACACACACGTCACTAAGCACTTTCTGAGAACGATTCTATCTACTTTTTACATGAAGATGTTTCCTTTTCTAACAGAGACTTCAAAGTGCTCTAAATATCCACTTGGGAATTCTACAAAAACGGTGTCGCAAAACTGCTCTATCAAACGGAATGTTCCATTCTGTGAGTCGAATGCACACATCCGAAGAAGTTACTGAGAATTCTTCTCTGTAGGTTTAGATGAAGAAATCCCGTTTCCTACGAAGGCCTCTAGGAGGTCCAATTATCCACTTGCAGATTCTACAGAAAGAGTGTTTCAAAACTGCTCTATCAAGAGAAATGGTCCACCGTGTGTGTGGAATGCAGCCATCACACATTAGTTTCTGAGATTGCTTCTGTCTTGGTTTTATGGGGAGATATTTCCATTTCTAGCATAGGCTTCAAGGCGCTCTAAATATCCGCTTGGAAATACTACAAAAACAGTGTTTCAAAACTGCTGTATCCAAAGGAAGGTGCCACTCGCTGAGTTGAATGCACACATCACAAGGAAGTTTCTGAGAATTCTTCTGTCTAGATTCATACGAAGAAATCCCGTTTCCAACGAAGGCCTCAAAGAAGTCCAAATATCCCATTGCAAATTCTACAAAAGGAGTGTTTCCCAACTGCTCTATCAAGAGGAATGTTGCACTCTGTGACTTGAATGCAAACATCACATAGCAGTGTTTGAGAATTCTTCTATCTAGAGTAACATGAAGAAATCCCGTTTCCAACGAAGGCCTCAAGGCGGTCCAATTATCCACTTGCAGATTCTACAGAAAGAGTGTTTCAAAACTGCTCTATCAAGAGAAATGTTCCACCGTGTGTGTGGAATGCAGCCATCACACAGTAGTTTCTGAGATTGCTTCCGTCTAGGTTTTATGGGAAGATATTTCCTTTTCTACCATAGGCCTCAAGGCGCTCTAATATCCGCTTGGAAATACTACAACCACAGCGTTTCAAACTGCTCTACCCAAAGGAAGGTTCCACCCTGTGACTTGAATGCACACAACCAAAGAAGTTTCGGAGAATTCTTCTGTCTAGATTTATACGAAGAAATCCCGTTTCCAACGAAGACCCAAAGGAGTTCCAAATATCCACTTGCAGATCCTTCAGAAAGAGGGTTTCAAAACTGCTCTATCAAGAGAAATGTTCAACTCTGTGAGTTGAATGCAGACATCACAAAGTCGTTTCTGAGATTGGTTCTGTCTAGGTTTTATGGGAAGATATTTCCTTTTCTACCAGACGCTTCAAGGGGTTCCAAATATCCGCTTGGAAATACTACAAAAACAGTGTTTCAAAACTGCTCTATCAAAAGGAAGGATCCACACTGTGAGTTGAATTCACACATCACAAAGAAGTCTCTGAGAATTCTTCTGTCTGGGTTTATAGGAAGAAATCCCGTTTCCAACGAAGGCCTCAAAGAGGTCCAAATATCCACTTGCAGATTCTACAGAAACAATGTTTCCAAACTGCTCGGTCAAGAGGAATGTTGCACTCGGTGTGTTGAATACACACATCACAAAGTAGTTTCTGAGATTGCTTCTGTCTACCTTTTATGGAAAGATATTCCCTTTTCTACCATAGGCCTGAAAGCGCTCTCAATGTACCCTTGCAAATTCTACAAAAAGAGTGTTTCCAAATTGCTCTATCAAGAGAAATCTTTATCTCGGTGAGTTGAAAGCACACATCACAAAGAAGACTCTGAGAATTCTTCTGTCTGGGTTTATAAGATGAAAACCCGTTTCCAACGAAGGCCTCAAGGAGGTCCAAATACAAACAAGCTGATTCTACAGAAAGAGTGTTTCCAAACTGCTCTATCAAGAGGAATGTTCCACTCGGTGAGTTGAATGCAGACATCACAAAGGAGTTTCTGAGATTGCTTCTGTCTAGCTTTTATGGAAAGATATTTCCTTTTCTACCATAGGCCTCAAAGCGCTCTTAGTATACACTTCCAAATTCTACAAAGAGAGTGTTACTAAACCGCTCTCTCAAAGGAAATGTTAAACTCTGTGAGTTGAACACAGACATCACAAAGCAGTTTCTGAGAACACTTCTGTCTGCCTTTTATGTGAAGACATTCCCTTTTCCAAAGAATGCCTCCAAGGGCTCAAAATATCCACTTGTAGACTTTACAAAGAGAGTGTTTCAAAACTTCTCTACCAAAAGAAAGGTTAAAGACGGTGAGTTCAACGCACACATCACAAAGTTGTTTCTGAGAATGATTCTATCTATGTTTTCCATGAAGATGTTTCCTTTTCTATCATAGGCTTCAAAGTGGTCTAAATATCCACTTGGAAATCCTACAAGAACAGGGTTTCAAAACTTCTCTATCAAACGGAAGACTCCACTCTGTGAGATGAACGCACACATCACAATGAGGTTTCTGAAAATTCTTCTGTCTAGGGTTATAGGAAGAAATCCCGTTTCCAACGAAGGCCTCAAAGAGGTCCAAATATCCACTTGCAGTTTCTACAAAAAGAGTGTTTCAACACTGCTCTATAAAGAGAAAAGTTCCACTCTGTGAGTTGAATGTACACATCACAAAGTAGTTTCTGAGATTGCTTCTGTCTAGGTTTTAGGTGAAGTTATTTCCTTTTCTACTGTGTGCTTCAATGCGCTCTAAATATACACATGCAAATACTACAAAAAGAGTGTTTCAAAACTGCTCTATCCAAAGAAAAGTTTTACTCTGTGGGTTGAACACACACATCGCAAAGCAGATTCTGAGAATTATTCTGTCTAGTTTTTATAGGAAGATGTTTCTTTTTCTGCCATAGGCTCAATGCGCTATAAATATCCCCTTGGAAATCCTACAAAAACAGTGTTTCAAAACTGCTCTGTGAAAAGGGAGGTTTCACTCTTTGAATTGAATGCACACATCACAAAGGAGTTTCTGAAAATTCTTCAATCTAGAGTTACAGGAAGAAATCCCGTTTCCAAAGAAGGCCTCCAATAGGTCCAAATATCCACTTGCAGCTACTACAAGAAGGGTGTTTCAGAAACGCTCTATCAAAAGAAACGTTACACTCTGTGAGTTGAACGCACACGTCACTAAGCACTTTCTGAGAACGATTCTATCTACTTTTTACATGAAGATGTTTCCTTTTCTAGCAGAGACTTCAAAGTGCTCTAAATATCCACTTGGGAATTCTACCAAAACGGTGTCTCAAAACTGCTCTATCGAAGGGAATGTTCCACTCTGTGAGTCGAATGCACACATCCGAAGAAGTTACTGAGAATTCTTCTCTGTAGGTTTAGATGATGAAATCCCGTTTCCAACGAAGGCCTCTAGGAGGTCCAATTATTCACTTGCAGATTCTACAGAAAGAGTGTTTCAAAACTGCTCTATCAAGAGAAATGGTCCACCGTGTGTGTGGAATGCAGCCATCACACATTAGTTTCTGAGATTGCTTCTGTCTTGGTTTTATGGGGAGATATTTCCATTTCTAGCATAGGCTTCAAGGCACTCTAAATATCCGCTTGGAAATACTACAAAAACAGTGTTTCCAAACTGCTGTATCCACAGGAAGGTGCCACTCGCTGAGTTGAATGCACACATCACAAGGAAGTTTCTGAGAATTCTTCTGTCTAGATTCATACGAAGAAATCCCGTTTCCAACGAAGGCCTCAAAGAAGTCCAAATATCCCATTGCAAATTCTACAAAAGGAGTGTTTCCCAACTGCTCTATCAAGAGGAATGTGGCACTCTGTGACTTGAATGCAAACATCACATAGTAGTGTTTGAGAATTCTTCTGTCTAGAGTAACATGAAGAAATCCCGTTTCCAACGAAGGCCTCAAGGCGGTCCAATTATCCACTTGCAGATTCTACAGAAAGAGTGTTTCAAAACTGCTCTATCAAGAGAAATGTTCCACCGTGTGTGTGGAATGCAGCCATCACACAGTAGTTTCTGAGATTGCTTCCGTCTAGGTTTTATGGGAAGATATTTCCTTTTCTACCATAGGCCTCAAGGCGCTCTAATATCCGCTTGGAAATACTACAACCACAGCGTTTCAAACTGCTCTATCCAAAGGAAGGTTCCACTCTGTGAGTTGAATGCACACAACCAAAGATGTTTCGGAGAATTCTTCTGTCTGGATTTATACGAAGAAATCCCGTTTCCAACGAAGACCCAAAGGAGTTCCAAATATCCACTTGCAGATCCTTCAGAAAGAGGGTTTCAAAACTGCTCTATCAAGAGAAATGTTCAACTCTGTGAGTTGAATGCAGACATCACAAAGTCGTTTCTGAGATTGGTTCTGTCTAGGTTTTATGGGAAGATATTTCCTTTTCTACCATACGCTTCAAGGCGTTCCAAATATCCGCTTGGAAATACTACAAAAACAGTGTTTCAAAACTGCTCTATCAAAAGGAAGGATCCACACTGTGAGTTGAATTCACACATCACAAAGAAATCTCTGAGAATTCTTCTGTCTGGGTTTATAGGAAGAAATCCCGTTTCCAACGAAGGCCTCAAAGCGGTCCATATATCCACTTGCAGATTCTACAGAAACAATGTTTCCAAACTGCTCTATCAAGAGGAATGTTGCACTCGGTGAGTTGAATGCACACATCACAAAGTAGTTTCTGAGATTGCTTCTGTCTACCATTTCTACCATAGGCCTGAAAGCGCTCTCAATGTACCCTTGCAAATTCTACAAAAAGAGTGTTTCCAAATTGCTCTATCAAGAGAAATCTTTATCTCGGTGAGTTGAAAGCACACATCACAAAGAAGACTCTGAGAATTCTTCTGTCTGGGTTTATAAGATGAAAACCCGTTTCCAACGAAGGCCTCAAGGAGGTCCAAATACAAACAAGCTGATTCTACAGAAAGAGTGTTTCCAAACTGCTCTATCAAGAGGAATGTTCCACTCGGTGAGTTGAATGCAGACATCACAAAGGAGTTTCTGAGATTGCTTCTGTCTAGCTTTTATGGAAAGATATTTCCTTTTCTACCATAGGCCTCAAAGCGCTCTTAGTATACACTTCCAAATTCTACAAAGAGAGTGTTACTAAACCGCTCTCTCAAAGGAAATGTTAAACTCTGTGAGTTGAACACAGACATCACAAAGCAGTTTCTGAGAACACTTCTGTCTGCCTTTTATGTGAAGACATTCCCTTTTCCAAAGAATGCCTCCAAGGGCTCAAAATATCCACTTGTAGACTTTACAAAGAGAGTGTTTCAAAACTTCTCTACCAAAAGAAAGGTTAAAGACGGTGAGTTCAACGCACACATCACAAAGTTGTTTCTGAGAATGATTCTATCTATGTTTTCCATGAAGATGTTTCCTTTTCTATCATAGGCTTCAAAGTGGTCTAAATATCCACTTGGAAATCCTACAAGAACAGGGTTTCAAAACTTCTCTATCAAACGGAACACTCCACTCTGTGAGATGAACGCACACATCTCAATGAGGTTTCTGAAAATTCTTCTGTCTAGGGTTATAGGAAGAAATCCCCTTTCCAACGAAGGCCTCAAAGAGGTCCAAATATCCACTTGCAGTTTCTACAAAAAGAGTGTTTCAACACTGCTCTATAAAGAGGAAAGTTCCACTCTGTGAGTTGAATGTACACATCACAAAGTAGTTTCTGAGATTGCTTCTGTCTAGGTTTTAGGTGAAGTTATTTCCTTTTCTACTGTGGGCTTCAATGCGCTCTAAATATACACATGCAAATACTACAAAAAGAGTGTTTCAAAACTGCTCTATCAAAAGAAAAGTTTTACTCTGTGGGTTGAACGCACACATCGCAAAGCAGATTCTGAGAATTATTCTGTCTAGTTTTTATAGGAAGATGTTTCTTTTTCTGCCATAGGCTCAATGCGCTATAAATATCCCCTTGGAAATCCTACAAAAACAGTGTTTCAAAACTGCTCTGTGAAAAGGGAGGTTTCACTCTTTGAATTGAATGCACACATCACAAAGGAGTTTCTGAAAATTCTTCAATCTAGAGTTACATGAAGAAATCCCGTTTCCAAAGAAGGCCTCAAATAGGTCCAAATATCCACTTGCAGCTACTACAAGAAGGGTGTTTCAGAAACGCTCTATCAAAAGAAACGTTAAACTCTGTGAGTTGAACACACACGTCACTAAGCACTTTCTGAGAACGATTCTATCTACTTTTTACATGAAGATGTTTCCTTTTCTAGCAGAGACTTCAAAGTGCTCTAAATATCCACTTGGGAATTCTACAAAAACGGTGTCTCAAAACTGCTCTATCAAACGGAATGTTCCATTCTGTGAGTCGAATGCACACATCCGAAGAAGTTACTGAGAATTCTTCTCTGTAGGTTTAGATGAAGAAATCCCGTTTCCAACGAAGGCCTCTAGGAGGTCCAATTATCCACTTGCAGATTCTACAGAAAGAGTGTTTCAAAACTGCTCTATCAAGAGAAATGGTCCACCGTGTGTGTGGAATGCAGCCATCACACATTAGTTTCTGAGATTGCTTCTGTCTTGGTTTTATGGGGAGATATTTCCATTTCTAGCATAGGCTTCAAGGCGCTCTAAATATCCGCTTGGAAATACTACAAAAACAGTGTTTCAAAACTGCTGTATCCAAAAGAAGGTGCCACTCGCTGAGTTGAATGCACACATCACAAGGAAGTTTCTGAGAATTCTTCTGTCTAGATTCATACGAAGAAATCCCGTTTCCAACGAAGGCCTCAAAGAAGTCCAAATATCCCATTGCAAATTCTACTAAAGGAGTGTTTCCCAACTGCTCTATCAAGAGGAATGTTGCACTCTGTGACTTGAATGCAAACATCACATAGCAGTGTTTGAGAATTCTTCTGTCTAGAGTAACATGAAGAAATCCCGTTTCCAACGAAGGCCTCAAGGCGGTCCAATTATCCACTTGCAGATTCTACAGAAAGAGTGTTTCAAAACTGCTCTATCAACAGAAATGTTCCACCGTGTGTGTGGAATGCAGCCATCACACAGTAGTTTCTGAGATTGCTTCCGTCTAGGTTTTATGGGAAGATATTTCCTTTTCTACCATAGGCTTCAAGGCGCTCTAATATCCACTTGGAAATACTACAACCACAGCGTTTCAAACTGCTCTATCCAAAGGAAGGTTCCACTCTGTGACTTGAATGCACACAACCAAAGAAGTTTCGGAGAATTCTTCTGTCTGGATTTATACGAAGAAATCCCGTTTCCAACGAAGACCCAAAGGAGTTCCAAATATCCACTTGCAGATCCTTCAGAAAGAGGGTTTCAAAACTGCTCTATCAAGAGAAATGTTCAACTCTGTGAGTTGAATGCAGACATCACAAAGTCGTTTCTGAGATGGGTTCTGTCTAGGTTTTATGGGAAGATATTTCCTTTTCTACCATACGCTTCAAGGCGTTCCAAATATCCGCTTGGAAATACTACAAAAACGGTGTTTCAAAACTGCTCTATCAAAAGGAAGGATCCACACTGTGAGTTGAATTCACACATCACAAAGAAGTCTCTGAGAATTCTTCTGTCTGGGTTTATAGGAAGAAATCCCGTTTCCAACGAAGGCCTCAAAGCGGTCCATATATCCACTTGCAGATTCTACAGAAACAATGTTTCCAAACTGCTCTATCAAGAGGAATGTTGCACTCGGTGAGTTGAATGCACACATCACAAAGTAGTTTCTGAGATTGCTCTGTCTACCTTTGATGGAAAGATATTCCCTTTTCTACCATAGGCCTGAAAGCGCTCTCAATGTACCCTTGCAAATTCTACAAAAAGAGTGTTTCCAAATTGCTCTATCAAGAGAAATCTTTATCTCGGTGAGTTGAAAGCACACATCACAAAGAAGAACCTGAGAATTCTTTCTGTCTGGGTTTATAAGATGAAAACCCGTTTCCAACGAAGGCCTCAAGGAGGTCCAAATACAAACAAGCTGATTCTACAGAAAGAGTGTTTCCAAACTGCTCTATCAAGAGGAATGTTCCACTCGGTGAGTTGAATGCAGACATCACAAAGGAGTTTCTGAGATTGCTTCTGTCTAGCTTTTATGGAAAGATATTTCCTTTTCTACCATAGGCCTCAAAGCGCTCTTAGTATACACTTCCAAATTCTACAAAGAGAGTGTTACTAAACCGCTCTCTCAAAGGAAATGTTAAACTCTGTGAGTTGAACACAGACATCACAAAGCAGTTTCTGAGAACACTTCTGTCTGCCTTTCATGTGAAGACATTCCCTTTTCCAAAGAATGCCTCCAAGGGCTCAAAATATCCACTTGTAGACTTTACAAAGAGAGTGTTTCAAAACTTCTCTACCAAAAGAAAGGTTAAAGACGGTGAGTTCAACGCACACATCACAAAGTTGTTTCTGACAATGATTCTATCTATGTTTTCCATGAAGATGTTTCCTTTTCTATCATAGGCTTCAAAGTGGTCTAAATATCCACTTGGAAATCCTAGAAGAACAGGGTTTCAAAACTTCTCTATCAAACGGAAGACTCCACTCTGTGAGATGAACGCACACATCACAATGAGGTTTCTGAAAATTCTTCTGTCTAGGGTTATAGGAAGAAATCCCGTTTCCAACGAAGGCCTCAAAGAGGTCCAAATATCCACTTGCAGTTTCTACAAAAAGAGTGTTTCAACACTGCTCTATAAAGAGGAAAGTTCCACTCTGTGAGTTGAATGTACACATCACAAAGTAGTTTCTGAGATTGCTTCTGTCTAGGTTTTAGGTGAAGTTATTTCCTTTTCTACTGTGGGCTTCAATGCGCTCTAAATATACACTTGCAAATACTACAAAAAGAGTGTTTCAAAACTGCTCTATCAAAAGAAAAGTTTTACTCTGTGGGTTGAACGCACACATCGCAAAGCAGATTCTGAGAATTACTCTGTCTAGTTTTTATAGGAAGATGTTTCTTTTTCTGCCATAGGTATCAATGCGCTATAAATATCCCCTTGGAAATCCTACAAAAACAGTGTTTCAAAACTGCTCTGTGAAAAGGGACGTTTCACTCTTTGAATTGAATGCACACATCACAAAGGAGTTTCTGAAAATTCTTCAAACTAGAGTTACATGAAGAAATCCCGTTTCCAAAGAAGGCCTCAAATAGGTCCAAATATCCACTTGCAGCTACTACAAGAAGGGTGTTTCAGAAACGCTCTATCAAAAGAAACGTTAAACTCTGTGAGTTGAACACACACGTCACTAAGCACTTTCTGAGAACGATTCTATCTACTTTTTACATGAAGATGTTTCCTTTTCTAGCAGAGACTTCAAAGTGCTCTAAATATCCACTTGGGAATTCTACAAAAACGGTGTCTCAAAACTGCTCTACCAAAGGGAATGTTCCATTCTGTGAGTCGAATGCACACATCCGAAGAAGTTACTGAGAATTCTTCTCTGTAGGTTTAGATGAAGAAATCCCGTTTCCAACGAAGGCCTCTAGGAGGTCCAATTATCCACTTGCAGATTCTACAGAAAGAGTGTTTCAAAACTGCTCTATCAAGAGAAATGGTCCACCGTGTGTGTGGAATGCAGCCATCACACATTAGTTTCTGAGATTGCTTCTGTCTTGGTTTTATGGGGAGATATTTCCATTTCTAGCATAGGCTTCAAGGCGCTCTAAATATCCGCTTGGAAATACTACAAAAACAGTGTTTCAAAACTGCTGTATCCAAAGGAAGGTGCCACTCGCTGAGTTGAATGCACACATCACAAGGAAGTTTCTGAGAATTCTTCTGTCTAGATTCATACGAAGAAATCCCGTTTCCAACGAAGGCCTCAAAGAAGTCCAAATATCCCATTGCAAATTCTACAAAAGGAGTGTTTCCCAACTGCTCTATCAAGAGGAATGTTGCACTCTGTGACTTGCATGCAAACATCATATAGCAGTGTTTGAGAATTCTTCTGTCTAGAGTAACATGAAGAAATCCCGTTTCCAACGAAGGCCTCAAGGCGGTCCAATTATCCACTTGCAGATTCTACAGAAAGAGTGTTTCAAAACTGCTCTATCAAGAGAAATGTTCCACCGTGTGTGTGGAATGCAGCCATCACACAGTAGTTTGTGAGATTGCTTCCGTCTAGGTTTTATGGGAAGATATTTCCTTTTCTACCATAGGCCTCAAGGCGCTCTAATATCCGCTTGGAAATACTACAACCACAGCGTTTCAAACTGCTCTATCCAAAGGAAGGTTCCACTCTGTGACTTGAATGCACACAACCAAAGAAGTTTCGGAGAATTCTTCTGTCTAGATTTATACGAAGAAATCCCGTTTCCAACGAAGACCCAAAGGAGTTCCAAATATCCACTTGCAGATCCTTCAGAAAGAGGGTTTCAAAACGGCTCTATCAAGAGAAATGTTCAACTCTGTGAGTTGAATGCAGACATCACAAAGTCGTTTCTGAGATTGGTTCTGTCTAGGTTTTATGGGAAGATATTTCCTTTTCTACCATACGCTTCAAGGCTTTCCAAATATCCGCTTGGAAATACTACAAAAACAGTGTTTCAAAACTGCTCTATCAAAAGGAAAGGATCCACACTGTGAGTTGAATTCACACATCACAAAGAAATCTCTGAGAATTCTTCTGTCTGGGTTTATAGGAAGAAATCCCGTTTCCAACGAAGGCCTCAAAGCGGTCCATATATCCACTTGCAGATTCTACAGAAACAATGTTTCCAAACTGCTCGGTCAAGAGGAATGTTGCACTCGGTGAGTTGAATGCACACATCACAAAATAGTTTCTGAGATTGCTTCTGTCTACCTTTTATGGAAAGATATTCCCTTTTCTACCATAGGCCTGAAAGCGCTCTCAATGTACCCTTGCAAATTCTACAAAAAGAGTGTTTCCAAATTGCTCTATCAAGAGAAATCTTTATCTCGGTGAGTTGAAAGCACACATCACAAAGAAGACTCTGAGAATTCTTCTGTCTGGGTTTATAAGATGAAAACCCGTTTCCAACGAAGGCCTCAAGGAGGTCCAAATACAAACAGGGTGATTCTACAGAAAGAGTGTTTCCAAACTGCTCTATCAAGAGGAATGTTCCACTCGGTGAGTTGAATGCAGACATCACAAAGGAGTTTCTGAGATTGCTTCTGTCTAGCTTTTATGGAAAGATATTTCCTTTTCTACCATAGGCCTCAAAGCGCTCTTAGTATACACTTCCAAATTCTACAAAGAGAGTGTTACTAAACCGCTCTCTCAAAGGAAATGTTACACTCTGTTAGTTGAACACAGACATCACAAAGCAGTTTCTGAGAACACTTCTGTCTGCCTTTTAGTGTGAAGACATTCCCTTTTCCAAAGAATGCCTCCAAGGACTCAAAATATCCACTTGTAGACTTTACAAAGAGAGTGTTTCAAAACTTCTCTACCAAAAGAAAGGTTAAAGACGGTGAGTTCAACGCACACATCACAAAGTTGTTTCTGAGAATGATTCTATCTATGTTTTCCATGAAGATGTTTCCTTTTCTATCATAGGCTTCAAAGTGGTCTAAATATCCACCTGGAAATCCTACAAGAACAGGGTTTCAAAGCTTCTCTATCAAACGGAAGACTCCACTCTGTGAGATGAACGCACACATCACAATGAGGTTTCTGAAAATTCTTCTGTCTAGGGTTATAGGAAGTAATCCCCTTTCCAACGAAGGCCTCAAAGAGGTCCAAATATCCACTTGCAGTTTCTACAAAAAGAGTGTTTCAACACTGCTCTATAAAGAGGAAAGTTCCACTCTGTGAGTTGAATGTACACATCACAAAGTAGTTTCTGAGATTGCTTCTGTCTAGGTTTTAGGTGAAGTTATTTCCTTTTCTACTGTGGGCTTCAATGCGCTCTAAATATACACATGCAAATACTACAAAAAGAGTGTTTCAAAACTGCTCTATCAAAAGAAAAGTTTTACTCTGTGGGTTGAACGCACACATCGCAAAGCAGATTCTGAGAATTATTCTGTCTAGTTTTTATAGGAAGATGTTTCTTTTTCTGCCATAGGCTCAATGCGCTATAAATATCCCCTTGGAAATCCTACAAAAACAGTGTTTCAAAACTGCTCTGTGAAAAGGGAGGTTTCACTCTTTGAATTGAATGCACACATCACAAAGGAGTTTCTGAAAATTCTTCAATCTAGAGTTACATGAAGAAATCCCGTTTCCAAAGAAGGCCTCAAATAGGTCCAAATATCCACTTGCAGCTACTACAAGAAGGGTGTTTCAGAAACGCTCTATCAAAAGAAACGTTAAACTCTGTGAGTTGAACACACACGTCACTAAGCACTTTCTGAGAACGATTCTATCTACTTTTTACATGAAGATGTTTCCTTTTCTAGCAGAGACTTCAAAGTGCTCTAAATATCCACTTGGGAATTCTACAAAAACGGTGTCTCAAAACTGCTCTACCAAAGGGAATGTTCCATTCTGTGAGTCGAATGCACACATCCGAAGAAGTTACTGAGAATTCTTCTCTGTAGGTTTAGATGAAGAAATCCCGTTTCCAACGAAGGCCTCTAGGAGGTCCAATTATCCACTTGCAGATTCTACAGAAAGAGTGTTTCAAAACTGCTCTATCAAGAGAAATGGTCCACCGTGTGTGTGGAATGCAGCCATCACACATTAGTTTCTGAGATTGCTTCTGTCTTGGTTTTATGGGGAGATATTTCCATTTCTAGCATAGGCTTCAAGGCGCTCTAAATATCCGCTTGGAAATACTACAAAAACAGTGTTTCAAAACTGCTGTATCCAAAGGAAGGTGCCACTCGCTGAGTTGAATGCACACATCACAAGGAAGTTTCTGAGAATTCTTCTGTCTAGATTCATACGAAGAAATCCCGTTTCCAACGAAGGCCTCAAAGAAGTCCAAATATCCCATTGCAAATTCTACAAAAGGAGTGTTTCCCAACTGCTCTATCAAGAGGAATGTTGCACTCTGTGACTTGAATGCAAACATCACATAGCAGTGTTTGAGAATTCTTCTGTCTAGAGTAACATGAAGAAATCCCGTTTCCAACGAAGGCCTCAAGGCGGTCCAATTATCCACTTGCAGATTCTACAGAAAGAGTGTTTCAAAACTGCTCTATCAAGAGAAATGTTCCACCGTGTGTGTGGAATGCAGCCATCACACAGTAGTTTCTGAGATTGCTTCCGTCTAGGTTTTATGGGAAGATATTTCCTTTTCTACCATAGGCCTCAAGGCGCTCTAATATCCGCTTGGGAATACTACAACCACAGCGTTTCAAACTGCTCTATCCAAAAGAAGGTTCCACTCTGTGACTTGAATGCACACAACCAAAGAAGTTTCGGAGAATTCTTCTGTCTGGATTTATACGAAGAAATCCCGTTTCCAACGAAGACCCAAAGGAGTTCCAAATATCCACTTGCAGATCCTTCAGAAAGAGGGTTTCAAAACTGCTCTATCAAGAGAAATGTTCAACTCTGTGAGTTGAATGCAGACATCACAAAGTCGTTTCTGAGATGGGTTCTGTCTAGGTTTTATGGGAAGATATTTCCTTTTCTACCATACGCTTCAAGGCGTTCCAAATATCCGCTTGGAAATACTACAAAAACAGTGTTTCAAAACTGCTCTATCAAAAGGAAGGATCCACACTGTGAGTTGAATTCACACATCACAAAGAAGTCTCTGAGAATTCTTCTGTCTGGGTTTATAGGAAGAAATCCCGTTTCCAACGAAGGCCTCAAAGCGGTCCATATATCCACTTGCAGATTCTACAGAAACAATGTTTCCAAACTGCTCTATCAAGAGGAATGTTGCACTCGGTGAGTTGAATGCACACATCACAAAGTAGTTTCTGAGATTGCTTCTGTCTACCTTTTCTACCATAGGCCTGAAAGCGCTCTCAATGTACCCTTGCAAATTCTACAAAAAGAGTGTTTCCAAATTGCTCTATCAAGAGAAATCTTTATCTCGGTGAGTTGAAAGCACACATCACAAAGAAGACTCTGAGAATTCTTCTGTCTGGGTTTATAAGATGAAAACCCGTTTCCAACGAAGGCCTCAAGGAGGTCCAAATACAAACAAGCTGATTCTACAGAAAGAGTGTTTCCAAACTGCTCTATCAAGAGGAATGTTCCACTCGGTGAGTTGAATGCAGACATCACAAAGGAGTTTCTGAGATTGCTTCTGTCTAGCTTTTATGGAAAGATATTTCCTTTTCTACCATAGGCCTCAAAGCGCTCTTAGTATACACTTCCAAATTCTACAATGAGAGTGTTACTAAACCGCTCTCTCAAAGGAAATGTTAAACTCTGTGAGTTGAACACAGACATCACAAAGCAGTTTCTGAGAACACTTCTGTCTGCCTTTTATGTGAAGACATTCCCTTTTCCAAAGAATGCCTCCAAGGGCTCAAAATATCCACTTGTAGACTTTACAAAGAGAGTGTTTCAAAACTTCTCTACCAAAAGAAAGGTTAAAGACGGTGAGTTCAACGCACACATCACAAAGTTGTTTCTGAGAATGATTCTATCTATGTTTTCCATGAAGATGTTTCCTTTTCTATCATAGGCTTCAAGGTGGTCTAAATATCCACTTGGAAATCCTACAAGAACAGGGTTTCAAAACTTCTCTATCAAACGGAAGACTCCACTCTGTGAGATGAACGCACACATCACAATGAGGTTTCTGAAAATTCTTCTGTCTAGGGTTATAGGAAGAAATCCCGTTTCCAACGAAGGCCTCAAAGAAGGTCCAAATATCCACTTGCAGTTTCTACAAAAAGAGTGTTTCAACACTGCTCTATAAAGAGGAAAGTTCCACTCTGTGAGTTGAATGTACACATCACAAAGTAGTTTCTGAGATTGCTTCTGTCTAGGTTTTAGGTGAAGTTATTTCCTTTTCTACTGTGGGCTTCAATGCGCTCTAAATATACACATGCAAATACTACAAAAAGAGTGTTTCAAAACTGCTCTATCAAAAGAAAAGTTTTACTCTGTGGGTTGAACGCACACATCGCAAAGCAGATTCTGAGAATTATTCTGTCTAGTTTTTATAGGAAGATGTTTCTTTTTCTGCCATAGGCTCAATGCGCTATAAATATCCCCTTGGAAATCCTACAAAAACAGTGTTTCAAAACTGCTCTGTGAAAAGGGAGGTTTCACTCTTTGAATTGAATGCACACATCACAAAGGAGTTTCTGAAAATTCTTCAATCTAGAGTTACATGAAGAAATCCCGTTTCCAAAGAAGGCCTCAAATAGGTCCAAATATCCACTTGCAGCTACTACAAGAAGGGTGTTTCAGAAACGCTCTATCAAAAGAAACGTTAAACTCTGTGAGTTGAACACACACGTCACTAAGCACTTTCTGAGAACGATTCTATCTACTTTTTACATGAAGATGTTTCCTTTTCTAGCAGAGACTTCAAAGTGCTCTAAATATCCACTTGGGAATTCTACAAAAACGGTGTCTCAAAACTGCTCTATCAAACGGAATGTTCCATTCTGTGAGTCGAATGCACACATCCGAAGAAGTTACTGAGAATTCTTCTCTGTAGGTTTAGATGAAGAAATCCCGTTTCCAACGAAGGCCTCTAGGAGGTCCAATTATCCACTTGCAGATTCTACAGAAAGAGTGTTTCAAAACTGCTCTATCAAGAGAAATGGTCCACCGTGTGTGTGGAATGCAGCCATCACACATTAGTTTCTGAGATTGCTTCTGTCTTGGTTTTATGGGGAGATATTTCCATTTCTAGCATAGGCTTCAAGGCGCTCTAAATATCCGCTTGGAAATACTACAAAAACAGTGTTTCAAAACTGCTGTATCCAAAGGAAGGTGCCACTCGCTGAGTTGAATGCACACATCACAAGGAAGTTTCTGAGAATTCTTCTGTCTAGATTCATACGAAGAAATCCCGTTTCCAACGAAGGCCTCAAAGAAGTCCAAATATCCCATTGCAAATTCTACAAAAGGAGTGTTTCCCAACTGCTCTATCAAGAGGAATGTTGCACTCTGTGACTTGAATGCAAACATCACATAACAGTGTTTGAGAATTCTTCTGTCTAGAGTAACATGAAGAAATCCCGTTTCCAACGAAGGCCTCAAGGCGGTCCAATTATCCACTTGCAGATTCTACAGAAAGAGTGTTTCAAAACTGCTCTATCAAGAGAAATGTTCCACCGTGTGTGTGGAATGCAGCCATCACACAGTAGTTTCTGAGATTGCTTCCGTCTAGGTTTTATGGGAAGATATTTCCTTTTCTACCATAGGCTTCAAGGCGCTCTAATATCCGCTTTGAAATACTACAACCACAGCGTTTCAAACTGCTCTATCCAAAGGAAGGTTCCACTCTGTGACTTGAATGCACACAACCAAAGAAGTTTCGGAGAATTCTTCTGTCTGGATTTATACGAAGAAATCCCGTTTCCAACGAAGACCCAAAGGAGTTCCAAATATCCACTTGCAGATCCTTCAGAAAGAGGGTTTCAAAACTGCTCTATCAAGAGAAATGTTCAACTCTGTGAGTTGAATGCAGACATCACAAAGTCGTTTCTGAGATGGGTTCTGTCTAGGTTTTATGGGAAGATATTTCCTTTTCTACCATACGCTTCAAGGCTTTCCAAATATCCGCTTGGAAATACTACAAAAACAGTGTTTCAAAACTGCTCTATCAAAAGGAAGGATCCACACTGTGAGTTGAATTCACACATCACAAAGAAATCTCTGAGAATTCTTCTGTCTGGGTTTATAGGAAGAAATCCCGTTTCCAACGAAGGCCTCAAAGCGGTCCATATATCCACTTGCAGATTCTACAGAAACAATGTTTCCAAACTGCTCGGTCAAGAGGAATGTTGCACTCGGTGAGTTGAATGCACACATCACAAAGTAGTTTCTGAGATTGCTTCTGTCTACCTTTTATGGAAAGATATTCCCTTTTCTACCATAGGCCTGAAAGCGCTCTCAATGTACCCTTGCAAATTCTACAAAAAGAGTGTTTCCAAATTGCTCTATCAAGAGAAATCTTTATCTCGGTGAGTTGAAAGCACACATCACAAAGAAGACTCTGAGAATTCTTCTGTCTGGGTTTATAAGATGAAAACCCGTTTCCAACGAAGGCCTCAAGGAGGTCCAAATACAAACAAGCTGATTCTACAGAAAGAGTGTTTCCAAACTGCTCTATCAAGAGGAATGTTCCACTCGGTGAGTTGAATGCAGACATCACAAAGGAGTTTCTGAGATTGCTTCTGTCTAGCTTTTATGGAAAGATATTTCCTTTTCTACCATAGGCCTCAAAGCGCTCTTAGTATACACTTCCAAATTCTACAAAGAGAGTGTTACTAAACTGCTCTATCAAAGGAAATGTTAAACTCTGTGAGTTGAACACAGACATCACAAAGCAGTTTTTGAGAACACTTCTGTCTGCCTTTTATGTGAAGACATTCCCTTTTCCAAAGAATGCCTCCAAGGGCCCAAAATATCCACTTGTAGACTTTACAAAGAGAGTGTTTCAAAACTTCTCTACCAAAAGAAAGGTTAAAGACTGTGAGTTCAACGCACACATCACAAAGTTGTTTCTGAGAATGATTCTATCTATGTTTTCCATGAAGATGTTTCCTTTTCTATCATAGGCTTCAAAGTGGTCTAAATATCCACTTGGAAATCCTACAAGAACAGGGTTTCAAAACTTCTCTATCAAACGGAAGACTCCACTCTGTGAGATGAACGCACACATCACAATGAGGTTTCTGAAAATTCTTCTGTCTAGGGTTATAGGAAGAAATCCCGTTTCCAACGAAGGCCTCAAAGAGGTCCAAATATCCACTTGCAGTTTCTACAAAAAGAGTGTTTCAACACTGCTCTATAAAGAGAAAAGTTCCACTCTGTGAGTTGAATGTACACATCACAAAGTAGTTTCTGAGATTGCTTCTGTCTAGGTTTTAGGTGAAGTTATTTCCTTTTCTACTGTGGGCTTCAATGCGCTCTAAATATACACATGCAAATACTACAAAAAGAGTGTTTCAAAACTGCTCTATCAAAAGAAAAGTTTTACTCTGTGAGTTGAACGCACACATCGCAAAGCAGATTCTGAGAATTATTCTGTCTAGTTTTTATAGGAAGATGTTTCTTTTTCTGCCATAGGCTCAATGCGCTATAAATATCCCCTTGGAAATCCTACAAAAACAGTGTTTCAAAACTGCTCTGTGAAAAGGGAGGTTTCACTCTTTGAATTGAATGCACACATCACAAAGGAGTTTCTGAAAATTCTTCAAACTAGAGTTACATGAAGAAATCCCGTTTCCAAAGAAGGCCTCAAATAGGTCCAAATATCCACTTGCAGCTACTACAAGAAGGGTGTTTCAGAAACGCTCTATCAAAAGAAACGTTAAACTCTGTGAGTTGAACGCACACGTCACTAAGCACTTTCTGAGAACGATTCTATCTACTTTTTACATGAAGATGTTTCCTTTTCTAGCAGAGACTTCAAAGTGCTCTAAATATCCACTTGGGAATTCTACAAAAACGGTGTCTCAAACCTGCTCCATCAAAGGGAATGTTCCATTCTGTGAGTCGAATGCACACATCCGAAGAAGTTACTGAGAATTCTTCTCTGTAGGTTTAGATGAAGAAATCCCGTTTCCAACGAAGGCCTCTAGGAGGTCCAATTATCCACTTGCAGATTCTACAGAAAGAGTGTTTCAAAACTGCTCTATCAAGAGAAATGGTCCACCGTGTGTGTGGAATGCAGCCATCACACATTAGTTTCTGAGATTGCTTCTGTCTTGGTTTTATGGGGAGATATTACCATTTCTAGCGTAGGCTTCAAGGCGCTCTAAATATCCGCTTGGAAATACTACAAAAACAGTGTTTCAAAACTGCTGTATCCAAAGGAAGGTGCCACTCGCTGAGTTGAATGCACACATCACAAAGAAGTTTCTGAGAATTCTTCTGTCTAGATTCATACGAAGAAATCCCGTTTCCAACGAAGGCCTCAAAGAAGTCCAAATATCCCATTGCAAATTCTACAAAAGGAGTGTTTCCCAACTGCTCTATCAAGAGGAATGTTGCACTCTGTGACTTGAATGCAAACATCACATAGCAGTGTTTGAGAATTCTTCTGTCTAGAGTAACATGAAGAAATCCCGTTTCCAACGAAGGCCTCAAGGCGGTCCAATTATCCACTTGCAGATTCTACAGAAAGAGTGTTTCAAAACTGCTCTATCAAGAGAAATGTTCCACCGTGTGTGTGGAATGCAGCCATCACACAGTAGTTTCTGAGATTGCTTCCGTCTAGGTTTTATGGGAAGATATTTCCTTTTCTACCATAGGCCTCAAGGCGCTCTAATATCCGCTTGGAAATACTACAACCAGATCGTTTCAAACTGCTCTATCCAAAGGAAGGTTCCACTCTGTGACTTGAATGCACACAACCAAAGAAGTTTCGGAGAATTCTTCTGTCTGGATTTATACGAAGAAATCCCGTTTACAACGAAGACCCAACGGAGTTCCAAATATCCACTTGCAGATCCTTCAGAAAGAGGGTTTCAAAACTGCTCTATCAGGAGAAATGTTCAACTCTGTGAGTTGAATGCAGACATCACAAAGTCGTTTCTGAGATTGGTTCTGTCTAGGTTTTATGGGAAGATATTTCCTTTTCTACCATACGCTTCAAGGCGTTCCAAATATCCGCTTGGAAATACTACAAAAACGGTGTTTCAAAACTGCTCTATCAAAAGGAAGGATCCACACTGTGAGTTGAATTCACACATCACAAAGAAATCTCTGAGAATTCTTCTGTCTGGGTTTATAGGAAGAAATCCCGTTTCCAACGAAGGCCTCAAAGCGGTCCATATATCCACTTGCAGATTCTACAGAAACAATGTTTCCAAACTGCTCTATCAAGAGGAATGTTGCACTCGGTGAGTTGAATGCACACATCACAAAGTAGTTTCTGAGATTGCTTCTGTCTACCTTTTCTACCATAGGCCTGAAAGCGCTCTCAATGTACCCTTGCAAATTCTACAAAAAGAGTGTTTCCAAATTGCTCTATCAAGAGAAATCTTTATCTCGGTGAGTTGAAAGCACACATCACAAAGAAGACTCTGAGAATTCTTCTGTCTGGGTTTATAAGATGAAAACCCGTTTCCAACGAAGGCCTCAAGGAGGTCCAAATACAAACAAGCTGATTCTACAGAAAGAGTGTTTCCAAACTGCTCTATCAAGAGGAATGTTCCACTCGGTGAGTTGAATGCAGACATCACAAAGGAGTTTCTGAGATTGCTTCTGTCTAGCTTTTATGGAAAGATATTTCCTTTTCTACCATAGGCCTCAAAGCGCTCTTAGTATACACTTCCAAATTCTACAAAGAGAGTGTTACTAAACCGCTTTCTCAAAGGAAATGTTAAACTCTGTGAGTTGAACACAGACATCACAAAGCAGTTTCTGAGAACACTTCTGTCTGCCTTTTATGTGAAGACATTCCCTTTTCCAAAGAATGCCTCCAAGGGCTCAAAATATCCACTTGTAGACTTTACAAAGAGAGTGTTTCAAAACTTCTCTACCAAAAGAAAGGTTAAAGACGGTGAGTTCAACGCACACATCACAAAGTTGTTTCTGAGAATGATTCTATCTATGTTTTCCATGAAGATGTTTCCTTTTCTATCATAGGCTTCAAAGTGGTCTAAATATCCACTTGGAAATCCTACAAGAACAGGGTTTCAAAACTTCTCTATCAAACGGAAGACTCCACTCTGTGAGATGAACGCACACATCCCAATGAGGTTTCTGAAAATTCTTCTGTCTAGGGTTATAGGAAGAAATCCCGTTTCCAACGAAGGCCTCAAAGAGGTCCAAATATCCACTTGCAGTTTCTACAAAAAGAGTGTTTCAACACTGCTCTATAAAGAGGAAAGTTCCACTCTGTGAGTTGAATGTACACATCACAAAGTAGTTTCTGAGATTGCTTCTGTCTAGGTTTTAGGTGAAGTTATTTCCTTTTCTACTGTGGGCTTCAATGTGCTCTAAATATACACATGCAAATACTACAAAAAGAGTGTTTCAAAACTGCTCTATCAAAAGAAAAGTTTTACTCTGTGGGTTGAACGCACACATCGCAAAGCAGATTCTGAGAATTATTCTGTCTAGTTTTTATAGGAAGATGTTTCTTTTTCTGCCATAGGATCAATGCGCTATAAATATCCCCTTGGAAATCCTACAAAAACAGTGTTTCAAAACTGCTCTGTGAAAAGGGAAGTTTCACTCTTTGAATTGAATGCACACATCACAAAGGAGTTTCTGAAAATTCTTCAATCTAGAGTTACATGAAGAAATCCCGTTTCCAAAGAAGGCCTCAAATAGGTCCAAATATCCACTTGCAGCTACTACAAGAAGGGTGTTTCAGAAACGCTCTATCAAAAGGAAAGTTACACTCTGTGAGTTGAACGCACACGTCACTAAGCACTTTCTGAGAACGATTCTATCTACTTTTTACATGAAGATGTTTCCTTTTCTAGCAGAGACTTCAAAGTGCTCTAAATATCCACTTGGGAATTCTACCAAAACGGTGTCTCAAAACTGCTCTATCGAAGGGAATGTTCCACTCTGTGAGTCGAATGCACACATCCGAAGAAGTTACTGAGAATTCTTCACTGTACGTTTAGATGAAGAAATCCCGTTTCCAACGAAGGCCTCTAGGAAGTCCAATTATCCACTTGCAGATTCTACAGAAAGAGTGTTTCAAAACTGCTCTATCAAGAGAAATGGTCCACCGTGTGTGTGGAATGCAGCCATCACACATTAGTTTCTGAGATTGCTTCTGTCTTGGTTTTATGGGGAGATATTTCCATTTCTAGCATAGGATTCAAGGCGCTCTAAATATCCGCTTGGAAATACTACAAAAACTGTGTTTCAAAACTGCTGTATACAAAGGAAGGTGCCACTCGCTGAGTTGAATGCACACATCACAAAGAAGTTTCTGAGAATTCTTCTGTCTAGATTCATACGAAGAAATCCCGTTTCCAACAAAGGCCTCAAAGAAGTCCAAATATCCCATTGCAAATTCTACAAAAGGAGTGTTTCCCAACTGCTCTATCAAGAGGAATGTTGCACTCTCTGACTTGCATGCAAACATCACATAGCAGTGTTTGAGAATTCTTCTGTCTAGAGTAACATGAAGAAATCCCGTTTCCAACGAAGGCCTCAAGGCGGTCCAATTATCCACTTGCAGATTCTACAGAAAGAGTGTTTCAAAACTGCTCTATCAAGAGAAATGTTCCACCGTGTGTGTGGAATGCAGCCATCACACAGTAGTTTCTGAGATTGCTTCCGTCTAGGTTTTATGGGAAGATATTTCCTTTTCTACCATAGGCCTCAAGGCGCTCTAATATCCGCTTGGAAATACTACAACCACAGCGTTTCAAACTGCTCTATCCAAAGGAAGGTTCCACTCTGTGACTTGAATGCACACAACCAGAGAAGTTTCGGAGAATTCTTCTGTCTGGATTTATACGAAGAAATCCCGTTTCCAACGAAGACCCAAAGGAGTTCCAAATATCCACTTGCAGATCCTTCAGAAAGAGGGTTTCAAAACTGCTCTATCAAGAGAAATGTTCAACTCTGTGAGTTGAATGCAGACATCACAAAGTCGTTTCTGAGATGGGTTCTGTCTAGGTTTTATGGGAAGATATTTCCTTTTCTACCATACGCTTCAAGGCGTTCCAAATATCCGCTTGGAAATACTACAAAAACGGTGTTTCAAAACTGCTCTATCAAAAGGAAGGATCCACACTGTGAGTTGAATTCACACATCACAAAGAAATCTCTGAGAATTCTTCTGTCTGGGTTTATAGGAAGAAATCCCGTTTCCAACGAAGGCCTCAAAGAGGTCCATATATCCACTTGCAGATTCTACAGAAACAATGTTTCCAAACTGCTCGGTCAAGAGGAATGCTGCACTCGGTGAGTTGAATGCACACATCACAAAGTAGTTTCTGAGATTGCTTCTGTCTACCTTTTATGGAAAGATATTCCCTTTTCTACCATAGGCCTGAAAGCGCTCTCAATGTACCCTTGCAAATTCTACAAAAAGAGTGTTTCCAAATTGCTCTATCAAGAGAAATCTTTATCTCGGTGAGTTGAAAGCACACATCACAAAGAAGACTCTGAGAATTCTTCTGTCTGGGTTTATAAGATGAAAACCCGTTTCCAACGAAGGCCTCAAGGAGGTCCAAATACAAACAAGCTGATTCTACAGAAAGAGTGTTTCCAAACTGCTCTATCAAGAGGAATGTTCCACTCGGTGAGTTGAATGCAGACATCACAAAGGAGTTTCTGAGATTGCTTCTGTCTAGCTTTTATGGAAAGATAATTCCTTTTCTACCGTAGGCCTCAAAGCGCTCTTAGTATACACTTCCAAATTCTACAAAGAGAGTGTTACTAAACCGCTCTCTCAAAGGAAATGTTAAACTCTGTGAGTTGAACACAGACATCACAAAGCAGTTTCTGAGAACACTTCTGTCTGCCTTTTATGTGAAGACATTCCCTTTTCCAAAGAATGCCTCCAAGGGCTCAAAATATCCACTTGTAGACTTTACAAAGAGAGTGTTTCAAAACTTCTCTACCAAAAGAAAGGTTAAAGACGGTGAGTTCAACGCACACATCACAAAGTTGTTTCTGAGAATGATTCTATCTATGTTTTCCATGAAGATGTTTCCTTTTCTATCATAGGCTTCCAAGTGGTCTAAATATCCACCTGGAAATCCTACAAGAACAGGGTTTCAAAGCTTCTCTATCAAACGGAAGACTCCACTCTGTGAGATGAACGCACACATCACAATGAGGTTTCTGAAAATTCTTCTGTCTAGGGTTATAGGAAGAAATCCCGTTTCCAACGAAGGCCTCAAAGAGGTCCAAATATCCACTTGCAGTTTCTACAAAAAGAGTGTTTCAACACTGCTCTATAAAGAGGAAAGTTCCACTCTGTGAGTTGAATGTACACATCACAAAGTAGTTTCTGAGATTGCTTCTGTCTAGGTTTTAGGTGAAGTTATTTCCTTTTCTACTGTGGGCTTCAATGCGCTCTAAATATACACATGGAAATACTACAGAAAGAGTGTTTCAAAACTGCTCTATCAAAAGAAAAGTTTTACTCTGTGGGTTGAACGCACACATCGCAAAGCAGATTCTGAGAATTATTCTGTCTAGTTTTTATTGGAAGATGTTTCTTTTTCTGCCGTAGGCTCAATGCGCTATAAATATCCCCTTGGAAATCCTACAAAAACAGTGTTTCAAAACTGCTCTGTGAAAAGGGAGGTTTCACTCTTTGATTGAATGCACACATCACAAAGGAGTTTCTGAAAATTCTTCAAACTAGAGTTACATGAAGAAATCCCGTTTCCAAAGAAGGCCTCAAATAGGTCCAAATATCCACTTGCAGCTACTACAAGCTGGGTGTTTCAGAAACGCTATATCAAAAGAAACGTTAAACTCTGTGAGTTGAACACACACGTCACTAAGCACTTTCTGAGAACGATTCTATCTACTTTTTACATGAAGATGTTTCCTTTTCTAGCAGAGACTTCAAAGTGCTCTAAATATCCACTTGGGAATTCTACAAAAACGGTGTCTCAAAACTGCTCTATCAAAGGGAATGTTCCATTCTGTGAGTCGAATGCACACATCCGAAGAAGTTACTGAGAATTCTTCTCTGTAGGTTTAGATGAAGAAATCCCGTTTCCAACGAAGGCCTCTAGGAGGTCCAATTATCCACTTGCAGATTCTACAGAAAGAGTGTTTCAAAACTGCTCTATCAAGAGAAATGGTCCACCGTGTGTGTGGAATGCAGCCATCACACATTAGTTTCTGAGATTGCTTCTGTCTTGGTTTTATGGGGAGATATTTCCATTTCTAGCATAGGCTTCAAGGCGCTCTAAATATCCGCTTGGAAATACTACAAAAACAGTGTTTCAAAACTGCTGTATCCAAAGGAAGGTGCCACTCGCTGAGTTGAATGCACACATCACAAGGAAGTTTCTGAGAATTCTTCTGTCTAGATTCATACGAAGAAATCCCGTTTCCAACGAAGGCCTCAAAGAAGTCCAAATATCCCATTGCAAATTCTACAAAAGGAGTGTTTCCCAACTGCTCTATCAAGAGGAATGTTGCACTCTGTGACTTGAATGCAAACATCACACAGCAGTGTTTGAGAATTCTTCTGTCTAGAGTAACATGAAGAAATCCCGTTTCCAACGAAGGCCTCAAGGCGGTCCAATTATCCACTTGCAGATTCTACAGAAAGAGTGTTTCAAAACTGCTCTATCAAGAGAAATGTTCCACCGTGTGTGTGGAATGCAGCCATCACACAGTAGTTTCTGAGATTGCTTCCGTCTAGGTTTTATGGGAAGATATTTCCTTTTCTACCATAGGCTTCAAGGCGCTCTAATATCCGCTTGGAAATACTACAACCAGAGCGTTTCAAACTGCTCTATCCAAAGGAAGGTTCCACTCTGTGACTTGAATGCACACAACCAAAGAAGTTTCGGAGAATTCTTCTGTCTAGATTTGTACGAAGAAATCCCGTTTCCAACGAAGACCCAAAGGAGTTCCAAATATCCACTTGCAGATCCTTCAGAAAGAGGGTTTCAAAACTGCTCTATCAAGAGAAATGTTCAACTCTGTGAGTTGAATGCAGACATCACAAATTCGTTTCTGAGATTGGTTCTGTCTAGGTTTTATGGGAAGATATTTCCTTTTCTACCAGACGCTTCAAGGCGTTCCAAATATCCGCTTGGAAATACTACAAAAACAGTGTTTCGAAACTGCTCTATCAAAAGGAAGGTTCCACACTGTGAGTTGAATTCACACATCACAAAGAAGTCTCTGAGAATTCTTCTGTCTGGGTTTATAGGAAGAAATCCCGTTTCCAACGAAGGCCTCAAAGCGGTCCATATATCCACTTGCAGATTCTACAAAAACAATGTTTCCAAACTGCTCTATCAAGAGGAATGTTGCACTCGGTGAGTTGAATGCACACATCACAAAGTAGTTTCTGAGATTGCTTCTGTCTACCTTTGATGGAAAGATATTCCCTTTTCTACCATAGGCCTGAAAGCGGTCTCAATGTACCCTTGCAAATTCTACAAAAAGAGTGTTTCCAAATTGCTCTATCAAGAGAAATCTTTATCTCGGTGAGTTGAAAGCACACATCACAAAGAAGACTCTGAGAATTCTTCTGTCTGGGTTTATAAGATGAAAACCCGTTTCCAACGAAGGCCTCAAGGAGGTCCAAATACAAACAAGCTGATTCTACAGAAAGAGTGTTTCCAAACTGCTCTATCAAGAGGAATGTTCCACTCGGAGAGTTGAATGCCGACATCACAAAGGAGTTTCTGAGATTGATTCTGTCTAGCTTTTATGGAAAGATATTTCCTTTTCTACCATAGGCCTCAAAGCACTCTTAGTATACACTTCCAAATTCTACAAAGAGAGTGTTACTAAACCGCTCTCTCAAAGGAAATGTTAAACTCTGTGAGTTGAACACAGACATCACAAAGCAGTTTCTGAGAACACTTCTGTCTGCCTTTTATGTGAAGACATTCCCTTTTCCAGAGAATGCCTCCAAGGGCTCAAAGTATCCACTTGTAGACTTTACAAAGAGAGTGTTTCAAAACTTCTCTACCAAAAGAAAGGTTAAAGACGGTGAGTTCAACGCACACATCACAAAGTTGTTTCTGAGAATGATTCTATCTATGTTTTCGATGAAGATGTTTCCTTTTCTATCATAGGCTTCAAAGTGGTCTAAATATCCACTTGGAAATCCTACAAGAACAGGGTTTCAAAACTTCTCTATCAAACGGAAGACTCCACTCTGTGAGATGAACGCACACATCAAAATGAGGTTTCTGAAAATTCTTGTCTAGGGTTATAGGAAGAAATCCCGTTTCCAACGAAGGCCTCAAAGAGGTCCAAATATCCACTTGCAGTTTCTACAAAAAGAGTGTTTCAACACTGCTCTATAAAGAGAAAAGTTCCACTCTGTGAGTTGAATGTACACATCACAAAGTAGTTTCTGAGATTGCTTCTGTCTAGGTTTTAGGTGAAGTTATTTCCTTTTCTACTGTGGGCTTCAATGCGCTCTAAATATACACATGCAAATACTACAAAAAGAGTGTTTCAAAACTGCTCTATCAAAAGAAAAGTTTTACTCTGTGAGTTGAACGCACACATCGCAAAGCAGATTCTGAGAATTATTCTGTCTAGTTTTTATAGGAAGATGTTTCTTTTTCTGCCATAGGCTCAATGCGCTATAAATATCCCCTTGGAAATCCTACAAAAACAGTGTTTCAAAACTGCTCTGTGAAAAGGGAGGTTTCACTCTTTGAATTGAATGCACACATCACAAAGGAGTTTCTGAAAATTCTTCAATCTAGAGTTACATGAAGAAATCCCGTTTCCAAAGAAGGCCTCAAATAGGTCCAAATATCCACTTGCAGCTACTACAAGAAGGGTGTTTCAGAAACGCTCTATCAAAAGAAACGTTAAACTCTGTGAGTTGAACACACACGTCACTAAGCACTTTCTGAGAACGATTCTATCTACTTTTTACATTAAGATGTTTCCTTTTCTAGCAGAGACTTCAAAGTGCTCTAAATATCCACTTGGGAATTCTACAAAAACTGTGTCTCAAACCTGCTCTATCAAAGGGAATGTTCCATTCTGTGAGTCGAATGCACACATCCGAAGAAGTTACTGAGAATTCTTCTCTGTAGGTTTAGATGAAGAAATCCCGTTTCCAACGAAGGCCTCTAGGAGGTCCAATTATCCACTTGCAGATTCTACAGAAAGAGTGTTTCAAAACTGCTCTATCAAGAGAAATGGTCCACCGTGTGTGTGGAATGCAGCCATCACACATTAGTTTCTGAGATTGCTTCTGTCTTGGTTTTATGGGGAGATATTTCCATTTCTAGCATAGGCTTCAAGGCGCTCTAAATATCCGCTTGGAAATACTACAAAAACAGTGTTTCAAAACTGCTGTATCCAAAGGAAGGTGCCACTCGCTGAGTTGAATGCACACATCACAAGGAAGTTTCTGAGAATTCTTCTGTCTAGATTCATACGAAGAAATCCCGTTTCCAACGAAGGCCTCAAAGAAGTCCAAATATCCCATTGCAAATTCTACAAAAGGAGTGTTTCCCAACTGCTCTATCAAGAGGAATGTTGCACTCTGTGACTTGAATGCAAACATCACATAGCAGTGTTTGAGAATTCTTCTGTCTAGAGTAACATGAAGAAATCCCGTTTCCAACGAAGGCCTCAAGGCCGTCCAATTATCCACTTGCAGATTCTACAGAAAGAGTGTTTCAAAACTGCTCTATCAAGAGAAATGTTCCACCGTGTGTGTGGAATGCAGCCATCACACAGTAGTTTCTGAGATTGCTTCCGTCTAGGTTTTATGGGAAGATATTTCCTTTTCTACCATAGGCTTCAAGGCGCTCTAATATCCGCTTGGAAATACTACAACCACAGCGTTTCAAACTGCTCTATCCAAAGGAAGGTTCCACTCTGTGACTTGAATGCACACAACCAAAGAAGTTTCGGAGAATTCTTCTGTCTGGATTTATACGAAGAAATCCCGTTTCCAACGAAGACCCAAAGGAGTTCCAAATATCCACTTGCAGCTCCTTCAGAAAGAGGGTTTCAAAACTGCTCTATCAAGAGAAATGTTCAACTCTGTGAGTTGAATGCAGACATCACAAAGTCGTTTCTGAGATGGGTTCTGTCTAGGTTTTATGGGAAGATATTTCCTTTTCTACCATACGCTTCAAGGCGTTCCAAATATCCGCTTGGAAATACTACAAAAACGGTGTTTCAAAACTGCTCTATCAAAAGGAAGGATCCACACTGTGAGTTGAATTCACACATCACAAAGAAATCTCTGAGAATTCTTCTGTCTGGGTTTATAGGAAGAAATCCCGTTTCCAACGAAGGCCTCAAAGAGGTCCATATATCCACTTGCAGATTCTACAGAAACAATGTTTCCAAACTGCTCTATCAAGAGGAATGTTGCACTCGGTGAGTTGAATGCACACATCACAAAGTAGTTTCTGAGATTGCTTCTGTCTACCTTTTATGGAAAGATATTCCCTTTTCTACCATAGGCCTGAAAGCGCTCTCAATGTACCCTTGCAAATTCTACAAAAAGAGTGTTTCCAAATTGCTCTATCAAGAGAAATCTTTATCTCGGTGAGTTGAAAGCACACATCACAAAGAAGACTCTGAGAATTCTTCTGTCTGGGTTTATAAGATGAAAACCCGTTTCCAACGAAGGCCTCAAGGAGGTCCAAATACAAACAAGCTGATTCTACAGAAAGAGTGTTTCCAAACTGCTCTATCAAGAGGAATGTTCCACTCGGTGAGTTGAATGCAGACATCACAAAGGAGTTTCTGAGATTGCTTCTGTCTAGCTTTTATGGAAAGATATTTCCTTTTCTACCATAGGCCTCAAAGCGCTCTTAGTATACACTTCCAAATTCTACAAAGAGAGTGTTACTAAACCGCTCTCTCAAAGGAAATGTTAAACTCTGTGAGTTGAACACAGACATCACAAAGCAGTTTCTGAGAACACTTCTGTCTGCCTTTTATGTGAAGACATTCCCTTTTCCAAAGAATGCCTCCAAGGGCTCAAAATATCCACTTGTAGACTTTACAAAGAGAGTGTTTCAAAACTTCTCTACCAAAAGAAAGGTTAAAGACGGTGAGTTCAACGCACACATCACAAAGTTGTTTCTGAGAATGATTCTATCTATGTTTTCCATGAAGATGTTTCCTTTTCTATCATAGGCTTCAAAGTGGTCTAAATATCCACTTGGAAATCCTACAAGAACAGGGTTTCAAAACTTCTCTATCAAACGGAAGACTCCACTCTGTGAGATGAACGCACACATCACAATGAGGTTTCTGAAAATTCTTCTGTCTAGGGTTATAGGAAGAAATCCCGTTTCCAACGAAGGCCTCAAAGAGGTCCAAATATCCACTTGCAGTTTCTACAAAAAGAGTGTTTCAACACTGCTCTATAAAGAGGAAAGTTCCACTCGGTGAGTTGAATGTACACATCACAAAGTAGTTTCTGAGATTGCTTCTGTCTAGGTTTTAGGTGAAGTTATTTCCTTTTCTACTGTGGGCTTCAATGCGCTCTAAATATACACATGCAAATACTACAAAAAGAGTGTTTCAAAACTGCTCTATCAAAAGAAAAGTTTTACTCTGTGAGTTGAACGCACACATCGCAAAGCAGATTCTGAGAATTATTCTGTCTAGTTTTTATAGGAAGATGTTTCTTTTTCTGCCATAGGATCAATGCGCTATAAATATCCCCTTGGAAATCCTACAAAAACAGTGTTTCAAAACTGCTCTGTGAAAAGAGAGGTTTCACTCTTTGAATTGAATGCACACTTCACAAAGGAGTTTCTGAAAATTCTTCAATCTAGAGTTACATGAAGAAATCCCGTTTCCAAAGCAAGGCCTCAAATAGGTCCAAATATCCACTTGCAGCTACTACAAGAAGGGTGTTTCAGAAACGCTCTATCAAAAGAAACGTTAAACTCTGTGAGTTGAACGCACACGTCACTAAGCACTTTCTGAGAACGATTCTATCTACTTTTTACATGAAGATGTTTCCTTTTCTAGCAGAGACTTTAAAGTGCTCTAAATATCCACTTGGGAATTCTACAAAAACGGTGTCTCAAAACTGCTCTATCAAAGGGAATGTTCCATTCTGTGAGTCGAATGCACACATCCGAAGAAGTTACTGAGAATTCTTCTCTGTAGGTTTAGATGAAGAAATCCCGTTTCCAACGAAGGCCTCTAGGAGGTCCAATTATCCACTTGCAGATTCTACAGAAAGAGTGTTTCAAAACTGCTCTATCAAGAGAAATGGTCCACCGTGTGTGTGGAATGCAGCCATCACACATTAGTTTCTGAGATTGCTTCTGTCTTGGTTTTATGGGGAGATATTTCCATTTCTAGCATAGGCTTCAAGGCGCTCTAAATATCCGCTTGGAAATAGTACAAAAACAGTGTTTCAAAACTGCTGTATCCAAAGGAAGGTGCCACTCGCTGAGTTGAATGCACACATCACAAGGAAGTTTCTGAGAATTCTTCTGTCTAGATTCATACGAAGAAATCCCGTTTCCAACAAAGGCCTCAAAGAAGTCCAAATATCCCATTGCAAATTCTACAAAAGGAGTGTTTCCCAACTGCTCTATCAAGAGGAATGTTGCACTCTGTGACTTGAATGCAAACATCACATAGCAGTGTTTGAGAATTCTTCTGTCTAGAGTAACATGAAGAAATCCCGTTTCCAACGAAGGCCTCAAGGCGGTCCAATTATCCACTTGCAGATTCTACAGAAAGAGTGTTTCAAAACTGTTCTATCAAGAGAAATATTCCACCGTGTGTGTGGAATGCAGCCATCACACAGTAGTTTCTGAGATTGCTTCCGTCTAGGTTTTATGGGAAGATATTTCCTTTTCTACCATAGGCCTCAAGGCGCTCTAATATCCGCTTGGAAATACTACAACCAGAGCGTTTCAAACTGCTCTATCCAAAGGAAGGTTCCACTCTGTGACTTGAATGCACACAACCAAAGTAGTTTCGGAGAATTCTTCTGTCTGGATTTATACGAAGAAATCCCGTTTCCAACGAAGACCCAAAGGAGTTCCAAATATCCACTTGCAGATCCTTCAGAAAGAGGGTTTCAAAACTGCTCTATCAAGAGAAATGTTCATCTCTGTGAGTTGAATGCAGACATCACAAAGTCGTTTCTGAGATTGGTTCTGTCTAGGTTTTATGGGAAGCATATTTCTTTTTCTACCATACGCTTCAAGGCGTTCCAAATATCCGCTTGGAAATACTACAAAAACGGTGTTTCAAAACTGCTCTATCAAAAGGAAGGATCCACACTGTGAGTTGAATTCACACATCACAAAGAAATCTCTGAGAATTCTTCTGTCTGGGTTTATAGGAAGAAATCCCGTTTCCAACGAAGGCCTCAAAGCGGTCCATATATCCACTTGCAGATTCTACAGAAACAATGTTTCCAAACTGCTCGGTCAAGAGGAATGTTGCACTCGGTGAGTTGAATGCACACATCACAAAGTAGTTTCTGAGATTGCTTCTGTCTACCTTTTATGGAAAGATATTCCCTTTTCTACCATAGGCCTGAAAGCGCTCTCAATGTACCCTTGCAAATTCTACAAAAAGAGTGTTTCCAAATTGCTCTATCAAGAGAAATCTTTATCTCGGTGAGTTGAAAGCACACATCACAAAGAAGACTCTGAGAATTCTTCTGTCTGGGTTTATAAGATGAAAACCCGTTTCCAACGAAGGCCTCAAGGAGGTCCAAATACAAACAAGCTGATTCTACAGAAAGAGTGTTTCCAAACTGCTCTATCAAGAGGAATGTTCCACTCGGTGAGTTGAATGCAGACATCACAAAGGAGTTTCTGAGATTGCTTCTGTCTAGCTTTTATGGAAGATATTTCCTTTTCTACCATAGGCCTCAAAGCGCTCTTAGTATACACTTCCAAATTCTACAAAGAGAGTGTTACTAAACCGCTCTCTCAAAGGAAATGTTAAACTCTGTGAGTTGAACACAGACATCACAAAGCAGTTTCTGAGAACACTTCTGTCTGCCTTTTATGTGAAGACATTCCCTTTTCCAAAGAATGCCTCCAAGGGCTCAAAATATCCACTTGTAGACTTTACAAAGAGAGTGTTTCAAAACTTCTCTACCAAAAGAAAGGTTAAAGACGGTGAGTTCAACGCACACATCACAAAGTTGTTTCTGAGAATGATTCTATCTATGTTTCCATGAAGATGTTTCCTTTTCTATCATAGGCTTCAAAGTGGTCTAAATATCCACTTGGAAATCCTACAAGAACAGGGTTTCAAAACTTCTCTATCAAACGGAAGACTCCACTCTGTGAGATGAACGCACACATCACAATGAGGTTTCTGAAAATTCTTCTGTCTAGGGTTATAGGAAGAAATCCCGTTTCCAACGAAGGCCTCAAAGAGTTCCAAATATCCACCTGCAGTTTCTACAAAAAGAGTGTTTCAACACTGCTCTGTAAAGGGGAACGTTCCACTCTGTGAGTTGAATGTACACATCACAAAGTAGTTTCTGAGATTGCTTCTGTCTAGGTTTTAGGTGAAGTTATTTCCTTTTCTACTTTGGGCTTCAATGCGCTCTAAATATACACATGCAAATACTACAAAAAGAGTGTTTCAAAACTGCTCTATCAAAAGAAAAGTTTTACTCTGTGGGTTGAACGCACACATCGCAAAGCAGATTCTGAGAATTATTCTGTCTAGTTTTTATAGGAAGATGTTTCTTTTTCTGCCATAGGCTCAATGCGCTATAAATATCCCCTTGGAAGTCCTACAAAAACAGTGTTTCAAAACTGCTCTGTGAAAAGGGAGGTTTCACTCTTTGAATTGAATGCACACATCACAAAGGAGTTTCTGAAAATTCTTCAAACTAGAGTTACATGAAGAAATCCCGTTTCCAAAGAAGGCCTCAAATAGGTCCAAATATCCACTTGCAGCTACTACAAGAAGGGTGTTTCAGAAACGCTCTATCAAAAGAAACGTTAAACTCTGTGAGTTGAACGCACACGTCACTAAGCACTTTCTGAGAACGATTCTATCTACTTTTTACATGAAGATGTTTCCTTTTCTAGCAGAGACTTCAAAGTGCTCTAAATATCCTCTTGGGAATTCTACAAAAACGGTGTCTCAAAACTGCTCTATCAAAGGGAATGTTCCATTCTGTGAGTCGAATGCACACATCCGAAGAAGTTACTGAGAATTCTTCTCTGTAGGTTTAGATGAAGAAATCCCGTTTCCAACGAAGGCCTCTAGGAGGTCCAATTATCCACTTGCAGATTCTACAGAAAGAGTGTTTCAAAACTGCTCTATCAAGAGAAATGGTCCACCGTGTGTGTGGAATGCAGCCATCACACATTAGTTTCTGAGATTGCTTCTGTCTTGGTTTTATGGGGAGATATTTCCATTTCTAGCATAGGCTTCAAGGCGCTCTAAATATCCGCTTGGAAATACTACAAAAACAGTGTTTCAAAACTGCTGTATCCAAAGGAAGGTGCCACTCGCTGAGTTGAATGCACACATCACAAGGAAGTTTCTGAGAATTCTTCTGTCTAGATTCATACGAAGAAATCCCGTTTCCAACGAAGGCCTCAAAGAAGTCCAAATATCCCATTGCAAATTCTACAAAAGGAGTGTTTCCCAACTGCTCTATCAAGAGGAATGTTGCACTCTGTGACTTGAATGCAAACATCACATAGCAGTGTTTGAGAATTCTTCTGTCTAGAGTAACATGAAGAAATCCCGTTTCCAACGAAGGCCTCAAGGCGGTCCAATTATCCACTTGCAGATTCTACAGAAAGAGTGTTTCAAAACTGCTCTATCAAGAGAAATGTTCCACCGTGTGTGTGGAATGCAGCCATCACACAGTAGTTTCTGAGATTGCTTCCGTCTAGGTTTTATGGGAAGATATTTCCTTTTCTACCATAGGCCTCAAGGCGCTCTAATATCCGCTTGGAAATACTACAACCACAGCGTTTCAAACTGCTCTATCCAAAGGAAGGTTCCACTCTGTGACTTGAATGCACACAACCAAAGAAGTTTCGGAGAATTCTTCTGTCTGGATTTATACGAAGAAATCCCGTTTCCAACGAAGACCCAAAGGAGTTCCAAATATCCACTTGCAGATCCTTCAGAAAGAGGGTTTCAAAACTGCTCTATCAAGAGAAATGTTCAACTCTGTGAGTTGAATGCAGACATCACAAAGTCGTTTCTGAGATGGGTTCTGTCTAGGTTTTATGGGAAGATATTTCCTTTTCTACCATACGCTTCAAGGCGTTCCAAATATCCGCTTGGAAATACTACAAAAACAGTGTTTCAAAACTGCTCTATCAAAAGGAAGGATCCACACTGTGAGTTGAATTCACACATCACAAAGAAATCTCTGAGAATTCTTCTGTCTGGGTTTATAGGAAGAAATCCCGTTTCCAACGAAGGCCTCAAAGCGGTCCATATATCCACTTGCAGATTCTACAGAAACAATGTTTCCAAACTGCTCTATCAAGAGGAATGTTGCACTCGGTGAGTTGAATGCACACATCACAAAGTAGTTTCTGAGATTGCTTCTGTCTACCTTTTATGGAAAGATATTCCCTTTTCTACCATAGGCCTGAAAGCGCTCTCAATGTACCCTTGCAAATTCTACAAAAAGAGTGTTTCCAAATTGCTCTATCAAGAGAAATCTTTATCTCGGTGAGTTGAAAGCACACATCACAAAGAAGACTCTGAGAATTCTTCTGTCTGGGTTTATAAGATGAAAACCCGTTTCCAACGAAGGCCTCAAGGAGGTCCAAATACAAACAAGCTGATTCTACAGAAAGAGTGTTTCCAAACTGCTCTATCAAGAGGAATGTTCCACTCGGTGAGTTGAATGCAGACATCACAAAGGAGTTTTCTGAGATTGCTCTGTCTAGCTTTTATGGAAAGATATTTCCTTTTCTACCATAGGCCTCAAAGCGCTCTTAGTATACACTTCCAAATTCTACAAAGAGAGTGTTACTAAACCGCTCTCTCAAAGGTAATGTTAAACTCTGTGAGTTGAACACAGACATCACAAAGCAGTTTCTGAGAACACTTCTGTCTGCCTTTTATGTGAAGACATTCCCTTTTCCAAAGAATGCCTCCAAGGGCTCAAAATATCCACTTGTAGACTTTACAAAGAGAGTGTTTCAAAACTTCTCTACCAAAAGAAAGGTTAAAGACGGTGAGTTCAACGCACACATCACAAAGTTGTTTCTGAGAATGATTCTATCTATGTTTTCCATGAAGATGTTTCCTTTTCTATCATAGGCTTCAAAGTGGTCTAAATATCCACTTGGAAATCCTACAAGAACAGGGTTTCAAAACTTCTCTATCAAACGGAAGACTCCACTCTGTGAGATGAACGCACACATCACAATGAGGTTTCTGAAAATTCTTCTGTCTAGGGTTATAGGAAGAAATCCCGTTTCCAACGAAGGCCTCAAAGAGGTCCAAATATCCACTTGCAGTTTCTACAAAAAGAGTGTTTCAACACTGCTCTATAAAGAGGAAAGTTCCACTCTGTGAGTTGAATGTACACATCACAAAGTAGTTTCTGAGATTGCTTCTGTCTAGGTTTTAGGTGAAGTTATTTCCTTTTCTACTGTGGGCTTCAATGCGCTCTAAATATACACATGCAAATACTACAAAAAGAGTGTTTCAAAACTGCTCTATCAAAAGAAAAGTTTTACTCTGTGAGTTGAACGCACACATCGCAAAGCAGATTCTGAGAATTATTCTGTCTAGTTTTTATACGAAGTATGTTTCTTTTTCTGCCATAGGCTCAATGCGCTATAAATATCCCCTTGGAAATCCTACAAAAACAGTGTTTCAAAACTGCTCTATGAAAAGGGAGGTTTCACTCTTTGAATTGAATGCACACATCACAAAGGAGTTTCTGAAAATTCTTCAAACTAGAGTTACATGAAGAAATCCCGTTTCCAAAGAAGGCCTCAAATAGGTCCAAATATCCACTTGCAGCTACTACAAGCAGGGTGTTTCAGAAACGCTCTATCAAAAGAAACGTTAAACTCTGTGAGTTGAACACACACGTCACTAAGCACTTTCTGAGAACGATTCTATCTACTTTTTACATGAAGATGTTTCCTTTTCTAGCAGAGACTTCAAAGTGCTCTAAATATCCACTTGGGAATTCTACAAAAACGGTGTCTCAAAACTGCTCTATCAAACGGAATGTTCCATTCTGTGAGTCGAATGCACACATCCGAAGAAGTTACTGAGAATTCTTCTCTGTAGGTTTAGATGAAGAAATCCCGTTTCCAACGAAGGCCTCTAGGAGGTCCAATTATCCACTTGCAGATTCTACAGAAAGAGTGTTTCAAAACTGCTCTATCAAGAGAAATGGTCCACCGTGTGTGTGGAATGCAGCCATCACACATTAGTTTCTGAGATTGCTTCTGTCTTGGTTTTATGGGGAGATATTTCCATTTCTAGCATAGGCTTCAAGGCGCTCTAAATATCCGCTTGGAAATACTACAAAAACAGTGTTTCAAAACTGCTGTATCCAAAGGAAGGTGCCACTCGCTGAGTTGAATGCACACATCACAAGGAAGTTTCTGAGAATTCTTCTGTCTAGATTCATACGAAGAAATCCCGTTTCCAACGAAGGCCTCAAAGAAGTCCAAATATCCCATTGCAAATTCTACAAAAGGAGTGTTTCCCAACTGCTCTATCAAGAGGAATGTTGCACTCTGTGACTTGCATGCAAACATCACATAGCAGTGTTTGAGAATTCTTCTGTCTAGAGTAACATGAAGAAATCCCGTTTCCAACGAAGGCCTCAAGGCGGTCCAATTATCCACTTGCAGATTCTACAGAAAGAGTGTTTCAAAACTGCTCTATCAAGAGAAATGTTCCACCGTGTGTGTGGAATGCAGCCATCACACAGTAGTTTCTGAGATTGCTTCCGTCTAGGTTTTATGGGAAGATATTTCCTTTTCTACCATAGGCCTCAAGGCGCTCTAATATCCGCTTGGAAATACTACAACCACAGCGTTTCAAACTGCTCTATCCAAAGGAAGGTTCCACTCTGTGACTTGAATGCACACAACCAAAGAAGTTTCGGAGAATTCTTCTGTCTGGATTTATACGAAGAAATCCCGTTTCCAACGAAGACCCAAAGGAGTTCCAAATATCCACTTGCAGATCCTTCAGAAAGAGGGTTTCAAAACTGCTCTATCAAGAGAAATGTTCAACTCTGTGAGTTGAATGCAGACATCACAAAGTCGTTTCTGAGATGGGTTCTGTCTAGGTTTTATGGGAAGATATTTCCTTTTCTACTATACGCTTCAAGGCGTTCCAAATATCTGCTTGGAAATACTACAAAAACAGTGTTTCAAAACTGCTCTATCAAAAGGAAGGATCCACACTGTGAGTTGAATTCACACATCACAAAGAAATCTCTGAGAATTCTTCTGTCTGGGTTTATAGGAAGAAATCCCATTTCCAACGAAGGCCTCAAAGCGGTCCATATATCCACTTGCAGATTCTACAGAAACAATGTTTCCAAACTGCTCTATCAAGAGGAATGTTGCACTCGGTGAGTTGAATGCACACATGACAAAGTAGTTTCTGAGATTGCTTCTGTCTACCTTTTATGGAAAGATATTCCCTTTTCTACCATAGGCCTGAAAGCGCTCTCAATGTACCCTTGCAAATTCTACAAAAAGAGTGTTTCCAAATTGCTCTATCAAGAGAAATCTTTATCTCGGTGAGTTGAAAGCACACATCACAAAGAAGACTCTGAGAATTCTTCTGTCTGGGTTTATAAGATGAAAACCCGTTTCCAACGAAGGCCTCAAGGAGGTCCAAATACAAACAAGCTGATTCTACAGAAAGAGTGTTTCCAAACTGCTCTATCAAGAGGAATGTTCCACTCGGTGAGTTGAATGCAGACATCACAAAGGAGTTTCTGAGATTGCTTCTGTCTAGCTTTTATGGAAAGATATTTCCTTTTCTACCATAGGCCTCAAAGCGCTCTTAGTATACACTTCCAAATTCTACAAAGAGAGTGTTACTAAACCGCTCTCTCAAAGGAAATGTTAAACTCTGTGAGTTGAACACAGACATCACAAAGCAGTTTCTGAGAACACTTCTGTCTGCCTTTTATGTGAAGACATTCCCTTTTCCAAAGAATGCCTCCAAGGGCTCAAAATATCCACTTGTAGACTTTACAAAGAGAGTGTTTCAAAACTTCTCTACCAAAAGAAAGGTTAAAGACGGTGAGTTCAACGCACACATCACAAAGTTGTTTCTGAGAATGATTCTATCTATGTTTTCCATGAAGATGTTTCCTTTTCTATCATAGGCTTCAAAGTGGTCTAAATATCCACTTGGAAATCCTACAAGAACAGGGTTTCAAAACTTCTCTATCAAACGGAAGACTCCACTCTGTGAGATGAACGCACACATCACAATGAGGTTTCTGAAAATTCTTCTGTCTAGGGGTATAGGAAGAAATCCCGTTTCCAACGAAGGCCTCAAAGAGGTCCAAATATCCACTTGCAGTTTCTACAAAAAGAGTGTTTCAACACTGCTCTATAAAGAGGAAAGTTCCACTACTGTGAGTTGAATGTACACATCACAAAGTAGTTTCTGAGATTGCTTCTGTCTAGGTTTTAGGTGAAGTTATTTCCTTTTCTACTGTGGGCTTCAATGCGCTCTAAATATACACATGCAAATACTACAAAAAGAGTGTTTCAAAACTGCTCTATCAAAAGAAAAGTTTTACTCTGCGGGTTGAACGTACACATCGCAAAGCAGATTCTGAGAATTATTCTGTCTAGTTTTTATAGGAAGATGTTTCTTTTCCTGCCGTAGGCTCAATGCGCTGTAAATATCCCCTTGGAAATCCTACAAAAACAGTGTTTCAAAACTGCTCTGTGAAAAGGGACGTTTCACTCTTTGAATTGAATGTACACATCACAAAGGAGTTTCTGAAAATTCTTCAATCTAGAGTTACATGAAGAAATCCCGTTTCCAAAGAAGGCCTCAAATAGGTCCAAATATCCACTTGCAGCTACTACAAGAAGGGTGTTTCAGAAACGCTCTATCAAAAGAAAAGTTACACTCTCTGAGTTGAACGCACACGTCACTAAGCACTTTCTGAGAACGATTCTATCTACTTTTTACATGAAGATGTTTCCTTTTCTAGCAGAGACTTCAAAGTGCTCTAAATATCCACTTGGGAATTCTACCAAAACGGTGTCTCAAAACTGCTCTATCGAAGGGAATGTTCCACTCTGTGAGTAGAATGCACACATCCGAAGAAGTTACTGAGAATTCTTCTCTGTAGGTTTAGATGAAGAAATCCCGTTTCCAACGAAGGCCTCTAGGAGGTCCAATTATCCACTTGCAGATTCTACAGAAAGAGTGTTTCAAAACTGCTCTATCAAGAGAAATGGTCCACCGTGTGTGTGGAATGCAGCCATCACACATTAGTTTCTGAGATTGCTTCTGTCTTGGTTTTATGGGGAGATATTTCCATTTCTAGCATAGGCTTCAAGGCGCTCTAAATATCCGCTTGGAAATACTACAAAAACAGTGTTTCAAAACTGCTGTATCCAAAGGAAGGTGCCACTCGCTGAGTTGAATGCACACATCACAAGGAAGTTTCTGAGAATTCTTCTGTCTAGATTCATACGAAGAAATCCCGTTTCCAACGAAGGCCTCAAAGAAGTCCAAATATCCCATTGCAAATTCTACAAAAGGAGTGTTTCCCAACTGCTCTATCAAGAGGAATGTTGCACTCTGTGACTTGCATGCTAACATCACATAGCAGTGTTTGAGAATTCTTCTGTCTAGAGTAACATGAAGAAATCCCGTTTCCAACGAAGGCCTCAAGGCGGTCCAATTATCCACTTGCAGATTCTACAGAAAGAGTGTTTCAAAACTGCTCTATCAAGAGAAATGTTCCACCCGTGTGTGGGGAATGCAGCCATCACACAGTAGTTTCTGAGATTGCTTCCGTCTAGGTTTTATGGGAAGATATTTCCTTTTCTACCATAGGCTTCAAGGCTCTCTAATATCCGCTTGGAAATACTACAACCAGAGCGTTTCAAACTGCTCTATCCAAAGGAAGGTTCCACTCTGTGACTTGAATGCACACAACCAAAGAAGTTTCGGAGAATTCTTCTGTCTGGATTTATACGAAGAAATCCCGTTTCCAACGAAGACCCAAAGGAGTTCCAAATATCCACTTGCAGATCCTTCAGAAAGAGGGTTTCAAAACTGCTCTATCAAGAGAAATGTTCAACTCTGTGAGTTGAATGCAGACATCACAAAGTCGTTTCTGAGATGGGTTCTGTCTAGGTTTTATGGGAAGATATTTCCTTTTCTACCATACGCTTCAAGGCGTTCCAAATATCCGCTTGGAAATACTACAAAAACAGTGTTTCAAAACTGCTCTATCAAAAGGAAGGATCCACACTGTGAGTTGAATTCACACATCACAAAGAAATCTCTGAGAATTCTTCTGTCTGGGTTTATAGGAAGAAATCCCGTTTCCAACGAAGGCCTCAAAGCGGTCCATATATCCACTTGCAGATTCTACAGAAACAATGTTTCGAAACTGCTCTATCAAGAGGAATGTTGCACTCGGTGAGTTGAATGCACACATCACAAAGTAGTTTCTGAGATTGCTTCTGTCTACCTTTTATGGAAAGATATTCCCTTTTCTACCATAGGCCTGAAAGCGCTCTCAATGTACCCTTGCAAATTCTACAAAAAGAGTGTTTCCAAATTGCTCTATCAAGAGAAATCTTTATCTCGGTGAGTTGAAAGCACACATCACAAAGAAGACTCTGAGAATTCTTCTGTCTGGGTTTATAAGATGAAAACCCGTTTCCAACGAAGGCCTCAAGGAGGTCCAAATACAAACAAGCTGATTCTACAGAAAGAGTGTTTCCAAACTGCTCTATCAAGAGGAATGTTCCACTCGGTGAGTTGAATGCAGACATCACAAAGGAGTTTCTGAGATTGCTTCTGTCTAGCTTTTATGGAAAGATATTTCCTTTTCTACCATAGGCCTCAAAGCGCTCTTAGTATACACTTCCAAATTCTACAATGAGAGTGTTACTAAACCGCTCTCTCAAAGGAAATGTTAAACTCTGTGAGTTGAACACAGACATCACAAAGCAGTTTCTGAGAACACTTCTGTCTGCCTTTTATGTGAAGACATTCCCTTTTCCAAAGTAATGCCTCCAAGGGCTCAAAATATCCACTTGTAGACTTTACAAAGAGAGTGTTTCAAAACTTCTCTACCAAAAGAAAGGTTAAAGACGGTGAGTTCAACGCACACATCACAAAGTTGTTTCTGAGAATGATTCTATCTATGTTTTCCATGAAGATGTTTCCTTTTCTATCATAGGCTTCAAAGTGGTCTAAATATCCACTTGGAAATCCTACAAGAACAGGGTTTCAAAACTTCTCTATCAAACGGAAGACTCCACTCTGTGAGATGAACGCACACATCACAATGAGGTTTCTGAAAATTCTTCTGTCTAGGGTTATAGGAAGAAATCCCGTTTCCAACGAAGGCCTCAAAGAGGTCCAAATATCCACTTGCAGTTTCCACAAAAAGAGTGTTTCAACACTGCTCTATAAAGAGGAAAGTTCCACTCTGTGAGTTGAATGTACACATCACAAAGTAGTTTCTGAGATTGCTTCTGTCTAGGTTTTAGGTGAAGTTATTTCCTTTTCTACTGTGGGCTTCAATGCGCTCTAAATATACACATGCAAATACTACAAAAAGAGTTTTTCAAAACTGCTCTATCAAAAGAAAAGTTTTACTCTGTGAGTTGAACGCACACATCGCAAAGCAGATTCTGAGAATTATTCTGTCTAGTTTTTATAGGAAGATGTTTCTTTTTCTGCCATAGGATCAATGCGCTATAAATATCCCCTTGGAAATCCTACAAAAAGAGTGTTTCAAAACTGCTCTGTGAAAAGGGAGGTTTCACTCTTTGAATTGAATGCACACATCACAAAGGAGTTTCTGAAAATTCTTCAATCTAGAGTTACATGAAGAAATCCCGTTTCCAAAGAAGGTCTCAAATAGGTCCAAATATCCACTTGCAGCTACTACAAGCAGGGTGTTTCAGAAACGCTCTATCAAAAGAAACGTTAAACTCTGTGAGTTGAACACACACGTCACTAAGCACTTTCTGAGAACGATTCTATCTACTTTTTACATGAAGATGTTTCCTTTTCTAGCAGAGACTTCAAAGTGCTCTAAATATCCACTTGGGAATTCTACAAAAACGGTGTCTCAAAACTGCTCTATCAAAGGGAATGTTCCATTCTGTGAGTCGAATGCAAACATCCGAAGAAGTTACTGAGAATTCTTCTCTGTAGGTTTAGATGAAGAAATCCCGTTTCCAACGAAGGCCTCTAGGAGGTCCAATTATCCACTTGCAGATTCTACAGAAAGAGTGTTTCAAAACTGCTCTATCAAGAGAAATGGTCCACCGTGTGTGTGGAATGCAGCCATCACACATTAGTTTCTGAGATTGCTTCTGTCTTGGTTTTATGGGGAGATATTTCCATTTCTAGCATAGGCTTCAAGGCGCTCTACATATCCGCTTGGAAATAGTACAAAAACAGTGTTTCAAAACTGCTGTATCCAAAGGAAGGTGCCACTCGCTGAGTTGAATGCACACATCACAAGGAAGTTTCTGAGAATTCTTCTGTCTAGATTCATACGAAGAAATCCCGTTTCCAACGAAGGCCTCAAAGAAGTCCAAATATCCCATTGCAAATTCTACAAAAGGAGTGTTTCCCAACTGCTCTATCAAGAGGAATGTTGCACTCTGTGACTTGCATGCAAACATCACACAGCAGTGTTTGAGAATTCTTCTGTCTAGAGTAACATGAAGAAATCCCGTTTCCAACGAAGGCCTCAAGGCGGTCCAATTATCCACTTGCAGATTCTACAGAAAGAGTGTTTCAAAACTGCTCTATCAAGAGAAATGTTCCACCGTGTGTGTGGAATGCAGCCATCACACAGTAGTTTCTGAGATTGCTTCCGTCTAGGTTTTATGGGAAGATATTTCCTTTTCTACCATAGGCTTCAAGGCGCTCTAATATCCGCTTGGAAATACTACAACCACAGCGTTTCAAACTGCTCTATCCAAAGGAAGGTTCCACTCTGTGACTTGAATGCACACAACCAAAGAAGTTTCGGAGAATTCTTCTGTCTAGATTTATACGAAGAAATCCCGTTTCCAACGAAGACCCAAAGGAGTTCCAAATATCCACTTGCAGATCCTTCAGAAAGAGGGTTTCAAAACTGCTCTATCAAGAGAAATGTTCAACTCTGTGAGTTGAATGCAGACATCACAAAGTCGTTTCTGAGATTGGTTCTGTCTAGGTTTTATGGGAAGATATTTCCTTTTCTACCATACGCTTCAAGGCGTTCCAAATATCCGCTTGGAAATACTACAAAAACAGTGTTTCAAAACTGCTCTATCAAAAGGAAGGATCCACACTGTGAGTTGAATTCACACATCACAAAGAAGTCTCTGAGAATTCTTCTGTCTGGGTTTATAGGAAGAAATCCCGTTTCCAATCGAAGGCCTCAAAGAGGTCCAAATATCCACTTGCAGATTCTACAGAAACAATGTTTCCAAACTGCTCGGTCAAGAGGAATGTTGCACTCGGTGAGTTGAATGCACACATCACAAAGTAGTTTCTGAGATTGCTTCTGTCTACCTTTTATGGAAAGATATTCCCTTTTCTACCATAGGCCTGAAAGCGCTCTCAATGTACCCTTGCAAATTCTACAAAAAGAGTGTTTCCAAATTGCTCTATCAAGAGAAATCTTTATCTCGGTGAGTTGAAAGCACACATCACAAAGAAGACTCTGAGAATTCTTCTGTCTGGGTTTATAAGATGAAAACCCGTTTCCAACGAAGGCCTCAAGGAGGTCCAAATACAAACAAGCTGATTCTACAGAAAGAGTGTTTCCAAACTGCTCTATCAAGAGGAATGTTCCACTCGGTGAGTTGAATGCAGACATCACAAAGGAGTTTCTGAGATTGCTTCTGTCTAGCTTTTATGGAAAGATATTTCCTTTTCTACCATAGGCCTCAAAGCGCTCTTAGTATACACTTCCAAATTCTACAAAGAGAGTGTTACTAAACCGCTCTCTCAAAGGAAATGTTAAACTCTGTGAGTTGAACACAGACATCACAAAGCAGTTTCTGAGAACACTTCTGTCTGCCTTTTATGTGAAGACATTCCCTTTTCCAAAGAATGCCTCCAAGGGCTCAAAATATCCACTTGTAGACTTTACAAAGAGAGTGTTTCAAAACTTCTCTACCAAAAGAAAGGTTAAAGACGGTGAGTTCAACGCACACATCACAAAGTTGTTTCTGAGAATGATTCTATCTATGTTTTCCATGAAGATGTTTCCTTTTCTATCATAGGCTTCAAAGTGGTCTAAATATCCACTTGGAAATCCTACAAGAACAGGGTTTCAAAACTTCTCTATCAAACGGAAGACTCCACTCTGTGAGATGAACGCACACATCACAATGAGGTTTCTGAAAATTCTTCTGTCTAGGGTTATAGGAAGAAATCCCGTTTCCAACGAAGGCCTCAAAGAGGTCCAAATATCCACTTGCAGTTTCTACAAAAAGAGTGTTTCAACACTGCTCTATAAAGAGGAAAGTTCCACTCTGTGAGTTGAATGTACACATCACAAAGTAGTTTCTGAGATTGCTTCTGTCTAGGTTTTAGGTGAAGTTATTTCCTTTTCTACTTTGGGCTTCAATGCGCTCTAAATATACACATGCAAATACTACAAAAAGAGTGTTTCAAAACTGCTCTATCAAAAGAAAAGTTTTACTCTGTGGGTTGAACGCACACATCGCAAAGCAGATTCTGAGAATTATTCTGTCTAGTTTTTATAGGAAGATGTTTCTTTTTCTGCCGTAGGCTCAATGCGCTATAAATATCCCCTTGGAAATCCTACAAAAACAGTGTTTCAAAACTGCTCTGTGAAAAGGGAGGTTTCACTCTTTGAATTGAATGCACACATCACAAAGGAGTTTCTGAAAATTCTTCAAACTAGAGTTACATGAAGAAATCCCGTTTCCAAAGAAGGCCTCAAATAGGTCCAAATATCCACTTGCAGCTACTACAAGCAGGGTGTTTCAGAAACGCTCTATCAAAAGAAACGTTAAACTCTGTGAGTTGAACACACACGTCACTAACCACTTTCTGAGAACGATTCTATCTACTTTTTACATGAAGATGTTTCCTTTTCTAGCAGAGACTTCAAAGTGCTCTAAATATCCACTTGGGAATTCTACGAAAACGGTGTCTCAAAACTGCTCTATCAAACGGAATGTTCCATTCTGTGAGTCGAATGCACACATCCGAAGAAGTTACTGAGAATTCTTCTCTGTAGGTTTAGATGAAGAAATCCCGTTTCCAACGAAGGCCTCTAGGAGGTCCAATTATCCACTTGCAGATTCTACAGAAAGAGTGTTTCAAAACTGCTCTATCAAGAGAAATGGTCCACCGTGTGTGTGGAATGCAGCCATCACACATTAGTTTCTGAGATTGCTTCTGTCTTGGTTTTATGGGGAGATATTTCCATTTCTAGCATAGGCTTCAAGGCGCTCTAAATATCCGCTTGGAAATACTACAAAAACAGTGTTTCAAAACTGCTGTATCCAAAGGAAGGTGCCACTCGCTGAGTTGAATGCACACATCACAAGGAAGTTTCTGAGAATTCTTCTGTCTAGATTCATACGAAGAAATCCCGTTTCCAACGAAGGCCTCAAAGAAGTCCAAATATCCCATTGCAAATTCTACAAAAGGAGTGTTTCCCAACTGCTCTATCAAGAGGAATGTTGCACTCTGTGACTTGAATGCAAACATCACATAGCAGTGTTTGAGAATTCTTCTGTCTAGAGTAACATGAAGAAATCCCGTTTCCAACGAAGGCCTCAAGGCGGTCCAATTATCCACTTGCAGATTCTACAGAAAGAGTGTTTCAAAACTGCTCTATCAAGAGAAATGTTCCACCGTGTGTGTGGAATGCAGCCATCACACAGTAGTTTCTGAGATTGCTTCCGTCTGGTTTTATGGGAAGATATTTCCTTTTCTACCATAGGCTTCAAGGCGCTCTAATATCCGCTTGGAAATACTACAACCACAGCGTTTCAAACTGCTCTATCCAAAGGAAGGTTCCACTCTGTGACTTGAATGCACACAACCAAAGAAGTTTCGGAGAATTCTTCTGTCTGGATTTATACGAAGAAATCCCGTTTCCAACGAAGACCCAAAGGAGTTCCAAATATCCACTTGCAGATCCTTCAGAAAGAGGGTTTCAAAACTGCTCTATCAAGAGAAATGTTCAACTCTGTGAGTTGAATGCAGACATCACAAAGTCGTTTCTGAGATGGGTTCTGTCTAGGTTTTATGGGAAGATATTTCCTTTTCTACCATACGCTTCAAGGCGTTCCAAATATCCGCTTGGAAATACTACAAAAACAGTGTTTCAAAACTGCTCTATCAAAAGGAAGGATCCACACTGTGAGTTGAATTCACACATCACAAAGAAGTCTCTGAGAATTCTTCTGTCTGGGTTTATAGGAAGAAATCCCGTTTCCAACGAAGGCCTCAAAGCGGTCCATATATCCACTTGCAGATTCTACAGAAACAATGTTTCCAAACTGCTCGGTCAAGAGGAATGTTGCACTCGGTGAGTTGAATGCACACATCACAAAGTAGTTTCTGAGATTGCTTCTGTCTACCTTTTATGGAAAGATATTCCCTTTTCTACCATAGGCCTGAAAGCGCTCTCAATGTACCCTTGCAAATTCTACAAAAAGAGTGTTTCCAAATTGCTCTATCAAGAGAAATCTTTATCTCGGTGAGTTGAAAGCACACATCACAAAGAAGACTCTGAGAATTCTTCTGTCTGGGTTTATAAGATGAAAACCCGTTTCCAACGAAGGCCTCAAGGAGGTCCAAATACAAACAAGCTGATTCTACAGAAAGAGTGTTTCCAAACTGCTCTATCAAGAGGAATGTTCCACTCGGTGAATTGAATGCAGATATCACAAAGGAGTTTCTGAGATTGCTTCTGTCTAGCTTTTATGGAAAGATATTTCCTTTTCTACCATAGGCCTCAAAGCGCTCTTAGTATACACTTCCAAATTCTACAAAGAGAGTGTTACTAAACCGCTCTCTCAAAGGAAATGTTAAACTCTGTGAGTTGAACACAGACATCACAAAGCAGTTTCTGAGAACACTTCTGTCTGCCTTTTATGTGAAGACATTCCCTTTTCCAAAGAATGCCTCCAAGGGCTCAAAATATCCACTTGTAGACTTTACAAAGAGAGTGTTTCAAAACTTCTCTACCAAAAGAAAGGTTAAAGACGGTGAGTTCAACGGCACACATCACAAAGTTGTTTCTGAGAATGATTCTATCTATGTTTTCCATGAAAGATGTTTCCTTTTCTATCATAGGCTTCAAAGTGGTCTAAATATCCACTTGGAAATCCTACAAGAACAGGGTTTCAAAACTTCTCTATCAAACGGAAGACTCCACTCTGTGAGATGAACGCACACATCCCAATGAGGTTTCTGAAAATTCTTCTGTCTAGGGTTATAGGAAGAAATCCCGTTTCCAACGAAGGCCTCAAAGAGGTCCAAATATCCACTTGCAGTTTCTACAAAAAGAGTGTTTCAACACTGCTCTATAAAGAGGAAAGTTCCACTCTGTGAGTTGAATGTACACATCACAAAGTAGTTTCTGAGATTGCTTCTGTCTAGGTTTTAGGTGAAGTTATTTCCTTTTCTACTGTGGGCTTCAATGCGCTCTAAATATATACATGCAAATACTACAAAAAGAGTGTTTCAAAACTGCTCTATCAAAAGAAAAGTTTTACTCTGTGGGTTGAACGCACACATCGCAAAGCAGATTCTGAGAATTATTCTGTCTAGTTTTTATAGGAAGATGTTACTTTTTCTGCCGTAGGCTCAATGCGCTATAAATATCCCCTTGGAAATCCTACAAAAACAGTGTTTCAAAACTGCTCTGTGAAAAGGGACGTTTCACTCTTTGAATTGAATGCACACATCACAAAGGAGTTTCTGAAAATTCTTCAAACTAGTAGTTACATGAAGAAATCCCGTTTCCAAAGAAGGCCTCAAATAGGTCCAAATATCCACTTGCAGCTACTACAAGAAGGGTGTTTCAGAAACGCTCTATCAAAAGAAACGTTAAACTCTGTGAGTTGAACGCACACGTCACTAAGCACTTTCTGAGAACGATTCTATCTACTTTTTACATGAAGATGTTTCCTTTTCTAGCAGAGACTTCAAAGTGCTCTAAATATCCACTTGGGAATTCTACAAAAACGGTGTCTCAAAACTGCTCTATCAAAGGGAATGTTCCATTCTGTGAGTCGAATGCACACATCCGAAGAAGTTACTGAGAATTCTTCTCTGTAGGTTTAGATGAAGAAATCCCGTTTCCAACGAAGGCCTCTAGGAGGTCCAATTATCCACTTGCAGATTCTACAGAAAGAGTGTTTCAAAACTGCTCTATCAAGAGAAATGGTCCACCGTGTGTGTGGAATGCAGCCATCACACATTAGTTTCTGAGATTGCTTCTGTCTTGGTTTTATGGGGAGATATTTCCATTTCTAGCATAGGCTTCAAGGCGCTCTAAATATCCGCTTGGAAATACTACAAAAACAGTGTTTCAAAACTGCTGTATCCAAAGGAAGGTGCCACTCGCTGAGTTGAATGCACACATCACAAGGAAGTTTCTGAGAATTCTTCTGTCTAGATTCATACGAAGAAATCCCGTTTCCAACGAAGGCCTCAAAGAAGTCCAAATATCCCATTGCAAATTCTACAAAAGGAGTGTTTCCCAACTGCTCTATCAAGAGGAATGTTGCACTCTGTGACTTGAATGCAAACATCACATAGCAGTGTTTGAGAATTCTTCTGTCTAGAGTAACATGAAGAAATCCCGTTTCCAACGAAGGCCTCAAGGCGGTCCAATTATCCACTTGCAGATTCTACAGAAAGAGTGTTTCAAAACTGCTCTATCAAGAGAAATGTTCCACCGTGTGTGTGGAATGCAGCCATCACACAGTAGTTTCTGAGATTGCTTCCGTCTAGGTTTTAATGGAAGATATTTCCTTTTCTACCATAGGCCTCAAGGCGCTCTAATATCCGCTTGGAAATACTACAACCACAGCGTTTCAAACTGCTTTATCCAAAGGAAGGTTCCACTCTGTGATTTGAATGCACACAACCAAAGAAGTTTCGGAGAATTCTTCTGTCTAGATTTATACGAAGAAATCCCGTTTCCAACGAAGACCCAAAGGAGTTCCAAATATCCACTTGCAGATCCTTCAGAAAGAGGGTTTCAAAACTGCTCTATCAAGAGAAATGTTCAACTCTGTGAGTTGAATGCAGACATCACAAAGTCGTTTCTGAGATTGGTTCTGTCTAGGTTTTATGGGAAGATATTTCCTTTTCTACCATACGCTTCAAGGCGTTCCAAATATCCGCTTGGAAATACTACAAAAACGGTGTTTCAAAACTGCTCTATCAAAAGGAAGGATCCACACTGTGAGTTGAATTCACACATCACAAAGAAGTCTCTGAGAATTCTTCTGTCTGGGTTTATAGGAAGAAATCCCGTTTCCAACGAAGGCCTCAAAGAGGTCCAAATATCCACTTGCAGATTCTACAGAAACAATGTTTCCAAACTGCTCAGTCAAGAGGAATGTTGCACTCGGTGAGTTGAATGCACACATCACAAAGTAGTTTCTGAGATTGCTTCTGTCTACCTTTTATGGAAAGATATTCCCTTTTCTACCATAGGCCTGAAAGCGCTCTCAATGTACCCTTGCAAATTCTACAAAAAGAGTGTTTCCAAATTGCTCTATCAAGAGAAATCTTTATCTCGGTGAGTTGAAAGCACACATCACAAAGAAGACTCTGAGAATTCTTCTGCCTGGGTTTATAAGATGAAAACCCGTTTCCAACGAAGGCCTCAAGGAGGTCCAAATACAAACAAGCTGATTCTACAGAAAGAGTGTTTCCAAACTGCTCTATCAAGAGGAATGTTCCACTCGGTGAGTTGAATGCAGACATCACAAAGGAGTTTCTGAGATTGCTTCTGTCTAGCTTTTATGGAAAGATATTTCCTTTTCTACCATAGGCCTCAAAGCGCTCTTAGTATACACTTCCAAATTCTACAAAGAGAGTGTTACTAAACCGCTCTCTCAAAGGAAATGTTAAACTCTGTGAGTTGAACGACAGACATCACAAAGCAGTTTCTGAGAACACTTCTGTCTGCCTTTTATGTGAAGACATTCCCTTTTCCAAAGAATGCCTCCAAGGGCTCAAAATATCCACTTGTAGACTTTACAAAGAGAGTGTTTCAAAACTTCTCTACCAAAAGAAAGGTTAAAGACGGTGAGTTCAATGCACACATCACAAAGTTGTTTCTGAGAATGATTCTATCTATGTTTTCCATGAAGATGTTTCCTTTTCTATCATAGGCTTCAAAGTGGTCTAAATATCCACTTGGAAATCCTACAAGAACAGGGTTTCAAAGCTTCTCTATCAAACGGAAGACTCCACTCTGTGAGATGAACGCACACATCACAATGAGGTTTCTGAAAATTCTTCTGTCTAGGGTTATAGGAAGAAATCCCGTTTCCAACGAAGGCCTCAAAGAGGTCCAAATATCCACTTGCAGTTTCTACAAAAAGAGTGTTTCAACACTGCTCTATAAAGAGGAAAGTTCCACTCTGTGAGTTGAATGTACACATCACAAAGTAGTTTCTCAGATTGCTTCTGTCTAGGTTTTAGGTGAAGTTATTTCCTTTTCTACTGTGGGCTTCAATGCGCTCTAAATATACACATGCAAATACTACAAAAAGAGTGTTTCAAAACTGCTCTATCAAAAGAAAAGTTTTACTCTGTGAGTTGAACGCACACATCGCAAAGCAGATTCTGAGAATTATTCTGTCTAGTTTTTATAGGAAGATGTTTCTTTTTCTGCCGTAGGCTCAATGCGCTATAAATATCCCCTTGGAAACCCTACAAAAACAGTGTTTCAAAACTGCTCTGTGAAAAGGGAGGTTTCACTCTTTGAATTGAATGCACACATCACAAAGGAGTTTCTGAAAATTCTTCAAACTAGAGTTACATGAAGAAATCCCGTTTCCAAAGAAGGCCTCAAATAGGTCCAAATATCCACTTGCAGCTACTACAAGAAGGGTGTTTCAGAAACGCTCTATCAAAAGAAACGTTAAACTCTGTGAGTTGAACACACACGTCACTAAGCACTTTCTGAGAACGATTCTATCTACTTTTTACATGAAGATGTTTCCTTTTCTAGCAGAGACTTCAAAGTGCTCTAAATATCCACTTGGGAATTCTACAAAAACGGTGTCTCAAAACTGCTCTATCAAACGGAATGTTCCATTCTGTGAGTCGAATGCACACATCCGAAGAAGTTACTGAGAATTCTTCTCTGTAGGTTTAGATGAAGAAATCCCGTTTCCAACGAAGGCCTCTAGGAGGTCCAATTATCCACTTGCAGATTCTACAGAAAGAGTGTTTCAAAACTGCTCTATCAAGAGAAATGGTCCACCGTGTGTGTGGAATGCAGCCATCACACATTAGTTTCTGAGATTGCTTCTGTCTTGGTTTTATGGGGAGATATTTCCATTTCTAGCATAGGCTTCAAGGCGCTCTAAATATCCGCTTGGAAATAGTACAAAAACAGTGTTTCAAAACTGCTGTATCCAAAGGAAGGTGCCACTCGCTGAGTTGAATGCACACATCACAAGGAAGTTTCTGAGAATTCTTCTGTCTAGATTCATACGAAGAAATCCCGTTTCCAACGAAGGCCTCAAAGAAGTCCAAATATCCCATTGCAAATTCTACAAAAGGAGTGTTTCCCAACTGCTCTATCAAGAGGAATGTTGCACTCTGTGACTTGAATGCAAACATCACACAGCAGTGTTTGAGAATTCTTCTGTCTAGTAGTAACATGAAGAAATCCCGTTTCCAACGAAGGCCTCAAGGCGGTCCAATTATCCACTTGCAGATTCTACAGAAAGAGTGTTTCAAAACTGCTCTATCAAGAGAAATGTTCCACCGTGTGTGTGGAATGCAGCCATCACACAGTAGTTTCTGAGATTGCTTCCGTCTAGGTTTTATGGGAAGATATTTCCTTTTCTACCATAGGCCTCAAGGCGCTCTAATATCCGCTTGGAAATACTACAACCAGAGCGTTTCAAACTGCTCTATCCAAAGGAAGGTTCCACTCTGTGACTTGAATGCACACAACCAAAGAAGTTTCGGAGAATTCTTCTGTCTGGATTTATACGAAGAAATCCCGTTTCCAACGAAGACCCAAAGGAGTTCCAAATATCCACTTGCAGATCCTTCAGAAAGAGGGTTTCAAAACTGCTCTATCAAGAGAAATGTTCAACTCTGTGAGTTGAATGCAGACATCACAAAGTCGTTTCTGAGATGGGTTCTGTCTAGGTTTTATGGGAAGATATTTCCTTTTCTACCATACGCTTCAAGGCGTTCCAAATATCCGCTTGGAAATACTACAAAAACAGTGTTTCAAAACTGCTCTATCAAAAGGAAGGATCCACACTGTGAGTTGAATTCACACATCACAAAGAAATCTCTGAGAATTCTTCTGTCTGGGTTTATAGGAAGAAATCCCGTTTCCAACGAAGGCCTCAAAGCGGTCCATATATCCACTTGCAGATTCTACAGAAACAATGTTTCCAAACTGCTCTATCAAGAGGAATGTTGCACTCGGTGAGTTGAATGCACACATGACAAAGTAGTTTCTGAGATTGCTTCTGTCTACCTTTTATGGAAAGATATTCCCTTTTCTACCATAGGCCTGAAAGCGCTCTCAATGTACCCTTGCAAATTCTACAAAAAGAGTGTTTCCAAATTGCTCTATCAAGAGAAATCTTTATCTCGGTGAGTTGAAAGCACACATCACAAAGAAGACTCTGAGAATTCTTCTGTCTGGGTTTATAAGATGAAAACCCGTTTCCAACGAAGGCCTCAAGGAGGTCCAAATACAAACAAGCTGATTCTACAGAAAGAGTGTTTCCAAACTGCTCTATCAAGAGGAATGTTCCACTCGGTGAGTTGAATGCAGACATCACAAAGGAGTTTCTGAGATTGCTTCTGTCCAGCTTTTATGGAAAGATATTTCCTTTTCTACCATAGGCCTCAAAGCGCTCTTAGTATACACTTCCAAATTCTACAAAGAGAGGGTTACTAAACCGCTCTATCACAGGAAATGTTAAACTCTGTGAGTTGAACACAGACATCACAAAGCAGTTTCTGAGAACACTTCTGTCTGCCTTTTATGTGAAGACATTCCCTTTTCCAAAGAATGCCTCCAAGGGCTCAAAATATCCACTTGTAGACTTTACAAAGAGAGTGTTTCAAAACTTCTCTACCAAAAGAAAGGTTAAAGACTGTGAGTTCAACGCACACATCACAAAGTTGTTTCTGAGAATGACTCTATCTATGTTTTCCATGAAGATGTTTCCTTTTCTATCATAGGCTTCAAAGTGGTCTAAATATCCACTTGGAAATCCTACAAGAACAGGGTTTCAAAACTTCTCTATCAAACGGAAGACTCCACTCTGTGAGATGAACGCACACATCACAATGAGGTTTCTGAAAATTCTTCTGTCTAGGGTTATAGGAAGAAATCCCGTTTCCAACGAAGGCCTCAAAGAGGTCCAAATATCCACTTGCAGTTTCTACAAAAAGAGTGTTTCATCACTGCTCTATAAAGAGGAAAGTTCCACTCTGTGAGTTGAATGTACACATCACAAAGGAGTTTCTGAGATTGCTTCTGTCTAGGTTTTAGGTGAAGTTATTTCCTTTTCTACTGTGGGCTTCAATGCGCTCTAAATATACACATGCAAATACTACAAAAAGAGTGTTTCAAAACTGCTCTATCAAAAGAAAAGTTTTACTCTGTGAGTTGAACGCACACATCGCAAAGCAGATTCTGAGAATTATTCTGTCTAGTTTTTATAGGAAGATGTTTCTTTTTCTGCCATAGGATCAATGCGCTATAAATATCCCCTTGGAAATCCTACAAAAACAGTGTTTCAAAACTGCTCTGTGAAAAGGGAGGTTTCACTCTTTGAATTGAATGCACACATCACAAAGGAGTTTCTGAAAATTCTTCAAACTAGAGTTACATGAAGAAATCCCGTTTCCAAAGAAGGCCTCAAATAGGTCCAAATATCCACTTGCAGCTACTACAAGAAGGGTGTTTCAGAAACGGTCTATCAAAAGAAACGTTAAACTCTGTGAGTTGAACGCACACGTCACTAAGCACTTTCTGAGAACGATTCTATCTACTTTTTACATGAAGATGTTTCCTTTTCTAGCAGAGATTTCAAAGTGCTCTAAATATCCACTTGGGAATTCTACAAAAACGGTGTCTCAAAACTGCTCTATCAAACGGAATGTTCCATTCTGTGAGTCGAATGCACACATCCGAAGAAGTTACTGAGAATTCTTCTCTGTAGGTTTAGATGAAGAAATCCCGTTTCCAACGAAGGCCTCTAGGAGGTCCAATTATCCACTTGCAGATTCTACAGAAAGAGTGTTTCAAAACTGCTCTATCAAGAGAAATGGTCCACCGTGTGTGTGGAATGCAGCCATCACACATTAGTTTCTGAGATTGCTTCTGTCTTGGTTTTATGGGGAGATATTTCCATTTCTAGCATAGGCTTCAAGGCGCTCTAAATATCCGCTTGGAAATACTACAAAAACAGTGTTTCAAAACTGCTGTATCCAAAGGAAGGTGCCACTCGCTGAGTTGAATGCACACATCACAAGGAAGTTTCTGAGAATTCTTCTGTCTAGATTCATACGAAGAAATCCCGTTTCCAACGAAGGCCTCAAAGAAGTCCAAATATCCCATTGCAAATTCTACAAAAGGAGTGTTTCCCAACTGCTCTATCAAGAGGAATGTTGCACTCTGTGACTTGAATGCAAACATCACACAGCAGTGTTTGAGAATTCTTCTGTCTAGTAGTAACATGAAGAAATCCCGTTTCCAACGAAGGCCTCAAGGCGGTCCAATTATCCACTTGCAGATTCTACAGAAAGAGTGTTTCAAAACTGCTCTATCAAGAGAAATGTTCCACCGTGTGTGTGGAATGCAGCCATCACACAGTAGTTTCTGAGATTGCTTCCGTCTAGGTTTTATGGGAAGATATTTCCTTTTCTACCATAGGCCTCAAGGCGCTCTAATATCCGCTTGGAAATACTACAACCACAGCGTTTCAAACTGCTCTATCCAAAGGAAGGTTCCACTCTGTGACTTGAATGCACACAACCAAAGAAGTTTCGGAGAATTCTTCTGTCTAGATTTATACGAAGAAATCCCGTTTCCAACGAAGACCCAAAGGAGTTCCAAATATCCACTTGCAGATCCTTCAGAAAGAGGGTTTCAAAACTGCTCTATCAAGAGAAATGTTCAACTCTGTGAGTTGAATGCAGACATCACAAAGTCGTTTCTGAGATGGGTTCTGTCTAGGTTTTATGGGAAGATATTTCCTTTTCTACCATACGCTTCAAGGCGTTCCAAATATCCGCTTGGAAATACTACAAAAACAGTGTTTCAAAACTGCTCTATCAAAAGGAAGGATCCACACTGTGAGTTGAATTCACACATCACAAAGAAATCTCTGAGAATTCTTCTGTCTGGGTTTATAGGAAGAAATCCCGTTTCCAACGAAGGCCTCAAAGCGGTCCATATATCCACTTGCAGATTCTACAGAAACAATGTTTCCAAACTGCTCTATCAAGGGGAATGTTGCACTCGGTGAGTTGAATGCACACATGACAAAGTAGTTTCTGAGATTGCTTCTGTCTACCTTTGATGGAAAGATATTCCCTTTTCTACCATAGGCCTGAAAGCGCTCTCAATGTACCCTTGCAAATTCTACAAAAAGAGTGTTTCCAAATTGCTCTATCAAGAGAAATCTTTATCTCGGTGAGTTGAAAGCACACATCACAAAGAAGACTCTGAGAATTCTTCTGTCTGGGTTTATAAGATGAAAACCCGTTTCCAACGAAGGCCTCAAGGAGGTCCAAATACAAACAAGCTGATTCTACAGAAAGAGTGTTTCCAAACTGCTCTATCAAGAGGAATGTTCCACTCGGTGAGTTGAATGCAGACATCACAAAGGAGTTTCTGAGATTGCTTCTGTCTAGCTTTTATGGAAAGTTATTTCCTTTTCTACCATAGGCCTCAAAGCGCTCTTAGTATACACTTCCAAATTCTACAAAGAGAGGGTTACTAAACCGCTCTATCACAGGAAATGTTAAACTCTGTGAGTTGAACACAGACATCACAAAGCAGCTTCTGAGAACACTTCTGTCTGCCTTTTATGTGAAGACATTCCCTTTTCCAATGAATGCCTCCAAGGGCTCAAAATATCCACTTGTAGACTTTACAAAGAGAGTGTTTCAAAACTTCTCTACCAAAAGAAAGGTTAAAGACTGTGAGTTCAACACACACATCACAAAGTTGTTTCTGAGAATGACTTTATCTATGTTTTCCATGAAGATGTTTCCTTTTCTATCATAGGCTTCAAAGTGGTCTAAATATCCACTTGGAAATCCTACAAGAACAGGGTTTCAAAACTTCTCTATCAAACGGAAGACACCACTCTGTGAGATGAACGCACACATCACAATGAGGTTTCTCAAAATTCTTCTGTCTATGGTTATAGGAAGAAACCCGTTTCCAACGAAGGCCTCAAAGAGGTCCAAATATCCACCTGCAGTTTCTACAAAAAGAGTGTTTCAACACTGCTCTGTAAAGGGGAAAGTTCCACTCTCTGAGTTGAATGTACACATCACAAAGTAGTTTCTGAGATTGCTTCTGTCTAGGTTTTAGGTGAAGTTATTTCCTTTTCTACTGTGGGCTTCAATGCGCTCTAAATATACACATGCAAATACTACAAAAAGAGTGTTTCAAAACCGCTCTATCAAAAGAAAAGTTTTACTCTGTGGGTTGAACTCACACATCGCAAAGCAGATTCTGAGAATTATTCTGTCTAGTTTTTATAGGAAGATGTTTCTTTTTCTGCCATAGGATCAATGCGCTATAAATATCCCCTTGGAAATCCTACAAAAACAGTGTTTCAAAACTGCTCTGTGAAAAGGGGAGGTTTCACTCTTTGAATTGAATGCACACTTCACAAAGGAGTTTCTGAAAATTCTTCAATCTAGAGTTACATGAAGAAATCCCGTTTCCAAAGAAGGCCTCAAATAGGTCCAAATATCCACTTGCAGCTACTACAAGAAGGGTGTTTCAGAAACGCTCTATCAAAAGAAACGTTAAACTCTGTGAGTTGAACGCACACGTCACTAAGCACTTTCTGAGAACGATTCTATCTACTTTTTACATGAAGATGTTTCCTTTTCTAGCAGAGACTTCAAAGTGCTCTAAATATCCACTTTGGAATTCTACAAAAACGGTGTCTCAAAACTGCTCTACCAAAGGGAATGTTCCATTCTGTGAGTCTAATGCACACATCCGAAGAAGTTACTGAGAATTCTTCTCTGTAGGTTTAGATGAAGAAATCCCGTTTCCAACGAAGGCCTCTAGGAGGTCCAATTATCCACTTGCAGATTCTACAGAAAGAGTGTTTCAAAACTGCTCTATCAAGAGAAATGGTCCACCGTGTGTGTGGAATGCAGCCATCACACATTAGTTTCTGAGATTGCTTCTGTCTTGGTTTTATGGGGAGATATTTCCATTTCTAGCATAGGCTTCAAGGCGCTCTAAATATCCGCTTGGAAATACTACAAAAACAGTGTTTCAAAACTGCTGTATCCAAAGGAAGGTGCCACTCGCTGAGTTGAATGCACACATCACAAGGAAGTTTCTGAGAATTCTTCTGTCTAGATTCATACGAAGAAATCCCGTTTCCAACGAAGGCCTCAAAGAAGTCCAAATATCCCATTGCAAATTCTACAAAAGGAGTGTTTCCCAACTGCTCTATCAAGAGGAATGTTGCACTCTGTGACTTGAATGCAAACATCACATAGCAGTGTTTGAGAATTCTTCTGTCTAGAGTAACATGAAGAAATCCCGTTTCCAACGAAGGCCTCAAGTCGGTCCAATTATCCACTTGCAGATTCTACAGAAAGAGTGTTTCAAAACTGCTCTATCAAGAGAAATGTTCCACCGTGTGTGTGGAATGCAGCCATCACACAGTAGTTTCTGAGATTGCTTCCGTCTAGGTTTTATGGGAAGATATTTCCTTTTCTACCATAGGCTTCAAGGCGCTCTAATATCCGCTTGGAAATACTACAACCACAGCGTTTCAAACTGCTCTATCCAAAGGAAGGTTCCACTCTGTGACTTGAATGCACACAACCAAAGAAGTTTCGGAGAATTCTTCTGTCTAGATTTATACGAAGAAATCCCGTTTCCAACGAAGACCCAAAGGAGTTCCAAATATCCACTTGCAGATCCTTCAGAAAGAGGGTTTCAAAACTGCTCTATCAAGAGAAATGTTCAACTACTGTGAGTTGAATGCAGACATCACAAAGTCGTTTCTGAGATTGGTTCTGTCTAGGTTTTATGGGAAGATATTTCCTTTTCTACCATGCGCTTCAAGGCGTTCCAAATATCCGCTTGGAAATACTACAAAAACAGTGTTTCAAAACTGCTCTATCAAAAGGAAGGATCCACACTGTGAGTTGAATTCACACATCACAAAGAAGTCTCTGAGAATTCTTCTGTCTGGGTTTATAGGAAGAAATCCCGTTTCCAACGAAGGCCTCAAAGAGGTCCAAATATCCACTTGCAGATTCTACAGAAACAATGTTTCCAAACTGCTCTATCAAGAGGAACGTTGCAATCGGTGAGTTGAATGCACACATCACAAAGTAGTTTCTGAGATTGCTTCTGTCTACCTTTTATGGAAAGATATTCCCTTTTCTACCATAGGCCTGAAAGCGCTCTCAATGTACCCTTGCAAATTCTACAAAAAGAGTGTTTCCAAATTGCTCTATCAAGAGAAATCTTTATCTCGGTGAGTTGGAAGCACACATCACAAAGAAGACTCTGAGAATTCTTCTGTCTGGGTTTATAAGAGGAAAACCCGTTTCCAACGAAGGCCTCAAGGAGGTCCAAATACAAACAAGCTGATTCTACAGAAAGAGTGTTTCCAAACTGCTCTATCAAGAGGAATGTTCCACTCGGTGAGTTGAATGCAGACATCACAAAGGAGTTTCTGGGATTGCTTCTGTCTAGCTTTTATGGAAAGATATTTCCTTTTCTACCATAGGCCTCAAAGCGCTCTTAGTATACACTTCCAAATTCTACAAAGAGAGTGTTACTAAACCGCTCTCTCAAAGGAAATGTTAAACTCTGTGAGTTGAACACAGACATCACAAAGCAGTTTCTGAGAACACTTGTGTCTGCCTTTTATGTGAAGACATTCCCTTTTCCAAAGAATGCCTCCAAGGGCTCAAAATATCCACTTGTAGACTTTACAAAGAGAGTGTTTCAAAACTTCTCTACCAAAAGAAAGGTTAAAGACGGTGAGTTCAACGCACACATCACAAAGTTGTTTCTGAGAATGATTCTATCTATGTTTTCCATGAAGATGTTTCCTTTTCTATCATAGGCTTCAAAGTGGTCTAAATATCCACTTGGAAATCCTACAAGAACAGGGTTTCAAAACTTCTCTATCAAACGGAAGACTCCACTCTGTGAGATGAACGCACACATCACAATGAGGTTTCTGAAAATTCTTCTGTCTAGGGTTATAGGAAGAAATCCCGTTTCCAACGAAGGCCTCAAAGAGGTCCAAATATCCACTTGCAGTTTCTACAAAAAGAGTGTTTCAACACTGCTCTATAAAGAGGAAAGTTCCACTCTGTGAGTTGAATGTACACATCACAAAGTAGTTTCTGAGATTGCTTCTGTCTAGGTTTTAGGTGAAGTTATTTCCTTTTCTACTGTGGGCTTCAATGCGCTCTAAATATACACATGCAAATACTACAAAAAGAGCGTTTGAAAACTGCTCTATCAAAAGAAAAGTTTTACTCTGTGGGTTGAATGCACACATCGCAAAGCAGATTCTGAGAATTATTCTGTCTAGTTTTTATAGGAAGATGTTTCTTTTTCTGCCATAGGCTCAATGCGCTATAAATATCCCCTTGGAAATCCTACAAAAACAGTGTTTCAAAACTGCTCTGTGAAAAGGGAGGTTTCACTCTTTGAATTGAATGCACACATCACAAAGGAGTTTCTGAAAATTCTTCAATCTAGAGTTACATGAAGAAATCCCGTTTCCAAAGAAGGCCTCAAATAGGTCCAAATATCCACTTGCAGCTACTACAAGAAGGGTGTTTCAGAAACGCTCTATCAAAAGAAACGTTAAACTCTGTGAGTTGAACGCACACGTCACTAAGCACTTTCTGAGAACGATTCTATCTACTTTTTACATGAAGATGTTTCCTTTTCTAGCAGAGACTTCAAAGTGCTCTAAATATCCACTTGGGAATTCTACAAAAACGGTGTCTGAAAACTGCTCTATCAAAGGGAATGTTCCATTCTGTGAGTCGAATGCACACATCCGAAGAAGTTACTGAGAATTCTTCTCTGTAGGTTTAGATGAAGAAATCCCGTTTCCAACGAAGGCCTCTAGGAGGTCCAATTATCCACTTGCAGATTCTACAGAAAGAGTGTTTCAAAACTGCTCTATCAAGAGAAATGGTCCACCGTGTGTGTGGAATGCAGCCATCACACATTAGTTTCTGAGATTGCTTCTGTCTTGGTTTTATGGGGAGATATTTCCATTTCTAGCATAGGCTTCAAGGCGCTCTAAATATCCGCTTGGAAATACTACAAAAACAGTGTTTCAAAACTGCTGTATCCAAAGGAAGGTGCCACTCGCTGAGTTGAATGCACACATCACAAGGAAGTTTCTGAGAATTCTTCTGTCTAGATTCATACGAAGAAATCCCGTTTCCAACGAAGGCCTCAAAGAAGTCCAAATATCCCATTGCAAATTCTACAAAAGGAGTGTTTCCCAACTGCTCTATCAAGAGGAATGTTGCACTCTGTGACTTGAATGCAAACATCACATAGCAGTGTTTGAGAATTCTTCTGTCTAGAGTAACATGAAGAAATCCCCTTTCCAACGAAGGCCTCAAGGCGGTCCAATTATCCACTTGCAGATTCTACAGAAAGAGTGTTTCAAAACTGCTCTATCAAGAGAAATGTTCCACCGTGTGTGTGGAATGCAGCCATCACACAGTAGTTTCTGAGATTGCTTCCGTCTAGGTTTTATGGGAAGATATTTCCTTTTCTACCATAGGCCTCAAGGCGCTCTAATATCCGCTTGGAAATACTACAACCACAGCGTTTCAAACTGCTCTATCCAAAGGAAGGTTCCACTCTGTGACTTGAATGCACACAACCAAAGAAGTTTCGGAGAATTCTTCTGTCTGGATTTATACGAAGAAATCCCGTTTCCAACGAAGACCCAAAGGAGTTCCAAATATCCACTTGCAGATCCTTCAGAAAGAGGGTTTCAAAACTGCTCTATCAAGAGAAATGTTCAACTCTGTGAGTTGAATGCAGGCATCACAAAGTCGTTTCTGAGATTGGTTCTGTCTAGGTTTTATGGGAAGATATTTCCTTTTCTACCATACGCTTCAAGGCGTTCCAAATATCCGCTTGGAAATACTACAAAAACGGTGTTTCAAAACTGCTCTATCAAAAGGAAGGATCCACACTGTGAGTTGAATTCACACATCACAAAGAAATCTCTGAGAATTCTTCTGTCTGGGTTTATAGGAAGAAATCCCGTTTCCAACGAAGGCCTCAAAGAGGTCCATATATCCACTTGCAGATTCTACAGAAACAATGTTTCCAAACTGCTCGGTCAAGAGGAATGTTGCACTCGGTGAGTTGAATGCACACATCACAAAGTAGTTTCTGAGATTGCTTCTGTCTACCTTTTATGGAAAGATATTCCCTTTTCTACCATAGGCCTGAAAGCGCTCTCAATGTACCCTTGCAAATTCTACAAAAAGAGTGTTTCCAAATTGCTCTATCAAGAGAAATCTTTATCTCGGTGAGTTGAAAGCACACATCACAAAGAAGACTCTGAGAATTCTTCTGTCTGGGTTTATAAGATGAAAACCCGTTTCCAACGAAGGCCTCAAGGAGGTCCAAATACAAACAAGCTGATTCTACAGAAAGAGTGTTTCCAAACTGCTCTATCAAGAGGAATGTTCCACTCGGTGAGTTGAATGCAGACATCACAAAGGAGTTTCTGAGATTGCTTCTGTCTAGCTTTTATGGAAAGATATTTCCTTTTCTACCATAGGCCTCAAAGCGCTCTTAGTATACACTTCCAAATTCTACAAAGAGAGTGTTACTAAACCGCTCTCTCAAAGGAAATGTTAAACTCTGTGAGTTGAACACAGACATCACAAAGCAGTTTCTGAGAACACTTTCTGTCTGCCTTTTATGTGAAGACATTCCCTTTTCCAAAGAATGCCTCCAAGGGCTCAAAATATCCACTTGTAGACTTTACAAAGAGAGTGTTTCAAAACTTCTCTACCAAAAGAAAGGTTAAAGACTGTGAGTTCAACACACACATCACAAAGTTGTTTCTGAGAATGACTCTATCTATGTTTTCCATGAAGATGTTTCCTTTTCTATCATAGGCTTCAAAGTGGTCTAAATATCCACTTGGAAATCCTACAAGAACAGGGTTTCAAAACTTCTCTATCAAACGGAAGACTCCACTCTGTGAGATGAACGCACACATCACAATGAGGTTTCTGAAAATTCTTCTGTCTAGGGTTATAGGAAGAAATCCCGTTTCCAACGAAGGCCTCAAAGAGGTCCAAATATCCACTTGCAGTTTCTACAAAAAGAGTGTTTCAACACTGCTCTATAAAGAGGAAAGTTCCACTCTGTGAGTTGAATGTACACATCACAAAGTAGTTTCTGAGATTGCTTCTGTCTAGGTTTTAGGTGAAGTTATTTCCTTTTCTACTGTGGGCTTCAATGCGCTCTAAATATACACATGCAAATACTACAAAAAGAGTGTTTCAAAACTGCTCTATCAAAAGAAAAGTTTTACTCTGTGAGTTGAACGCACACATCGCAAAGCAGATTCTGAGAATTATTCTGTCTAGTTTTTATAGGAAGATGTTTCTTTTTCTGCCGTAGGCTCTATGTGCTATAAATATCCCCTTGGAAATCCCACAAAAACAGTGTTTCAAAACTGCTCTGTGAAAAGGGACGTTTCACTCTGTGAATTGAATGCACACATCACAAAGGAGTTTCTGAAAATTCTTCAATCTAGAGTTACATGAAGAAATCCCGTTTCCAAAGAAGGCCTCAAATAGGTCCAAATATCCACTTGCAGCTACTACAAGAAGGGTGTTTCAGAAACGCTCTATCAAAAGAAACGTTAAACTCTGTGAGTTGAACACACACGTCACTAAGCACTTTCTGAGAACGATTCTATCTACTTTTTACATGAAGATGTTTCCTTTTCTAGCAGAGACTTCAAAGTGCTCTAAATATCCACTTGGGAATTCTACAAAAACGGTGTCTCAAAACTGCTCTATCAAAGGGAATGTTCCATTCTGTGAGTCGAATGCACACATCCGAAGAAGTTACTGAGAATTCTTCTCTGTAGGTTTAGATGAAGAAATCCCGTTTCCAACGAAGGCCTCTAGGAGGTCCAATTATCCACTTGCAGATTCTACAGAAAGAGTGTTTCAAAACTGCTCTATCAAGAGAAATGGTCCACCGTGTGTGTGGAATGCAGCCATCACACATTAGTTTCTGAGATTGCTTCTGTCTTGGTTTTATGGGAAGATATTTCCTTTTCTACCATAGGCTTCAAGGCGCTCCAAATATCCGCTTGGAAATACTATAAAAACAGTGTTTGAAAACTGCTCTATCAAAAGGAAGGATCCACTCTGTGAGTTGAATTCACACATCACAAAGAAGTCTCTGAGATTTCTTCTGTCTGGGTTTATAGGAAGAAATCCCGTTTCCAACGAAGGCCTCAAAGCGGTCCATATATCCACTTGCAGATTCTACAGAAACAATGTTTCCAAACTGCTCGGTCAAGAGGAATGTTGCACTCGGTGAGTTGAATGCACACATCACAAAGTAGTTTCTGAGATTGCTTCTGTCTACCTTTGATGGAAAGATATTCCCTTTTCTACCATAGGCCTGAAAGCGCTCTCAATGTACCCTTGCAAATTCTACAAAAAGAGTGTTTCCAAATTGCTCTATCAAGAGAAATCTTTATCTCGGTGAGTTGAAAGCACACATCACAAAGAAGACTCTGAGAATTCTTCTGTCTGGGTTTATAAGATGAAAACCCGTTTCCAACGAAGGCCTCAAGGAGGTCCAAATACAAACAAGCTGATTCTACAGAAAGAGTGTTTCCAAACTGCTCTATCAAGAGGAATGTTCCACTCGGTGAGTTGAATGCAGACATCACAAAGGAGTTTCTGAGATTGCTTCTGTCTAGCTTTTATGGAAAGATATTTCCTTTTCTACCATAGGCCTCAAAGCGCTCTTAGTATACACTTCCAAATTCTACAAAGAGAGTGTTACTAAACCACTCTCTCAAAGGAAATGTTAAACTCTGTGAGTTGAACACAGACATCACAAAGCAGTTTCTGAGAACACTTCTGTCTGCCTTTTATGTGAAGACATTCCCTTTTCCAAAGAATGCCTCCAAGGGCTCAAAATATCCACTTGTAGACTTTACAAAGAGAGTGTTTCAAAACTTCTCTACCAAAAGAAAGGTTAAAGACGGTGAGTTCAACGCACACATCACAAAGTTGTTTCTGACAATGATTCTATCTATGTTTTCCATGAAGATGTTTCCTTTTCTATCATAGGCTTCAAAGTGGTCTAAATATCCACTTGGAAATCCTACAAGAACAGGGTTTCAAAACTTCTCTATCAAACGGAACACTCCACTCTGTGAGATGAACGCACACATCACAATGAGGTTTCTGAAAATTCTTCTGTCTAGGGTTATAGGAAGAAATCCCGTTTCCAACGAAGGCCTCAAAGAGGTCCAAATATCCACTTGCAGTTTCTACAAAAAGAGTGTTTCAACACTGCTCTATAAAGAGGAAAGTTCCACTCTGTGAGTTGAATGTACACATCACAAAGTAGTTTCTGAGATTGCTTCTGTCTAGGTTTTAGGTGAAGTTATTTCCTTTTCTACTTTGGGCTTCAATGCGCTCTAAATATACACATGCAAATACTACAAAAAGAGTGTTTCAAAACTGCTCTATCAAAAGAAAAGTTTTACTCTGTGGGTTGAACGCACACATCGCAAAGCAGATTCTGAGAATTATTCTGTCTAGTTTTTATAGGAAGATGTTTCTTTTTCTGCCATAGGCTCAATGCGCTATAAATATCCCCTTGGAAGTCCTACAAAAACAGTGTTTCAAAACTGCTCTGTGAAAAGGGAGGTTTCACTCTTTGAATTGAATGCACACATCACAAAGGAGTTTCTGAAAATTCTTCAATCTAGAGTTACATGAAGAAATCCCGTTTCCAAAGAAGGCCTCAAATAGGTCCAAATATCCACTTGCAGCTACTACAAGAAGGGTGTTTCAGAAACGCTCTATCAAAAGAAACGTTAAACTCTGTGAGTTGAACGCACACGTCACTAAGCACTTTCTGAGAACGATTCTATCTACTTTTTACATGAAGATGTTTCCTTTTCTAGCAGAGACTTCAAAGTGCTCTAAATATCCACTTGGGAATTCTACAAAAACGGTGTCTCAAAACTGCTCTACCAAAGGGAATGTTCCATTCTGTGAGTCGAATGCACACATCCGAAGAAGTTACTGAGAATTCTTCTCTGTAGGTTTAGATGAAGAAATCCCGTTTCCAACGAAGGCCTCTAGGAGGTCCAATTATCCACTTGCAGATTCTACAGAAAGAGTGTTTCAAAACTGCTCTATCAAGAGAAATGGTCCACCGTGTGTGTGGAATGCAGCCATCACACATTAGTTTCTGAGATTGCTTCTGTCTTGGTTTTATGGGGAGATATTTCCATTTCTAGCATAGGCTTCAAGGCGCTCTAAATATCCGCTTGGAAATACTACAAAAACAGTGTTTCAAAACTGCTGTATCCAAAGGAAGGTGCCACTCGCTGAGTTGAATGCACACATCACAAGGAAAGTTTCTGAGAATTCTTCTGTCTAGATTCATACGAAGAAATCCCGTTTCCAACGAAGGCCTCAAAGAAGTCCAAATATCCCATTGCAAATTCTACAAAAGGAGTGTTTCCCAACTGCTCTATCAAGAGGAATGTTGCACTCTGTGACTTGCATGCAAACATCACACAGCAGTGTTTGAGAATTCTTCTGTCTAGAGTAACATGAAGAAATCCCGTTTCCAACGAAGGCCTCAAGGCGGTCCAATTATCCACTTGCAGATTCTACAGAAAGAGTGTTTCAAAACTGCTCTATCAAGAGAAATGTTCCACCGTGTGTGTGGAATGCAGCCATCACACAGTAGTTTCTGAGATTGCTTCCGTCTAGGTTTTATGGGAAGATATTTCCTTTTCTACCATAGGCTTCAAGGCGCTCTAATATCCGCTTGGAAATACTACAACCACAGCGTTTCAAACTGCTCTATCCAAAGGAAGGTTCCACTCTGTGACTTGAATGCACACAACCAAAGAAGTTTCGGAGTATTCTTCTGTCTGGATTTATACGAAGAAATCCCGTTTCCAACGAAGACCCAAAGGAGTTCCAAATATCCACTTGCAGATCCTTCAGAAAGAGGGTTTCAAAACTGCTCTATCAAGAGAAATGTTCAACTCTGTGAGTTGAATGCAGACATCACAAAGTCGTTTCTGAGATGGGTTCTGTCTAGGTTTTATGGGAAGATATTTCCTTTTCTACCATACGCTTCAAGGCGTTCCAAATATCCGCTTGGAAATACTACAAAAACAGTGTTTCAAAACTGCTCTATCAAAAGGAAGGATCCACACTGTGAGTTGAATTCACACATCACAAAGAAATCTCTGAGAATTCTTCTGTCTGGGTTTATAGGAAGAAATCCCGTTTCCAACGAAGGCCTCAAAGCGGTCCATATATCCACTTGCAGATTCTACAGAAACAATGTTTCCAAACTGCTCTATCAAGAGGAATGTTGCACTCGGTGAGTTGAATGCACACATCACAAAGTAGTTTCTGAGATTGCTTCTGTCTACCTTTTATGGAAAGATATTCCCTTTTCTACCATAGGCCTGAAAGCGCTCTCAATGTACCCTTGCAAATTCTACAAAAAGAGTGTTTCCAAATTGCTCTATCAAGAGAAATCTTTATCTCGGTGAGTTGAAAGCACACATCACAAAGAAGACTCTGAGAATTCTTCTGTCTGAGTTTATAAGATGAAAACCCGTTTCCAACGAAGGCCTCAAGGAGGTCCAAATAGAAACAAGCTGATTCTACAGAAAGAGTGTTTCCAAACTGCTCTATCAAGAGGAATGTTCCACTCGGTGAGTTGAATGCAGACATCACAAAGGAGTTTCTGAGATTGCTTCTGTCTAGCTTTTATGGAAGATATTTCCTTTTCTACCATAGGCCTCAAAGCGCTCTTAGTATACACTTCCAAATTCTACAAAGAGAGTGTTACTAAACCGCTCTCTCAAAGGAAATGTTAAACTCTGTGAGTTGAACACAGACATCACAAAGCAGTTTCTGAGAACACTTCTGTCTGCCTTTTATGTGAAGACATTCCCTTTTCCAAAGAATGCCTCCAAGGGCTCAAAATATCCACTTGTAGACTTTACAAAGAGAGTGTTTCAAAACTTCTCTACCAAAAGAAAGGTTAAAGACGGTGAGTTCAACGCACACATCACAAAGTTGTTTCTGAGAATGATTCTATCTATGTTTTCCATGAAGATGTTTCCTTTTCTATCATAGGCTTCAAAGTGGTCTAAATATCCACTTGGAAATCCTACAAGAACAGGGTTTCAAAACTTCTCTATCAAACGGAAGACTCCACTCTGTGAGATGAACGCACACATCACAATGAGGTTTCTGAAAATTCTTCTGTCTAGGGTTATAGGAAGAAATCCCGTTTCCAACGAAGGCCTCAAAGAGGTCCAAATATCCACTTGCAGTTTCTACAAAAAGAGTGTTTCAACACTGCTCTATAAAGAGGAAAGTTCCACTGCTGTGAGTTGAATGTACACATCACAAAGTAGTTTCTGAGATTGCTTCTGTCTAGGTTTTAGGTGAAGTTATTTCCTTTTCTACTGTGGGCTTCAATGCGCTCTAAATATACACATGCAAATACTACAAAAAGAGTGTTTCAAAACTGCTCTATCAAAAGAAAAGTTTTACTCTGTGGGTTGAACGCACACATCGAAAAGCAGATTCTGAGAATTATTCTGTCTAGTTTTTATAGGAAGATGTTTCTTTTTCTGCCATAGGCTCAATGCGCTATAAATATCCCCTTGGAAATCCTACAAAAACAGTGTTTCAAAACTGCTCTGTGAAAAGGGAGGTTTCACTCTTTGAATTGAATGCACACATCACAAAGGAGTTTCTGAAAATTCTTCAATCTAGAGTTACATGAAGAAATCCCGTTTCCAAAGAAGGCCTCAAATAGGTCCAAATATCCACTTGCAGCTACTACAAGAAGGGTGTTTCAGAAACGCTCTATCAAAAGAAACGTTAAACTCTGTGAGTTGAACGCACACGTCACTAAGCACTTTCTGAGAACGATCCTATCTACTTTTTACATGAAAGATGTTTCCTTTTCTAGCAGAGACTTCAAAGTGCTCTAAATATCCACTTGGGAATTCTACAAAAACGGTGTCTCAAAACTGCTCTATCAAACGGAATGTTCCATTCTGTGAGTCGAATGCACACATCCGAAGAAGTTACTGAGAATTCTTCTCTGTAGGTTTAGATGAAGAAATCCCGTTTCCAACGAAGGCCTCTAGGAGGTCCAATTATCCACTTGCAGATTCTACAGAAAGAGTGTTTCAAAACTGCTCTATCAAGAGAAATGGTCCACCGTGTGTGTGGAATGCAGCCATCACACATTAGTTTCTGAGATTGCTTCTGTCTTGGTTTTATGGGGAGATATTTCCATTTCTAGCATAGGCTTCAAGGCGCTCTAAATATCCGCTTGGAAATACTACAAAAACAGTGTTTCAAAACTGCTGTATCCAAAGGAAGGTGCCACTCGCTGAGTTGAATGCACACATCACAAGGAAGTTTCTGAGAATTCTTCTGTCTAGATTCATACGAAGAAATCCCGTTTCCAACGAAGGCCTCAAAGAAGTCCAAATATCCCATTGCAAATTCTACAAAAGGAGTGTTTCCCAACTGCTCTATCAAGAGGAATGTTGCACTCTGTGACTTGAATGCAAACATCACATAGCAGTGTTTGAGAATTCTTCTGTCTAGAGTAACATGAAGAAATCCCGTTTCCAACGAAGGCCTCAAGGCGGTCCAATTATCCACTTGCAGATTCTACAGAAAGAGTGTTTCAAAACTGCTCTATCAAGAGAAATGTTCCACCGTGTGTGTGGAATGCAGCCATCACACAGTAGTTTCTGAGATTGCTTCCGTCTAGGTTTTATGGGAAGATATTTCCTTTTCTACCATAGGCTTCAAGGCGCTCTAATATCCGCTTGGAAATACTACAACCACAGCGTTTCAAACTGCTCTATCCAAAGGAAGGTTCCACTCTGTGACTTGAATGCACACAACCAAAGAAGTTTCGGAGAATTCTTCTGTCTGGATTTATACGAAGAAATCCCGTTTCCAACGAAGACCCAAAGGAGTTCCAAATATCCACTTGCAGATCCTTCAGAAAGAGGGTTTCAAAACTGCTCTATCAAGAGAAATGTTCAACTCTGTGAGTTGAATGCAGACATCACAAAGTCGTTTCTGAGATTGGTTCTGTCTAGGTTTTATGGGAAGATATTTCCTTTTCTACCATACGCTTCAAGGCGTTCCAAATATCCGCTTGGAAATACTACAAAAACAGTGTTTCAAAACTGCTCTATCAAAAGGAAGGATCCACACTGTGAGTTGAATTCACACATCACAAAGAAAGTCTCTGAGAATTCTTCTGTCTGGGTTTATAGGAAGAAATCCCGTTTCCAACGAAGGCCTCAAAGGAGGTCCAAATATCCACTTGCAGATTCTACAGAAACAATGTTTCCAAACTGCTCTATCAAGAGGAACGTTGCACTCGGTGAGTTGAATGCACACATCACAAAGTAGTTTCTGAGATTGCTTCTGTCTACCTTTTCTACCATAGGCCTGAAAGCGCTCTCAATGTACCCTTGCAAATTCTACAAAAAGAGTGTTTCCAAATTGCTCTATCAAGAGAAATCTTTATCTCGGTGAGTTGAAAGCACACATCACAAAGAAGACTCTGAGAATTCTTCTGTCTGGGTTTATAAGATGAAAACCCGTTTCCAACGAAGGCCTCAAGGAGGTCCAAATACAAACAAGCTGATTCTACAGAAAGAGTGTTTCCAAACTGCTCTATCAAGAGGAATGTTCCACTCGGTGAGTTGAATGCAGACATCACAAAGGAGTTTCTGAGATTGCTTCTGTCTAGCTTTTATGGAAAGATATTTCCTTTTCTACCATAGGCCTCAAAGCGCTCTTAGTATACACTTCCAAATTCTACAAAGAGAGTGTTACTAAACCGCTCTCTCAAAGGAAATGTTAAACTCTGTGAGTTGAACACAGACATCACAAAGCAGTTTCTGAGAACACTTCTGTCTGCCTTTTATGTGAAGACATTCCCTTTTCCAAAGAATGCCTCCAAGGGCTCAAAATATCCACTTGTAGAATTTACAAAGAGAGTGTTTCAAAACTTCTCTACCAAAAGAAAGGTTAAAGACGGTGAGTTCAACGCACACATCACAAAGTTGTTTCTGAGAATGATTCTATCTATGTTTTCCATGAAGATGTTTCCTTTTCTATCATAGGCTTCAAAGTGGTCTAAATATCCACTTGGAAATCCTACAAGAACAGGGTTTCAAAACTTCTCTATCAAACGGAAGACCCCACTCTGTGAGATGAACGCACACATCACAATGAGGTTTCTGAAAATTCTTCTGTCTAGGGTTATAGGAAGAAATCCCGTTTCCAACGAAGGCCTCAAAGAGGTCAAAATATCCACTTGCAGTTTCTACAAAAAGAGTGTTTCCACACTGCTCTATAAAGAGGAAAGTTCCACTCTGTGAGTTGAATGTACACATCACAAAGTAGTTTCTGAGATTGCTTCTGTCTAGGTTTTAGGTGAAGTTATTTCCTTTTCTACTGTGGGCTTCAATGCGCTCTAAATATACACATGCAAATACTACAAAAAGAGTGTTTCAAAACTGCTCTATCAAAAGAAAAGTTTTACTCTGTGAGTTGAACGCACACATCGCAAAGCAGATTCTGAGAATTATTCTGTCTAGTTTTTATAGGAAGATGTTTCTTTTTCTGCCGTAGGCTCAATGCGCTATAAATATCCCCTTGGAAATCCTACAAAAACAGTGTTTCAAAACTGCTCTGTGAAAAGGGAGGTTTCACTCTTTGAATTGAATGCACACATCACAAAGGAGTTTCTGAAAATTCTTCAAACTAGAGTTACATGAAGAAATCCCGTTTCCAAAGAAGGCCTCAAATAGGTCCAAATATCCACTTGCAGCTACTACAAGCAGGGTGTTTCAGAAACGCTCTATCAAAAGAAACGTTAAACTCTGTGAGTTGAACACACACGTCACTAACCACTTTCTGAGAACGATTCTATCTACTTTTTACATGAAGATGTTTCCTTTTCTAGCAGAGACTTCAAAGTGCTCTAAATATCCACTTGGGAATTCTACAAAAACGGTGTCTCAAAACTGCTCTATCAAACGGAATGTTCCATTGTGTGAGTCGAATGCACACATCCGAAGAAGTTACTGAGAATTCTTCTCTGTAGGTTTAGATGAAGAAATCCCGTTTCCAACGAAGGCCTCTAGGAGGTCCAATTATCCACTTGCAGATTCTACAGAAAGAGTGTTTCAAAACTGCTCTATCAAGAGAAATGGTCCACCGTGTGTGTGGAATGCAGCCATCACACATTAGTTTCTGAGATTGCTTCTGTCTTGGTTTTATGGGGAGATATTTCCATTTCTAGCATAGGCTTCAAGGCGCTCTAAATATCCGCTTGGAAATAGTACAAAAACAGTGTTTCAAAACTGCTGTATCCAAAGGAAGGTGCCACTCGCTGAGTTGAATGCACACATCACAAGGAAGTTTGCTGAGAATTCTTCTGTCTAGATTCATACGAAGAAATCCCGTTTCCAACGAAGGCCTCAAAGAAGTCCAAATATCCCATTGCAAATTCTACAAAAGGAGTGTTTCCCAACTGCTCTATCAAGAGGAATGTTGCACTCTGTGACTTGAATGCAAACATCACACAGCAGTGTTTGAGAATTCTTCTGTCTAGTAGTAACATGAAGAAATCCCGTTTCCAACGAAGGCCTCAAGGCGGTCCAATTATCCACTTGCAGATTCTACAGAAAGAGTGTTTCAAAACTGCTCTATCAAGAGAAATGTTCCACCGTGTGTGTGGAATGCAGCCATCACACAGTAGTTTCTGAGATTGCTTCCGTCTAGGTTTTATGGGAAGATATTTCCTTTTCTACCATAGGCCTCAAGGCGCTCTAATATCCGCTTGGAAATTCTACAACCACAGCGTTTCAAACTGCTCTACCCAAAGGAAGGTTCCACCCTGTGACTTGAATGCACACAACCAAAGAAGTTTCGGAGAATTCTTCGGTCTAGATTTATACGAAGAAATCCCGTTTCCAACGAAGACCCAAAGGAGTTCCAAATATCCACTTGCAGATCCTTCAGAAAGAGGGTTTCAAAACTGCTCTATCAAGAGAAATGTTCAACTCTGTGAGTTGAATGCAGACATCACAAAGTCGTTTCTGAGATTGGTTCTGTCTAGGTTTTATGGGAAGATATTTCCTTTTCTACCATGCGCTTCAAGGCGTTCCAAATATCCGCTTGGAAATACTACAAAAACAGTGTTTCAAACCTGCTCTATCAAAAGGAAGGATCCACACTGTGAGTTGAATTCACACATCACAAAGAAGTCTCTGAGAATTCTTCTGTCTGGGTTTATAGGAAGAAATCCCGTTTCCAACGAAGGCCTCAAAGAGGTCCAAATATCCACTTGCAGATTCTACAGAAACAATGTTTCCAAACTGCTCTATCAAGAGGAATGTTGCAATCGGTGAGTTGAATGCACACATCACAAAGTAGTTTCTGAGATTGCTTCTGTCTACCTTTGATGGAAAGATATTCCCTTTTCTACCATAGGCCTGAAAGCGCTCTCAATGTACCCTTGCAAATTCTGCAAAAAGAGTGTTTCCAAATTGCTCTATCAAGAGAAATCTTTATCTCGGTGAGTTGAAAGCACACATCACAAAGAAGACTCTGAGAATTCTTCTGTCTGGGTTTATAAGATGAAAACCCGTTTCCAACGAAGGCCTCAAGGAGGTCCAAATACAAACAAGCTGATTCTACAGAAAGAGTGTTTCCAAACTGCTCTATCAAGAGGAATGTTCCACTCGGTGAGTTGAATGCAGACATCACAAAGGAGTTTCTGAGATTGCTTCTGTCCAGCTTTTATGGAAAGATATTTCCTTTTCTACCATAGGCCTCAAAGCGCTCTTAGTATACACTTCCAAATTCTACAAAGAGAGGGTTACTAAACCGCTCTATCACAGGAAATGTTAAACTCTGTGAGTTGAACACAGACATCACAAAGCAGTTTCTGAGAACACTTCTGTCTGCCTTTTATGTGAAGACATTCCCTTTTCCAAAGAATGCCTCCAAGGGCTCAAAATATCCACTTGTAGACTTTACAAAGAGAGTGTTTCAAAACTTCTCTACCAAAAGAAAGGTTAAAGACGGTGAGTTCAACGCACACATCACAAAGTTGTTTCTGAGAATGATTCTATCTATGTTTTCCATGAAGATGTTTCCTTTTCTATCATAGGCTTCAAAGTGGTCTAAATATCCACTTGGAAATCCTACAAGAACAGGGTTTCAAAACTTCTCTATCAAACGGAAGACTCCACTCTGTGAGATGAACAGCACACATCACAATGAGGTTTCTGAAAATTCTTCTGTCTAGGGTTATAGGAAGAAATCCCGTTTCCAACGAAGGCCTCAAAGAGGTCCAAATATCCACTTGCAGTTTCTACAAAAAGAGTGTTTCAACACTGCTCTATAAAGAGGAAAGTTCCACTCTGTGAGTTGAATGTACACATCACAAAGTAGTTTCTGAGATTGCTTCTGTCTAGGTTTTAGGTGAAGTTATTTCCTTTTCTACTGTGGGCTTCAATGCGCTCTAAATATACACATGCAAATACTACAAAAAGAGTGTTTCAAAACTGCTCTATCAAAAGAAAAGTTTTACTCTGTGGGTTGAACGCACACATCGCAAAGCAGATTCTGAGGATTATTCTGTCTAGTTTTTATAGGAAGATGTTTCTTTTTCTGCCGTAGGCTCAATGCGCTATAAATATCCCCTTGGAAATCCTACAAAAACAGTGTTTCAAAATTGCTCTGTGAAAAGGGAGGTTTCACTCTTTGAATTGAATGCACACATCACAAAGGAGTTTCTGAAAATTCTTCAAACTAGAGTTACATGAAGAAATCCCGTTTCCAAAGAAGGCCTCAAATAGGTCCAAATATCCACTTGCAGCTACTACAAGAAGGGTGTTTCAGAAACGCTCTATCAAAAGAAACGTTAAACTCTGTGAGTTGAACGCACACGTCACTAAGCACTTTCTGAGAACGATTCTATCTACTTTTTACATGAAGATGTTTCCTTTTCTAGCAGAGACTTCAAAGTGCTCTAAATATCCACTTGGGAATTCTACAAAAACGGTGTCTCAAAACTGCTCTATCAAACGGAAAGTTCCATTCTGTGAGTCGAATGCACACATCCGAAGAAGTTACTGAGAATTCTTCTCTGTAGGTTTAGATGAAGAAATCCCGTTTCCAACGAAGGCCTCTAGGAGGTCCAATTATCCACTTGCAGATTCTACAGAAAGAGTGTTTCAAAACTGCTCTATCAAGAGAAATGGTCCACCGTGTGTGTGGAATGCAGCCATCACACATTAGTTTCTGAGATTGCTTCTGTCTTGGTTTTATGGGGAGATATTTCCATTTCTAGCATAGGCTTCAAGGCGCTCTAAATATCCGCTTGGAAATAGTACAAAAACAGTGTTTCAAAACTGCTGTATCCAAAGGAAGGTGCCACTCGCTGAGTTGAATGCACACATCACAAGGAAGTTTCTGAGAATTCTTCTGTCTAGATTCATACGAAGAAATCCCGTTTCCAACGAAGGCCTCAAAGAAGTCCAAATATCCCATTGCAAATTCTACAAAAGGAGTGTTTCCCAACTGCTCTATCAAGAGGAATGTTGCACTCTGTGACTTGAATGCAAACATCACACAGCAGTGTTTGAGAATTCTTCTGTCTAGAGTAACATGAAGAAATCCCGTTTCCAACGAAGGCCTCAAGGCGGTCCAATTATCCACTTGCAGATTCTACAGAAAGAGTGTTTCAAAACTGCTCTATCAAGAGAAATGTTCCACCGTGTGTGTGGAATGCAGCCATCACACAGTAGTTTCTGAGATTGCTTCCGTCTAGGTTTTATGGGAAGATATTTCCTTTTCTACCATAGGCTTCAAGGCGCTCTAATATCCGCTTGGAAATACTACAACCACAGCGTTTCAAACTGCTCTATCCAAAGGAAGGTTCCACTCTGTGACTTGAATGCACACAACCAAAGAAGTTTCGGAGAATTCTTCTGTCTAGATTTATACGAAGAAATCCCGTTTCCAACGAAGACCCAAAGGAGTTCCAAATATCCACTTGCAGATCCTTCAGAAAGAGGGTTTCAAAACTGCTCTATCAAGAGAAATGTTCAACTCTGTGAGTTGAATGCAGACATCACAAAGTCGTTTCTGAGATTGGTTCTGTCTAGGTTTTATGGGAAGATATTTCCTTTTCTACCATGCGCTTCAAGGCGTTCCAAATATCCGCTTGGAAATACTACAAAAACAGTGTTTCAAAACTGCTCTATCAAAAGGAAGGATCCACACTGTGAGTTGAATTCACACATCACAAAGAAGTCTCTGAGAATTCTTCTGTCTGGGTTTATAGGAAGAAATCCCGTTTCCAACGAAGGCCTCAAAGAGGTCCAAATATCCACTTGCAGATTCTACAGAAACAATGTTTCCAAACTGCTCTATCAAGAGGAACGTTGCAATCGGTGAGTTGAATGCACACATCACAAAGTAGTTTCTGAGATTGCTTCTGTCTACCTTTTATGGAAAGATATTCCCTTTTCTACCATAGGCCTGAAAGCGCTCTCAATGTACCCTTGCAAATTCTACAAAAAGAGTGTTTCCAAATTGCTCTATCAAGAAAAATCTTTATCTCGGTGAGTTGGAAGCACACATCACAAAGAAGACTCTGAGAATTCTTCTGTCTGGGTTTATAAGAGGAAAACCCGTTTCCAACGAAGGCCTCAAGGAGGTCCAAATACAAACAAGCTGATTCTACAGAAAGAGTGTTTCCAAACTGCTCTATCAAGAGGAATGTTCCACTCGGTGAGTTGAATGCAGACATCACAAAGGAGTTTCTGGGATTGCTTCTGTCTAGCTTTTATGGAAAGATATTTCCTTTTCTACCATAGGCCTCAAAGCACTCTTAGTATACACTTCCAAATTCTACAAAGACAGTGTTACTAAACTGCTCTATCAAAGGAAATGTTAAACTCTGTGAGTTGAACACAGACATCACAAAGCAGTTTCTGAGAACACTTCTGTCTGCCTTTTACGTGAAGACATTCCCTTTTCCAAAGAATGCCTCCAAGGGCTCAAAATATCCACTTGTAGACTTTACAAAGAGAGTGTTTCAAAACTTCTCTACCAAAAGAAAGGTTAAAGACGGCGAGTTCAACGCACACATCACAAAGTTGTTTCTGAGAATGATTCTATCTATGTTTTCCATGAAGATGTTTCCTTTTCTATCATAGGCTTCAAAGTGGTCTAAATATCCACTTGGAAATCCTACAAGAACAGGGTTTCAAAACTTCTCTATCAAACGGAAGACTCCACTCTGTGAGATGAACGCACACATCACAATGAGGTTTCTGAAAATTCTTCTGTCTAGGGTTATAGGAAGAAATCCCGTTTCCAACGAAGGCCTCAAAGAGGTCCAAATATCCACTTGCAGTTTCTACAAAAAGAGTGTTTCAACACTGCTCTATAAAGAGGAAAGTTCCACTCTGTGAGGTTGAATGTACACATCACAAAGTAGTTTCTGAGATTGCTTCTGTCTAGGTTTTAGGTGAAGTTATTTCCTTTTCTACTGTGGGCTTCAATGCGCTCTAAATATACACATGCAAATACTACAAAAAGAGTGTTTCAAGACTGCTCTATCAAAAGAAATGTTTTACTCTGTGAGTTGAACGCACACATGGCAAACCAGATTCTGAGAATTATTCTGTCTAGTTTTTATAGGAAGGTGTTTCTTTTTCTGCCGTGGGCTCAATGCGCTATAAATATCCCCTTGGAAATCCTACAAAAACAGTGTTTCCAAACTGCTCTGTGAAAAGGGTGGTTTCACTCTTTGAATTGAATGCACACATCACAAAGGAGTTTCTGAGAATTCTTCAATCTAGAGTTACATGAAGAAATCCCGTTTCCAAAGAAGGCCTCCAATAGGTCCAAATATCCACTTGCAGCTACTACAAGAAGGGTGTTTCAGAAACGCTCTATCAAAAGAAACGTTACACTCTGTGAGTTGAACGCACACGTCACTAAGCACTATCTGAGAACGATTCTATCTACTTTTTACATGAAGATGTTTCCTTTTCTAGCAGAGACTTCAAAGTGCTCTAAATATCCACTTGGGAATTCTACCAAAACGGTGTCTCAAAACTGCTCTATCGAAGGGAATGTTCCACTCTGTGAGTCGAATGCACACATCCGAAGAAGTTACTGAGAATTCTTCTCTGTAGGTTTAGATGAAGAAATCCCGTTTCCAACGAAGGCCTCTAGGAGGTCCAATTATCCACTTGCAGATTCTACAGAAAGAGTGTTTCAAAACTGCTCTATCAAGAGAAATGGTCCACCGTGTGTGTGGAATGCAGCCATCACACATTAGTTTCTGAGATTGCTTCTGTCTTGGTTTTATGGGGAGATATTTCCATTTCTAGCATAGGCTTCAAGGCGCTCTAAATATCCGCTTGGAAATACTACAAAAACAGTGTTTCAAAACTGCTGTATCCAAAGGAAGGTGCCACTCGCTGAGTTGAATGCACACATCACAAGGAAGTTTCTGAGAATTCTTCTGTCTAGATTCATACGAAGAAATCCCGTTTCCAACGAAGGCCTCAAAGAAGTCCAAATATCCCATTGCAAATTCTACAAAAGGAGTGTTTCCCAACTGCTCTATCAAGAGGAATGTTGCACTCTGTGACTTGCATGCAAACATCACACAGCAGTGTTTGAGAATTCTTCTGTCTAGAGTAACATGAAGAAATCCCGTTTCCAACGAAGGCCTCAAGGCGGTCCAATTATCCACTTGCAGATTCTACAGAAAGAGTGTTTCAAAACTGCTCTATCAAGAGAAATGTTCCACCGTGTGTGTGGAATGCAGCCATCACACAGTAGTTTCTGAGATTGCTTCCGTCTATGTTTTATGGGAAGATATTTCCTTTTCTACCATAGGCTTCAAGGCGCTCTAATATCCGCTTGGAAATACTACAACCACAGCGTTTCAAACTGCTCTACCCAAAGGAAGGTTCCACCCTGTGACTTGAATGCACACAACCAAAGAAGTTTCGGAGAATTCTTCTGTCTAGATTTCTACGAAGAAATCCCGTTTCCAACGAAGACCCAAAGAAGTTCCAAATATCCACTTGCAGATCCTTCAGAAAGAGGGTTTCAAAACTGCTCTATCAAGAGAAATGTTCAACTCTGTGAGTTGAATGCAGACATCACAAAGTCGTTTCTGAGATTGGTTCTGTCTAGGTTTTATGGGAAGATATTTCCTTTTCTACCATGCGCTTCAAGGCGTTCCAAATATCCGCTTGGAAATACTACAAAAACAGTGTTTCAAAACTGCTCTATCAAAAGGAAGGATCCACACTGTGAGTTGAATTCACACATCACAAAGAAGTCTCTGAGAATTCTTCTGTCTGGGTTTATAGGAAGAAATCCCGTTTCCAACGAAGGCCTCAAAGAGGTCCAAATATCCACTTGCAGATTCTACAGAAACAATGTTTCCAAACTGCTCTATCAAGAGGAACGTTGCAATCGGTGAGTTGAATGCACACATCACAAAGTAGTTTCTGAGATTGCTTCTGTCTACCTTTGATGGAAAGATATTCCCTTTTCTACCATAGGCCTGAAAGCGCTCTCAATGTACCCTTGCAAATTCTACAAAAAGAGTGTTTCCAAATTGCTGTATCAAGAGAAATCTTTATCTCGGTGAGTTGAAAGCACACATCACAAAGAAGACTCTGAGAATTCTTCTGTCTGGGTTTATAAGATGAAAACCCGTTTCCAACGAAGGCCTCAAGGAGGTCCAAATACAAACAAGCTGATTCTACAGAAAGAGTGTTTCCAAACTGCTCTATCAAGAGGAATGTTCCACTCGGTGAGTTGAATGCAGACATCACAAAGGAGTTTCTGAGATTGCTTCTGTCTAGCTTTTATGGAAAGATATTTCCTTTTCTACCATAGGCCTCAAAGCGCTCTTAGTATACACTTCCAAATTCTACAAAGAGAGTGTTACTAAACCGCTCTCTCAAAGGAAATGTTAAACTCTGTGAGTTGAACACAGACATCACAAAGCAGTTTCTGAGAACACTTCTGTCTGCCTTTTATGTGAAGACATTCCCTTTTCCAAAGAATGCCTCCAAGGGCTCAAAATATCCACTTGTAGACTTTACAAAGAGAGTGTTTCAAAACTTCTCTACCAAAAGAAAGGTTAAAGACGGTGAGTTCAACGCACACATCACAAAGTTGTTTCTGAGAATGATTCTATCTATGTTTTCCATGAAGATGTTTCCTTTTCTATCATAGGCTTCAAAGTGGTCTAAATATCCACTTGGAAATCCTACAAGAACAGGGTTTCAAAACTTCTCTATCAAACGGAAGACTCCACTCTGTGAGATGAACGCACACATCACAATGAGGTTTCTGAAAATTCTTCTGTCTAGGGTTATAGGAAGAAATCCCGTTTCCAACGAAGGCCTCAAAGAGGTCCAAATATCCACTTGCAGTTTCTACAAAAAGAGTGTTTCAACACTGCTCTATAAAGAGAAAAGTTCCACTCTGTGAGTTGAATGTACACATCACAAAGTAGTTTCTGAGATTGCTTCTGTCTAGGTTTTAGGTGAAGTTATTTCCTTTTCTACTGTGGGCTTCAATGCGCTCTAAATATACACATGCAAATACTACAAAAAGAGTGTTTCAAAACTGCTCTATCAAAAGAAAAGTTTTACTCTGTGGGTTGAACGCACACATCGCAAAGCAGATTCTGAGAATTATTCTGTCTAGTTTTTATAGGAAGATGTTTCTTTTTCTGCCGTAGGATCAATGCGCTATAAATATCCCCTTGGAAATCCTACAAAAACAGTGTTTCAAAACTGCTCTGTGAAAAGGGAGGTTTCACTCTTTGAATTGAATGCACACATCACAAAGGAGTTTCTGAAAATTCTTCAATCTAGAGTTACATGAAGAAATCCCGTTTCCAAAGAAGGCCTCAAATAGGTCCAAATATCCACTTGCAGCTACTACAAGAAGGGTGTTTCAGAAACGCTCTATCAAAAGAAACGTTAAACTCTGTGAGTTGAACACACACGTCACTAAGCACTTTCTGAGAACGATTCTATCTACTTTTTACATGAAGATGTTTCCTTTTCTAGCAGAGACTTCAAAGTGCTCTAAATATCCACTTGGCAATTCTACAAAAACGATGTCTCAAAACTGCTCTATCAAAGGGAATGTTCCATTCTGTGAGTCGAATGCACACATCCGAAGAAGTTACTGAGAATTCTTCTCTGTAGGTTTAGATGAAGAAATCCCGTTTCCAACGAAGGCCTCTAGGAGGTCCAATTATCCACTTGCAGATTCTACAGAAAGAGTGTTTCAAAACTGCTCTATCAAGAGAAATGGTCCACCGTGTGTGTGGAATGCAGCCATCACACATTAGTTTCTGAGATTGCTTCTGTCTTGGTTTTATGGGGAGATATTTCCATTTCTAGCATAGGCTTCAAGGCGCTCTAAATATCCGCTTGGAAATACTACAAAAACAGTGTTTCAAAACTGCTGTATCCAAAGGAAGGTGCCACTCGCTGAGTTGAATGCACACATCACAAGGAAGTTTCTGAGAATTCTTCTGTCTAGATTCATACGAAGAAATCCCGTTTCCAACGAAGGCCTCAAAGAAGTCCAAATATCCCATTGCAAATTCTACAAAAGGAGTGTTTCCCAACTGCTCTATCAAGAGGAATGTTGCACTCTGTGACTTGAATGCAAACATCACATAGCAGTGTTTGAGAATTCTTCTGTCTAGAGTAACATGAAGAAATCCCGTTTCCAACGAAGGCCTCAAGGCGGTCCAATTATCCACTTGCAGATTCTACAGAAAGAGTGTTTCAAAACTGCTCTATCAAGAGAAATGTTCCACCGTGTGTGTGGAATGCAGCCATCACACAGTAGATTCTGAGATTGCTTCCGTCTAGGTTTTATGGGAAGATATTTCCTTTTCTACCATAGGCTTCAAGGCGCTCTAATATCCGCTTGGAAATACTACAACCACAGCGTTTCAAACTGCTCTATCCAAAGGAAGGTTCCACTCTGTGACTTGAATGCACACAACCAAAGAAGTTTCGGAGAATTCTTCTGTCTGGATTTATACGAAGAAATCCCGTTTCCAACGAAGACCCAAAGGAGTTCCAAATATCCACTTGCAGATCCTTCAGAAAGAGGGTTTCAAAACTGCTCTATCAAGAGAAATGTTCAACTCTGTGAGTTGAATGCAGACATCACAAAGTCGTTTCTGAGATTGGTTCTGTCTAGGTTTTATGGGAAGATATTTCCTTTTCTACCATACGCTTCAAGGCGTTCCAAATATCCGCTTGGAAATACTACAAAAGCGGTGTTTCAAAACTGCTCTATCAAAAGGAAGGATCCACACTGTGAGTTGAATTCACACATCACAAAGAAATCTCTGAGAATTCTTCTGTCTGGGTTTATAGGAAGAAATCCCGTTTCCAACGAAGGCCTCAAAGCGGTCCATATATCCACTTGCAGATTCTACAGAAACAATGTTTCCAAACTGCTCTATCAAGAGGAATGTTGCACTCGGTGAGTTGAATGCACACATCACAAAGTAGTTTCTGAGATTGCTTCTGTCTACCTTTTATGGAAAGATATTCCCTTTTCTACCATAGGCCTGAAAGCGCTCTCAATGTACCCTTGCAAATTCTACAAAAAGAGTGTTTCCAAATTGCTCTATCAAGAGAAATCTTTATGTCGGTGAGTTGAAAGTACACATCACAAAGAAAACTCTGAGAATTCTTCTGTCTGGGTTTATAAGATGAAAACCCGTTTCCAACGAAGGCCTCAAGGAGGTCCAAATACAAACAAGCTGATTCTACAGAAAGAGTGTTTCCAAACTGCTCTATCAAGAGGAATGTTCCACTCGGTGAGTTGAATGCAGACATCACAAAGGAGTTTCTGAGATTGCTTCTGTCTAGCTTTTATGGAAAGATATTTCCTTTTCTACCATAGGCCTCAAAGCGCTCTTAGTATACACTTCCAAATTCTACAAAGAGAGTGTTACTAAACCGCTCTCTCAAAGGAAATGTTAAACTCTGTGAGTTGAACACAGACATCACAAAGCAGTTTCTGAGAACACTTCTGTCTGCCTTTTATGTGAAGACATTCCCTTTTCCAAAGAATGCCTCCAAGGGCTCAAAATATCCACTTGTAGACTTTACAAAGTGAGTGTTTCAAAACTTCTCTACCAAAAGAAAGGTTAAAGACGGTGAGTTCAACGCACACATCACAAAGTTGTTTCTGAGAATGATTCTATCTATGTTTTCCATGAAGATGTTTCCTTTTCTATCATAGGCTTCAAAGTGGTCTAAATATCCACTTGGAAATTTTACAAGAACAGGGTTTCAAAACTTCTCTATCAAACGGAAGACTCCACTCTGTGAGATGAACGCACACATCACAATGAGGTTTCTGAAAATTCTTCTGTCTAGGGTTATAGGAAGAAATCCCGTTTCCAACGAAGGCCTCAAAGAGGTCCAAATATCCACTTGCAGTTTCTACAAAAAGAGTGTTTCAACACTGCTCTATAAAGAGGAAAGTTCCACTCTGTGAGTTGAATGTACACATCACAAAATAGTTTCTGAGATTGCTTCTGTCTAGGTTTTAGGTGAAGTTATTTCCTTTTCTACTGTGGGCTTCAATGCGCTCTAAATATACACATGCAAATACTACAAAAAGAGTGTTTCAAAACTGCTCTATCAAAAGAAAAGTTTTACTCTGTGAGTTGAACGCACACATCGCAAAGCAGATTCTGAGAATTATTCTGTCTAGTTTTTATAGGAAGATGTTTCTTTTTCTGCCGTAGGCTCAATGCGCTATAAATATCCCCTTGGAAATCCTACAAAAACAGTGTTTCAAAACTGCTCTGTGAAAAGGGAGGTTTCACTCTTTGAATTGAATGCACACATCACAAAGGAGTTTCTGAAAATTCTTCAAACTAGAGTTACATGAAGAAATCCCGTTTCCAAAGAAGGCCTCAAATAGGTCCAAATATCCACTTGCAGCTACTACAAGAAGGGTGTTTCAGAAACGCTCTATCAAAAGAAACGTTAAACTCTGTGAGTTGAACACACACGTCACTAAGCACTTTCTGAGAACGATTCTATGTACTTTTTACATGAAGATGTTTCCTTTTCTAGCAGAGACTTCAAAGTGCTCTAAATATCCACTTGGGAATTCTACCAAAACGGTGTCTCAAAACTGCTCTATCGAAGGGAATGTTCCACTCTGTGAGTCGAATGCACACATCCGAAGAAGTTACTGAGAATTCTTCTCTGTAGGTTTAGATGAAGAAATCCCGTTTCCAACGAAGGCCTCTAGGAGGTCCAATTATCCACTTGCAGATTCTACAGAAAGAGTGTTTCAAAACTGCTCTATCAAGAGAAATGGTCCACCGTGTGTGTGGAATGCAGCCATCACACATTAGTTTCTGAGATTGCTTCTGTCTTGGTTTTATGGGGAGATATTTCCATTTCTAGCATAGGCTTCAAGGCGCTCTAAATATCCGCTTGGAAATACTACAAAAACAGTGTTTCAAAACTGCTGTATCCAAAGGAAGGTGCCACTCGCTGAGTTGAATGCACACATCACAAGGAAGTTTCTGAGAATTCTTCTGTCTAGATTCATACGAAGAAATCCCGTTTCCAACGAAGGCCTCAAAGAAGTCCAAATATCCCATTGCAAATTCTACATAAGGAGTGTTTCCCAACTGCTCTATCAAGAGGAATGTTGCACTCTGTGACTTGAATGCAAACATCACATAGCAGTGTTTGAGAATTGTTCTGTCTAGAGTAACATGAAGAAATCCCGTTTCCAACGAAGGTCTCAAGGCGGTCCAATTATCCACTTGCAGATTCTACAGAAAGAGTGTTTCAAAACTGCTCTATCAAGAGAAATGTTCCACCGTGTGTGTGGAATGCAGCCATCACAAAGTAGTTTCTGAGATTGCTTCCGTCTAGGTTTTATGGGAAGATATTTCCTTTTCTACCATAGGCCTCAAGGCGCTCTAATATCCGCTTGGAAATACTACAACCACAGCGTTTCAAACTGCTCTATCCAAAGGAAGGTTCCACTCTGTGACTTGAATGCACACAACCAAAGAAGTTTCGGAGAATTCTTCTGTCTGGATTTATACGAAGAAATCCCGTTTCCAACGAAGACCCAAAGGAGTTCCAAATATCCACTTGCAGATCCTTCAGAAAGAGGGTTTCAAAACTGCTCTATCAAGAGAAATGTTAAACTCTGTGAGTTGAATGCAGGCATCACAAAGTCGTTTCTGAGATTGGTTCTGTCTAGGTTTTATGGGAAGATATTTCCTTTTCTACCATACGCTTCAAGGCGTTCCAAATATCCGCTTGGAAATACTACAAAAACGGTGTTTCAAAACTGCTCTATCAAAAGGAAGGATCCACACTGTGAGTTGAATTCACACATCACAAAGAAATCTCTGAGAATTCTTCTGTCTGGGTTTATAGGAAGAAATCCCGTTTCCAACGAAGGCCTCAAAGCGGTCCATATATCCACTTGCAGATTCTACAGAAACAATGTTTCCAAACTGCTCTATCAAGAGGAATGTTGCACTCGGTGAGTTGAATGCACACATCACAAAGTAGTTTCTGAGATTGCTTCTGTCTACCTTTTATGGAAAGATATTCCCTTTTCTACCATAAGCCTGAAAGCGCTCTCAATGTACCCTTGCAAATTCTACAAAAAGAGTGTTTCCAAATTGCTCTATCAAGAGAAATCTTTATCTCGGTGAGTTGAAAGCACACATCACAAAGAAGACTCTGAGAATTCTTCTGTCTGGGTTTATAAGATGAAAACCCGTTTCCAACGAAGGCCTCAAGGAGGTCCAAATACAAACAAGCTGATTCTACAGAAAGAGTGTTTCCAAACTGCTCTATCAAGAGGAATGTTCCACTCGGTGAGTTGAATGCAGACATCACAAAGGAGTTTCTGAGATTGCTTCTGTCTAGCTTTTATGGAAAGATATTTCCTTTTCTACCATAGGCCTCAAAGCGCTCTTAGTATACACTTCCAAATTCTACAAAGAGAGTGTTACTAAACCGCTCTCTCAAAGGAAAATGTTAAACTCTGTGAGTTGAACACAGACATCACAAAGCAGTTTCTGAGAACACTTCTGTCTGCCTTTTATGTGAAGACATTCCCTTTTCCAAAGAATGCCTCCAAGGGCTCAAAATATCCACTTGTAGACTTTACAAAGAGAGTGTTTCAAAACTTCTCTACCAAAAGAAAGGTTAAAGACGGTGAGTTCAACGCACACATCACAAAGTTGTTTCTGAGAATGATTCTATCTATGTTTTCCATGAAGATGTTTCCTTTTCTATCATAGGCTTCAAAGTGGTCTAAATATCCACTTGGAAATCCTACAAGAACAGGGTTTCAAAACTTCTCTATCAAACGGAGGACTCCACTCTGTGAGATGAACGCACACATCACAATGAGGTTTCTGAAAATTCTTCTGTCTAGGGTTATAGGAAGAAATCCCGTTTCCAACGAAGGCCTCAAAGAGGTCCAAATATCCACTTGCAGTTTCTACAAAAAGAGTGTTTCAACACTGCTCTATAAAGAGAAAAGTTCCACTCTGTGAGTTGAATGTACACATCACAAAGTAGTTTCTGAGATTGCTTCTGTCTAGGTTTTAGGTGAAGTTATTTCCTTTTCTACTGTGTGCTTCAATGCGCTCTAAATATACACATGCAAATACTACAAAAAGAGTGTTTCAAAACTGCTCTATCCAAAGAAAAGTTTTACTCTGTGGGTTGAACACACACATCGCAAAGCAGATTCTGAGAATTATTCTGTCTAGTTTTTATAGGAAGATGTTTCTTTTTCTGCCGTAGGCTCAATGCGCTATAAATATCCCCTTGGAAATCCTACAAAAACAGTGTTTCAAAACTGCTCTGTGAAAAGGGAGGTTTCACTCTTTGAATTGAATGCACACATCACAAAGGAGTTTCTGAAAATTCTTCAAACTAGAGTTACATGAAGAAATCCCGTTTCCAAAGAAGGCCTCAAATAGGTCCAAATATCCACTTGCAGCTACTACAAGAAGGGTGTTTCAGAAACGCTCTATCAAAAGAAACGTTAAACTCTGTGAGTTGAACACACACGTCACTAAGCACTTTCTGAGAACGATTGTATCTACTTTTTACATGAAGATGTTTCCTTTTCTATCAGAGACTTCAAAGTGCTCTAAATATCCACTTGGGAATTCTACAAAAACGGTGTCTCAAAACTGCTCTATCAAAGGGAATGTTCCATTCTGTGAGTCGAATGCACACATCCGAAGAAGTTACTGAGAATTCTTCTCTGTAGGTTTAGATGAAGAAATCCCGTTTCCAACGAAGGCCTCTAGGAGGTCCAATTATCCACTTGCAGATTCTACAGAAAGAGTGTTTCAAAACTGCTCTATCAAGAGAAATGGTCCACCGTGTGTGTGGAATGCAGCCATCACACATTAGTTTCTGAGATTGCTTCTGTCTTGGTTTTATGGGGAGATATTTCCATTTCTAGCGTAGGCTTCAAGGCGCTCTAAATATCCGCTTGGAAATACTACAAAAACAGTGTTTCAAAACTGCTGTATCCAAAGGAAGGTGCCACACGCTGAGTTGAATGCACACATTACAAAGAAGTTTCTGAGAATTCTTCTGTCTAGTTTTATACGAAGAAATCCTGTTTCCAACGAAGGCCTCAAAGAAGTCCAAATATCCCATTGCAAATTCTACAATAGGAGTGTTTCCCAACTACTCTATCAAGAGGAATGTTGCACTCTGTGACTTGAATGCAAACATCACATAGCAGTGTTTGAGAATTCTTCTATCTAGAGTAACATGAAGAAATCCCGTTTCCAACGAAGGCCTCAAGGCGGTCCAATTATCCACTTGCAGATTCTACAGAAAGAGTGTTTCAAAACTGCTCTATCAAGAGAAATGTTCCACCGTGTGTGTGGAATGCAGCCATCACACAGTAGTTTCTGAGATTGCTTCCGTCTAGGTTTTATGGGAAGATATTTCCTTTTCTACCATAGGCCTCAAGGCGCTCTAATATCCGCTTGGAAACACTACAACCACAGCGTTTCAAACTGCTCTACCCAAAGGAAGGTTCCACCCTGTGACTTGAATGCACACAACCAAAGAAGTTTCGGAGAATTCTTCTGTCTAGATTTATACGAAGAAATCCCGTTTCCAACGAAGACCCAAAGGAGTTCCAAATATCCACTTGCAGATCCTTCAGAAAGAGGGTTTCAAAACTGCTCTATCAAGAGAAATGTTCAACTCTGTGAGTTGAATGCAGACATCACAAAGTCGTTTCTGAGATTGGTTCTGTCTAGGTTTTATGGGAAGATATTTCCTTTTCTACCATACGCTTCAATGCGTTCCAAATATCCGCTTGGAAATACTACAAAAACAGTGTTTCAAAACTGCTCTATCAAAAGGAAGGATCCACACTGTGAGTTGAATTCACACATCACAAAGAAGTCTCTGAGAATTCTTCTGTCTGGGTTTATAGGAAGAAATCCCGTTTCCAACGAAGGCCTCAAAGAGGTCAAAATATCCACTTGCAGATTCTACTGAAACAATGTTTCCAAACTGCTCGGTGAAGAGGAATGTTGCACTCGGTGAGTTGAATGCACACATCACAAAGTAGTTTCTGAGATTGCTTCTGTCTACCTTTTATGGAAAGATATTCCCTTTTCTACCATAGGCCTGAAAGCGCTCTCAATGTACCCTTGCAAATTCTACAAAAAGAGTGTTTCCAAATTGCTCTAACAAGAGAAATCTTTATCTCGGTGAGTTGAAAGCACACATCACAAAGAAGACTCTGAGAATTCTTCTGTCTGGGTTTATAAGATGAAAACCCGTTTCCAACGAAGGCCTCAAGGAGGTCCAAATACAAACAAGCTGATTCTACAGAAAGAGTGTTTCCAAACTGCTCTATCAAGAGGAATGTTCCACTCGGTGAGTTGAATGCAGACATCACAAAGGAGTTTCTGAGATTGCTTCTGTCTAGCTTTTATGGAAAGATATTTCCTTTTCTACCATAGGCCTCAAAGCGCTCTTAGTATACACTTCCAAATTCTACAAAGAGAGTGTTACTAAACCGCTCTCTCAAAGGAAATGTTAAACTCTGTGAGTTGAACACAGACATCACAAAGCAGTTTCTGAGAACACTTCTGTCTGCCTTTTATGTGAAGACATTCCCTTTTCCAAAGAATGCCTCCAAGGGCTCAAAATATCCACTTGTAGACTTTACAAAGAGAGTGTTTCAAAACTTCTCTACCAAAAGAAAGGTTAAAGACTGTGAGTTCAACGCACACATCACAAAGTTGTTTCTGAGAATGATTCTGTCTAGGGTTATAGGAAGAAATCCCGTTTCCAACGAAGGCCTCAAAGAGGTCCAAATATCCACTTGCAGTTTCTACAAAAAGAGTGTTTCAACACTGCTCTATAAAGAGGAAAGTTCCACTCTGTGAGTTGAATGTACACATCACAAAGTAGTTTCTGAGGTTGCTTCTGTCTAGGGTTATAGGAGGAAATCCCGTTTCCAACGAAGGCCTCAAAGAGGTCCAAATATCCACTTGCAGTTTCTACAAAAAGAGTGTTTCAACACTGCTCTATAAAGAGGAAAGTTCCACTCTGTGAGTTGAATGTACACATCACAAAGTAGTTTCTGAGATTGCTTCTGTCTAGGTTTTAGGTGAAGTTATTTCCTTTTCTACTGTGGGCTTCAATGCGCTCTAAATATACACATGCAAATACTACAAAAAGAGTGTTTCAAAACTGCTCTATCAAAAGAAAAGTTTTACTCTGTGGGTTGAACGCACACATCGCAAAGCAGATTCTGAGAATTATTCTGTCTAGTTTTTATAGGAAGATGTTTCTTTTTCTGCCGTAGGCTCAATGCGCTATAAATATCCCCTTGGAAATCCTACAAAAACAGTGTTTCAAAACTGCTCTGTGAAAAGGGAGGTTTCACTCTTTGAATTGAATGCACACATCACAAAGGAGTTTCTGAAAATTCTTCAATCTAGAGTTACATGAAGAAATCCCGTTTCCAAAGAAGGCCTCAAATAGGTCCAAATATCCACTTGCAGCTACTACAAGAAGGGTGTTTCAGAAACGCTCTATCAAAAGAAACGTTAAACTCTGTGAGTTGAACGCACACGTCACTAAGCACTTTCTGAGAACGATTCTATCTACTTTTTACATGAAGATGTTTCCTTTTCTAGCAGAGACTTCAAAGTGCTCTAAATATCCACTTGGGAATTCTACAAAAACCGTGTCTCAAAACTGCTCTATCAAAGGGAATGTTCCATTCTGTGAGTCGAATGCACACATCCGAAGAAGTTACTGAGAATTCTTCTCTGTAGGTTTAGATGAAGAAATCCCGTTTCCAACGAAGGCCTCTAGGAGGTCCAATTATCCACTTGCAGATTCTACAGAAAGAGTGTTTCAAAACTGCTCTATCAAGAGAAATGGTCCACCGTGTGTGTGGAATGCAGCCATCACACATTAGTTTCTGAGATTGCTTCTGTCTTGGTTTTATGGGGAGATATTTCCATTTCTAGCATAGGCTTCAAGGTGCTCTAAATATCCGCTTGGAAATACTACAAAAACAGTGTTTCAAAACTGCTGTATCCAAAGGAAGGTGCCACTCGCTGAGTTGAATGCACACATCACAAGGAAGTTTCTGAGAATTCTTCTGTCTAGATTCATACGAAGAAATCCCGTTTCCAACGAAGGCCTCAAAGAAGTCCAAATATCCCATTGCAAATTCTACAAAAGGAGTGTTTCCCAACTGCTCTATCAAGAGGAATGTTGCACTCTGTGACTTGCATGCAAACATCACACAGCAGTGTTTGAGAATTCTTCTGTCTAGAGTAACATGAAGAAATCCCGTTTCCAACGAAGGCCTCAAGGCGGTCCAATTATCCACTTGCAGATTCTACAGAAAGAGTGTTTCAAAACTGCTCTATCAAGAGAAATGTTCCACCGTGTGTGTGGAATGCAGCCATCACACAGTAGTTTCTGAGATTGCTTCCGTCTAGGTTTTATGGGAAGATATTTCCTTTTCTACCATAGGCCTCAAGGCGTTCTAATATCCGCTTGGAAATACTACAACCACAGCGTTTCAAACTGCTCTATCCAAAGGAAGGTTCCACTCTGTGACTTGAATGCACACAACCAAAGAAGTTTCGGAGAATTCTTCTGTCTAGATTTATACGAAGAAATCCCGTTTCCAACGAAGACCCAAAGGAGTTCCAAATATCCACTTGCAGATCCTTCAGAAAGAGGGTTTCAAAACTGCTCTATCAAGAGAAATGTTCAACTCTGTGAGTTGAATGCAGACATCACAAAGTCGTTTCTGAGATTGGTTCTGTCTAGGTTTTATGGGAAGATATTTCCTTTTCTACCATACGCTTCAAGGCGTTCCAAATATCTGCTTGGAAATACTACAAAAACAGTGTTTCAAAACTGCTCTATCAAAAGGAAGGATCCACACTGTGTGTTGAATTCACACATCACAAAGAAGTCTCTGAGAATTCTTCTGTCTGGGTTTATAGGAAGAAATCCCGTTTCCAACGAAGGCCTCAAAGAGGTCCAAATATCCACTTGCAGATTCTACAGAAACAATGTTTCCAAACTGCTCGGACAAGAGGAATGTTGCACTCGGTGAGTTGAATGCACACATCACAAAGTAGTTTCTGAGATTGCTTCTGTCTACCTTTTATGGAAAGATATTCCCTTTTCTACCATAGGCCTGAAAGCGCTCTCAATGTACCCTTGCAAATTCTACAAAAAAAGTGTTTCCAAATTGCTCTATCAAGAGAAATCTTTATCTCGGTGAGTTGAAAGCACACATCACAAAGAAGACTCTGAGAATTCTTCTGTCTGGATTTATAAGATGAAAACCCGTTTCCAACGAAGGCCTCAAGGAGGTCCAAATACAAACAAGCTGATTCTACAGAAAGAGTGTTTCCAAACTGCTCTATCAAGAGGAATGTTCCACTCGGTGAGTTGAATGCAGACATCACAAAGGAGTTTCTGAGATTGCTTCTGTCTAGCTTTTATGGAAAGATATTTCCTTTTCTACCATAGGCCTCAAAGCGCTCTTAGTATACACTTCCAAATTCTACAAAGAGAGTGTTACTAAACCGCTCTCTCAAAGGAAATGTTAAACTCTGTGAGTTGAACACAGACATCACAAAGCAGTTTCTGAGAACACTTCTGTCTGCCTTTTATGTGAAGACATTCCCTTTTCCAAAGAATGCCTCCAAGGGCTCAAAATATCCACTTGTAGACTTTACAAAGAGAGTGTTTCAAAACTTCTCTACCAAAAGAAAGGTTAAAGACGGTGAGTTCAACGCACACATCACAAAGTTGTTTCTGAGAATGATTCTATCTATGTTTTCCATGAAGATGTTTCCTTTTCTATCATAGGCTTCAAAGTGGTCTAAATATCCACTTGGAAATCCTACAAGAACAGGGTTTCAAAACTTCTCTATCAAACGGAAGACTCCACTCTGTGAGATGAACGCACACATCACAATGAGGTTTCTGAAAATTCTTCTGTCTAGGGTTATAGGAAGAAATCCCGTTTCCAACGAAGGCCTCAAAGAGGTCCAAATATCCACTTGCAGTTTCTACAAAAAGAGTGTTTCAACACTGCTCTATAAAGAGGAAAGTTCCACTCTGTGAGTTGAATGTACACATCACAAAGTAGTTTCTGAGATTGCTTCTGTCTAGGTTTTAGGTGAAGTTATTTCCTTTTCTACTGTGGGCTTCAATGCGCTCTAAATATACACATGCAAATACTACGAAAAGAGTGTTTCAAAACTGCTCTATCAAAAGAAAAGTTTTACTCTGTGGGTTGAACGCACACATCGCAAAGCAGATTCTGAGAATTATTCTGTCTAGTTTTTATAGGAAGATGTTTCTTTTTCTGCCATAGGCTCAATGCGCTATAAATATCCCCTTGGAAATCCTACAAAAACAGTGTTTCAAAACTGCTCTGTGAAAAGGGAGGTTTCACTCTTTGAATTGAATGCACACATCACAAAGGAGTTTCTGAAAATTCTTCAATCTAGAGTTACATGAAGAAATCCCGTTTCCAAAGAAGGCCTCAAATAGGTCCAAATATCCACTTGCAGCTACTACAAGAAGGGTGTTTCAGAAATGCTCTATCAAAAGAAACGTTAAACTCTGTGAGTTGAACGCACACGTCACTAAGCACTTTCTGAGAACGATTCTATCTACTTTTTACATGAAGATGTTTCCTTTTCTAGCAGAGACTTCAAAGTGCTCTAAATATCCACTTGGGAATTCTACAAAAACGGTGTCTCAAAACTGCTCTATCAAAGGGAATGTTCCATTCTGTGAGTCGAATGCACACATCCGAAGAAGTTACTGAGAATTCTTCTCTGTAGGTTTAGATGAAGAAATCCCGTTTCCAACGAAGGCCTCTAGGAGGTCCAATTATCCACTTGCAGATTCTACAGAAAGAGTGTTTCAAAACTGCTCTATCAAGAGAAATGGTCCACCGTGTGTGTGGAATGCAGCCATCACACATTAGTTTCTGAGATTGCTTCTGTCTTGGTTTTATGGGGAGATATTTCCATTTCTAGCATAGGCTTCAAGGCGCTCTAAATATCCGCTTGGAAATACTACAAAAACAGTGTTTCAAAACTGCTGTATCCAAAGGAAGGTGCCACTCGCTGAGTTGAATGCACACATCACAAGGAAGTTTCTGAGAATTCTTCTGTCTAGATTCATACGAAGAAATCCCGTTTCCAACGAAGGCCTCAAAGAAGTCCAAATATCCCATTGCAAATTCTACAAAAGGAGTGTTTCCCAACTGCTCTATCAAGAGGAATGTTGCACTCTGTGACTTGAATGCAAACATCACATAGCAGTGTTTGAGAATTCTTCTGTCTAGAGTAACATGAAGAAATCCCGTTTCCAACGAAGGCCTCAAGGCGGTCCAATTATCCACTTGCAGATTCTACAGAAAGAGTGTTTCAAAACTGCTCTATCAAGAGAAATGTTCCACCGTGTGTGTGGAATGCAGCCATCACACAGTAGTTTCTGAGATTGCTTCCGTCTAGGTTTTATGGGAAGATATTTCCTTTTCTACCATAGGCTTCAACGCGCTCTAATATCCGCTTGGAAATACTACAACCACAGCGTTTCAAACTGCTCTATCCAAAGGAAGGTTCCACTCTGTGAGTTGAATGCACACAACCAAAGAAGTTTCGGAGAATTCTTCTGTCTAGATTTATACGAAGAAATCCCGTTTCCAACGAAGACCCAAAGGAGTTCCAAATATCCACTTGCAGATCCTTCAGAAAGAGGGTTTCAAAACTGCTCTATCAAGAGAAATGTTCAACTCTGTGAGTTGAATGCAGACATCACAAAGTCGTTTCTGAGATTGGTTCTGTCTAGGTTTTATGGGAAGATATTTCCTTTTCTACCATACGCTTCAAGGCGTTCCAAATATCCGCTTGGAAATACTACAAAAACAGTGTTTCAAAACTGCTCTATCAAAAGGAAGGATCCACACTGTGAGTTGAATTCACACATCACAAAGAAGTCTCTGAGAATTCTTCTGTCTGGGTTTATAGGAAGAAATCCCGTTTCCAACGAAGGCCTCAAAGCGGTCCATATATCCACTTGCAGATTCTACAGAAACAATGTTTCCAAACTGCTCTATCAAGAGGAATGTTGCACTCGGTGAGTTGAATGCACACATCACAAAGTAGTTTCTGAGATTGCTTCTGTCTACCTTTGATGGAAAGATATTCCCTTTTCTACCATAGGCCTGAAAGCGCTCTCAATGTACCCTTGCAAATTCTACAAAAAGAGTGTTTCCAAATTGCTCTATCAAGAGAAATCTTTATCTCGGTGAGTTGAAAGCACACATCACAAAGAAGACTCTGAGAATTCTTCTGTCTGGGTTTATAAGATGAAAACCCGTTTCCAACGAAGGCCTCAAGGAGGTCCAAATACAAACAAGCTGATTCTACAGAAAGAGTGTTTCCAAACTGCTCTATCAAGAGGAATGTTCCACTCGGTGAGTTGAATGCAGACATCACAAAGGAGTTTCTGAGATTGCTTCTGTCTAGCTTTTATGGAAAGATATTTCCTTTTCTACCATAGGCCTCAAAGCGGCTCTTAGTATACACTTCCAAATTCTACAAAGAGAGTGTTACTAAACCGCTCTCTCAAAGGAAATGTTAAACTCTGTGAGTTGAACACAGACATCACAAAGCAGTTTCTGAGAACACTTCTGTCTGCCTTTTATGTGAAGACATTCCCTTTTCCAAAGAATGCCTCCAAGGGCTCAAAATATCCACTTGTAGACTTTACAAAGAGAGTGTTTCAAAACTTCTCTACCAAAAGAAAGGTTAAAGACGGTGAGTTCAACGCACACATCACAAAGTTGTTTCTGAGAATGATTCTATCTATGTTTTCCATGAAGATGTTTCCTTTTCTATCATAGGCTTCAAAGTGGTCTAAATATCCACTTGGAAATCCTACAAGAACAGGGTTTCAAAACTTCTCTATCAAACAGAAGACTCCACTCTGTGAGATGAACGCACATATCACAATGAGGTTTCTGAAAATTCTTCTGTCTAGGGTTATAGGAAGAAATCCCGTTTCCAACGAAGGCCTCAAAGAGGTCCAAATATCCACTTGCAGTTTCTACAAAAAGAGTGTTTCAACAGTGCTCTATAAAGAGGAAAGTTCCACTCTGTGAGTTGAATGTACACATCACAAAGTAGTTTCTGAGATTGCTTCTGTCTAGGTTTTAGGTGAAGTTATTTCCTTTTCTACTGTGGGCTTCAATGCGCTCTAAATATACACATGCAAATACTACAAAAAGAGTGTTTCAAAACTGCTCTATCAAAAGAAAAGTTTTACTCTGTGAGTTGAACGCACACATCGCAAAGCAGATTCTGAGAATTATTCTGTCTAGTTTTTATAGGAAGATGTTTCTTTTTCTGCCATAGGCTCAATGCGCTATAAATATCCCCTTGGAAATCCTACAAAAACAGTGTTTCAAAACTGCTCTGTGAAAAGGGAGGTTTCACTCTTTGAATTGAATGCACACTTCACAAAGGAGTTTCTGAAAATTCTTCAATCTAGAGTTACATGAAGAAATCCCGTTTCCAAAGAAGGCCTCAAATAGGTCCAAATATCCACTTGCAGCTACTACAAGAAGGGTGTTTCAGAAACGCTCTATCAAAAGAAACGTTAAACTCTGTGAGTTGAACGCACACGTCACTAAGCACTTTCTGAGAACGATTCTATCTACTTTTTACATGAAGATGTTTCCTTTTCTAGCAGAGACTTCAAAGTGCTCTAAATATCCACTTGGGAATTCTACAAAAACGGTGTCTCAAAACTGCTCTACCAAAGGGAATGTTCCATTCTGTGAGTCGAATGCACACATCCGAAGAAGTTACTGAGAATTCTTCTCTGTAGGTTTAGATGAAGAAATCCCGTTTCCAACGAAGGCCTCTAGGAGGTCCAATTATCCACTTGCAGATTCTACAGAAAGAGTGTTTCAAAACTGCTCTATCAAGAGAAATGGTCCACCGTGTGTGTGGAATGCAGCCATCACACATTAGTTTCTGAGATTGCTTCTGTCTTGGTTTTATGGGGAGATATTTCCATTTCTAGCATAGGCTTCAAGGCGCTCTAAATATCTGCTTGGAAATAGTACAAAAACAGTGTTTCAAAACTGCTGTATCCAAAGGAAGGTGCCACTCGCTGAGTTGAATGCACACATCACAAGGAAGTTTCTGAGAATTCTTCTGTCTAGATTCATACGAAGAAATCCCGTTTCCAACGAAGGCCTCAAAGAAGTCCAAATATCCCATTGCAAATTCTACAAAAGGAGTGTTTCCCAACTGCTCTATCAAGAGGAATGTTGGACTCTGTGACTTGAATGCAAACATCACATAGCAGTGTTTGAGAATTCTTCTGTCTAGAGTAACATGAAGAAATCCCGTTTCCAACGAAGGCCTCAAGGCGGTCCAATTATCCACTTGCAGATTCTACAGAAAGAGTGTTTCAAAACTGCTCTATCAAGAGAAATGTTCCACCGTGTGTGTGGAATGCAGCCATCACAAAGTAGTTTCTGAGATTGCTTCCGTCTAGGTTTTATGGGAAGATATTTCCTTTTCTACCATAGGCTTCAACGCGCTCTAATATCCGCTTGGAAATACTACAACCACAGCGTTTCAAACTGCTCTATCCAAAGGAAGGTTCCACTCTGTGACTTGAATGCACACAACCAAAGAAGTTTCGGAGAATTCTTCTGTCTGGATTTATACGAAGAAATCCCGTTTCCAACGAAGACCCAAAGGAGTTCCAAATATCCACTTGCAGATCCTTCAGAAAGAGGGTTTCAAAACTGCTCTATCAAGAGAAATGTTCAACTCTGTGAGTTGAATGCAGACATCACAAAGTCGTTTCTGAGATGGGTTCTGTCTAGGTTTTATGGGAAGATATTTCCTTTTCTACCATACGGCTTCAAGGCGTTCCAAATATCCGCTTGGAAATACTACAAAAACAGTGTTTCAAAACTGCTCTATCAAAAGGAAGGATCCACACTGTGAGTTGAATTCACACATCACAAAGAAATCTCTGAGAATTCTTCTGTCTGGGTTTATAGGAAGAAATCCCGTTTCCAACGAAGGCCTCAAAGCGGTCCATATATCCACTTGCAGATTCTACAGAAACAATGTTTCCAAACTGCTCTATCAAGAGGAATGTTGCACTCGGTGAGTTGAATGCACACATCACAAAATAGTTTCTGAGATTGCTTCTGTCTACCTTTTATGGAAAGATATTCCCTTTTCTACCATAGGCCTGAAAGCGCTCTCAATGTACCCTTGCAAATTCTACAAAAAGAGTGTTTCCAAATTGCTCTATCAAGAGAAATCTTTATCTCGGTGAGTTGAAAGCACACATCACAAAGAAGACTCTGAGAATTCTTCTGTCTGGGTTTATAAGATGAAAACCCGTTTCCAACGAAGGCCTCAAGGAGGTCCAACTACAAACAAGCTGATTCTACAGAAAGAGCGTTTCCAAACTGCTCTATCAAGAGGAATGTTCCACTCGGTGAGTTGAATGCAGACATCACAAAGGAGTTTCTGAGATTGCTTCTGTCTAGCTTTTATGGAAAGATATTTCCTTTTCTACCATAGGCCTCAAAGCGCTCTTAGTATACACTTCCAAATTCTACAAAGAGAGTGTTACTAAACTGCTCTATCAAAGGAAATGTTAAACTCTGTGAGTTGAACACAGACATCACAAAGCAGTTTCTGAGAACACTTCTGTCTGCCTTTTATGTGAAGACATTCCCTTTTCCAAAGAATGCCTCCAAGGGCCCAAAATATCCACTTGTAGACTTTACAAAGAGAGTGTTTCAAAACTTCTCTATCAAAAGAAAGGTTAAAGACGGTGAGTTCAACGCACACATCACAAAGTTGTTTCTGAGAATGATTCTTCTATCTATGTTTTCCATGAAGATGTTTCCTTTTCTATCATAGGCTTCAAAGTGGTCTAAATATCCACTTGGAAATCCTACAAGAACAGGGTTTCAAAACTTCTCTATCAAACGGAAGACTCCACTCTGTGAGATGAACGCACACATCACAATGAGGTTTCTGAAAATTCTTCTGTCTAGGGTTATAGGAAGAAATCCCGTTTCCAACGAAGGCCTCAAAGAGGTCCAAATATCCACTTGCAGTTTCTACAAAAAGAGTGTTTCAACACTGCTCTATAAAGAGAAAAGTTCCACTCTGTGAGTTGAATGTACACATCACAAAGTAGTTTCTGAGATTGCTTCTGTCTAGGTTTTAGGTGAAGTTATTTCCTTTTCTACTGTGAGCTTCAATGCGCTCTAAATATACACATGCAAATACTACAAAAAGAGTGTTTCAAAACTGCTCTATCAAAAGAAAACTTTTACTCTGTGGGTTGAACGCACACATCGCAAAGCAGATTCTGAGAATTATTCTGTCTAGTTTTTATAGGAAGATGTTTCTTTTTCTGCCATAGGATCAATGCGCTATAAATATCCCCTTGGAAATCCTACAAAAACAGTGTTTCAAAACTGCTCTGTGAAAAGGGACGTTTCACTCTTTGAATTGAATGCACACATCACAAAGGAGTTTCTGAAAATTCTTCAAACTAGAGTTACATGAAGAAATCCCGTTTCCAAAGAAGGCCTCAAATAGGTCCAAATATCCACTTGCAGCTACTACAAGAAGGGTGTTTCAGAAACGCTCTATCAAAAGAAACCGTTAAACTCTGTGAGTTGAACACACACGTCACTAAGCACTTTCTGAGAACGATTCTATCTACTTTTTACATGAAGATGTTTCCTTTTCTAGCAGAGACTTCAAAGTGCTCTAAATATCCACTTGGGAATTCTACAAAAACGGTGTCTCAAAACTGCTCTATCAAAGGGAATGTTCCATTCTGTGAGTCGAATGCACACATCCGAAGAAGTTACTGAGAATTCTTCTCTGTAGGTTTAGATGAAGAAATCCCGTTTCCAACGAAGGCCTCTAGGAGGTCCAATTATCCACTTGCAGATTCTACAGAAAGAGTGTTTCAAAACTGCTCTATCAAGAGAAATGGTCCACCGTGTGTGTGGAATGCAGCCATCACACATTAGTTTCTGAGATTGCTTCTGTCTTGGTTTTATGGGGAGATATTTCCATTTCTAGCATAGGCTTCAAGGCGCTCTAAATATCCGCTTGGAAATACTACAAAAACAGTGTTTCAAAACTGCTGTATCCAAAGGAAGGTGCCACTCGCTGAGTTGAATGCACACATCACAAGGAAGTTTCTGAGAATTCTTCTGTCTAGATTCATATGAAGAAATCCCGTTTCCAACGAAGGCCTCAAAGAAGTCCAAATATCCCATTGCAAATTCTACAAAAGTAGTGGTTCCCAACTGCTCTATCAAGAGGAATGTGGCACTCTGTGACTTGAATGCAAACATCACATAGTAGTGATTGAGAATTCTTCTGTCTAGAGTAACATGAAGAAATCCCGTTTCCAACGAAGGCCTCAAGGCGGTCCAATTATCCACTTGCAGATTCTACAGAAAGAGTGTTTCAAAACTGCTCTATCAAGAGAAATGTTCCACCGTGTGTGTGGAATGCAGCCATCACACAGTAGTTTCTGAGATTGCTTCCGTCTAGGTTTTATGGGAAGATATTTCCTTTTCTACCATAGGCCTCAAGGCGCTCTAATATCCGCTTGGAAATACTACAACCACAGCGTTTCAAACTGCTCTATCCAAAGGAAGGTTCCACTCTGTGACTTGAATGCACACAACCAAAGAAGTTTCGGAGAATTCTTCTGTCTAGATTTATACGAAGAAATCCCGTTTCCAACGAAGACCCAAAGGAGTTCCAAATATCCACTTGCAGATCCTTCAGAAAGAGGGTTTCAAAACTGCTCTATCAAGAGCATTGTTCAACTCTGTGAGTTGAATGCAGACATCACAAAGTCGTTTCTGAGATTGGTTCTGTCTAGGTTTTATGGGAAGATATTTCCTTTTCTACCATACGCTTCAAGGCGTTCCAAATATCCGCTTGGAAATACTACAAAAACAGTGTTTCGAAACTGCTCTATCAAAAGGAAGGATCCACACTGTGAGTTGAATTCACACATCACAAAGAAGTCTCTGAGAATTCTTCTGTCTGGGTTTATAGGAAGAAATCCCGTTTCCAACGAAGGCCTCAAAGAGGTACAAATATCCACTTGCAGATTCTACAGAAACAATGTTTCCAAACTGCTCTATCAAGAGGAACGTTGCACTAGGTGAGTTGAATGCACACATCACAAAGTAGTTTCTGAGATTGCTTCTGTCTACCTTTGATGGAAAGATATTCCCTTTTCTACCATAGACCTGAAAGCGCTCTCAATGTACCCTTGCAAATTCTACAAAAAGAGTGTTTCCAAATTGCTCTATCAAGAGAAATCTTTATCTCGGTGAGTTGAAAGCACACATCACAAAGAAGACTCTGAGAATTCTTCTGTCTGGGTTTATAAGATGAAAACCCGTTTCCAACGAAGGCCTCAAGGAGGTCCAAATACAAACAAGCTGATTCTACAGAAAGAGTGTTTCCAAACTGCTCTATCAAGAGGAATGTTCCACTCGGTGAGTTGAATGCAGACATCACAAAGGAGTTTCTGAGATTGCTTCTGTCTAGCTTTTATGGAAAGATAATTCCTTTTCTACCATAGGCCTCAAAGCGCTCTTAGTATACACTTCCAAATTCTACAAAGAGAGTGTTACTAAACCGCTCTCTCAAAGGAAATGTTAAACTCTGTGAGTTGAACACAGACATCACAAAGCAGTTTCTGAGAACACTTCTGTCTGCCTTTTATGTGAAGACATTCCCTTTTCCAAAGAATGCCTCCAAGGGCTCAAAATATCCACTTGTAGACTTTACAAAGAGAGTGTTTCAAAACTTCTCTACCAAAAGAAAGGTTAAATACGGTGAGTTCAACGCACACATCACAAAGTTGTTTCTGAGAATGATTCTATCTATGTTTTCCATGAAGATGTTTCCTTTTCTATCATAGGCTTCAAAGTGGTCTAAATATCCACTTGGAAATCCTACAAGAACAGGGTTTCAAAACTTCTCTATCAAACGGAAGACTCCACTCTGTGAGATGAACGCACACATCACAATGAGGTTTCTGAAAATTCTTCTGTCTAGGGTTATAGGAAGAAATCCCGTTTCCAACGAAGGCCTCAAAGAGGTCCAAATATCCACTTGCAGTTTCCACAAAAAGAGTGTTTCAACACTGCTCTATAAAGAGGAAAGTTCCACTCTGTGAGTTGAATGTACACATCACAAAGTAGTTTCTGAGATTGCTTCTGTCTAGGTTTTAGGTGAAGTTATTTCCTTTTCTACTGTGGGCTTCAATGCGCTCTAAATATACACATGCAAATACTACAAAAAGAGTGTTTCAAAACTGCTCTATCAAAAGAAAAGTTTTACTCTGTGGGTTGAACGCACACATCGCAAAGCAGATTCTGAGAATTATTCTGTCTAGTTTTTATAGGAAGATATTTCTTTTTCTGCCATAGGCTCAATGCGCTATAAATATCCCCTTGGAAATCCTACAAAAACAGTGTTTCAAAACTGCTCTGTGAAAAGGGAGGTTTCACTCTTTGAATTGAATGCACACATCACAAAGGAGTTTCTGAAAATTCTTCAATCTAGAGTTACATGAAGAAATCCCGTTTCCAAAGAAGGCCTCCAATAGGTCCAAATATCCACTTGCAGCTACTACAAGAAGGGTGTTTCAGAAACGCTCTATCAAAAGAAACGTTACACTCTGTGAGTTGAACGCACACGTCACTAAGCACTTTCTGAGAACGATTCTATCTACTTTTTACATGAAGATGTTTCCTTTTCTAGCAGAGACTTCAAAGTGCTCTCAATATCCACTTGGGAATTCTACAAAAACGGTGTCTCAAAACTGCTCTATCAAACGGAATGTTCCATTCTGTGAGTCGAATGCACACATCCGAAGAAGTTACTGAGAATTCTTCTCTGTAGGTTTAGATGAAGAAATCCCGTTTCCAATGAAGGCCTGTAGGAGGTCCAATTATCCACTTGCAGATTCTACAGAAAGAGTGTTTCAAAACTGCTCTATCAAGAGAAATGGGCCACCGTGTGTGTGGAATGCAGCCATCACACATTAGTTTCTGAGATGGCTTCTGTCTTGGTTTTATGGGGAGATATTTCCATTTCTAGCATAGGCTTCAAGGCGCTCTAAATATCCGCTTGGAAATACTACAAAAACAGTGTTTCAAAACTGCTGTATCCACAGGAAGGTGCCACTCGCTGAGTTGAATGCACACATCACAAGGAAGTTTCTGAGAATTCTTCTGTCTAGATTCATACGAAGAAATCCCGTTTCCAACGAAGGCCTCAAAGAAGTCCAAATATCCCATTGCAGATTCTACAAAAGGAGTGTTTCCCAACTGCTCTATCAAGAGGAATGTGGCACTCTGTGACTTGAATGCAAACATCACATAGTAGTGTTTGAGAATTCTTCTGTCTAGAGTAACATGAAGAAATCCCGTTTCCAACGAAGGCCTCAAGGCGGTCCAATTATCCACTTGCAGATTCTACAGAAAGAGTGTTTCAAAACTGCTCTATCAAGAGAAATGTTCCACCGTGTGTGTGGAATGCAGCCATCACACAGTAGTTTCTGAGATTGCTTCCGTCTAGGTTTTATGGGAAGATATTTCCTTTTCTACCATAGGCCTCAAGGCGCTCTTATATCCGCTTGGAAATACTACAACCACAGCGTTTCAAACTGCTCTATCCAAAGGAAGGTTCCACTCTGTGACTTGAATGCACACAACCAAAGAAGTTTCGGAGAATTCTTCTGTCTGGATTTATACGAAGAAATCCCGTTTCCAACGAAGACCCAAAGGAGTTCCAAATATCCACTTGCAGATCCTTCAGAAAGAGGGTTTCAAAACTGCTCTATCAAGAGAAATGTTCAACTCTGTGAGTTGAATGCAGACATCACAAAGTCGTTTCTGAGATGGGTTCTGTCTAGGTTTTATGGGAAGATATTTCCTTTTCTACCATACGCTTCAAGGCGTTCCAAATATCCGCTTGGAAATACTACAAAAACAGTGTTTCAAAACTGCTCTATCAAAAGGAAGGATCCACACTGTGAGTTGAATTCACACATCACAAAGAAATCTCTGAGAATTCTTCTGTCTGGGTTTATAGGAAGAAATCCCGTTTCCAACGAAGGCCTCAAAGCGGTCCATATATCCACTTGCAGATTCTACAGAAACAATGTTTCCAAACTGCTCTATCAAGAGGAATGTTGCACTCGGTGAGTTGAATGCACACATCACAAAGTAGTTTCTGAGATTGCTTCTGTCTACCTTTTATGGAAAGATATTCCCTTTTCTACCATAGGCCTGAAAGCGCTCTCAATGTACCCTTGCAAATTCTACAAAAAGAGTGTTTCCAAATTGCTCTATCAAGAGAAATCTTTATCTCGGTGAGTTGAAAGCACACATCACAAAGAAGACTCTGAGAATTCTTCTGTCTGGGTTTATAAGATGAAAACCCGTTTCCAACGAAGGCCTCAAGGAGGTCCAAATACAAACAAGCTGATTCTACAGAAAGAGTGTTACCAAATTGCTCTATCAAGAGGAATGTTCCACTCGGTGAGTTGAATGCAGACATCACAAAGGAGTTTCTGAGATTGCTTCTGTCTAGCTTTTATGGAAAGATATTTCCTTTTCTACCATAGGCCTCAAAGCGCTCTTAGTATACACTTCCAAATTCTACAAAGAGAGTGTTACTAAACCGCTCTCTCAAAGGAAATGTTAAACTCTGTGAGTTGAACACAGACATCACAAAGCAGTTTCTGAGAACACTTCTGTCTGCCTTTTATGTGAAGACATTCCCTTTTCCAAAGAATGCCTCCAAGGGCTCAAAATATCCACTTGTAGACTTTACAAAGAGAGTGTTTCAAAACTTCTCTACCAAAAGAAAGGTTAAAGACGGTGAGTTCAACGCACACATCACAAAGTTGTTTCTGAGAATGATTCTATCTATGTTTTCCATGAAGATGTTTCCTTTTCTATCATAGGCTTCAAAGTGGTCTAAATATCCACTTGGAAATCCTACAAGAACAGGGTTTCAAAACTTCTCTATCAAACGGAAGACTCCACTCTGTGAGATGAACGCACACATCACAATGAGGTTTCTGAAAATTCTTCTGTCTAGGGTTATAGGAAGAAATCCCGTTTCCAACGAAGGCCTCAAAGAGGTCCAAATATCCACTTGCAGTTTCTACAAAAAGAGTGTTTCAACACTGCTCTATAAAGAGAAAAGTTCCACTCTGTGAGTTGAATGTACACATCACAAAGTAGTTTCTGAGATTGCTTCTGTCTAGGTTTTAGGTGAAGTTATTTCCTTTTCTACTGTGGGCTTCAATGCGCTCTAAATATACACATGCAAATACTACAAAAAGAGTGTTTCAAAACTGCTCTATCAAAAGAAAAGTTTTACTCTGTGAGTTGAACGCACACATCGCAAAGCAGATTCTGAGAATTATTCTGTCTAGTTTTTATAGGAAGATGTTTCTTTTTCTGCCATAGGCTCAATGCGCTATAAATATCCCCTTGGAAATCCTACAAAAACAGTGTTTCAAAACTGCTCTGTGAAAAGGGAGGTTTCACTCTTTGAATTGAATGCACACATCACAAAGGAGTTTCTGAAAATTCTTCAATCTAGAGTTACATGAAGAAATCCCGTTTCCAAAGAAGGCCTCAAATAGGTCCAAATATCCACTTGCAGCTACTACAAGAAGGGTGTTTCACAAACGCTCTATCAAAAGAAACGTTAAACTCTGTGAGTTGAACGCACACGTCACTAAGCACTTTCTGAGAACGATTCTATCTACTTTTTACATGAAGATGTTTCCGTTTCTAGCAGAGACTTCAAAGTGCTCTAAATATCCACTTGGGAATTCTACAAAAACGGTGTCTCAAAACTGCTCTACCAAAGGGAATGTTCCATTCTGTGAGTCGAATGCACACATCCGAAGAAGTTACTGAGAATTCTTCTCTGTAGGTTTAGATGAAGAAATCCCGTTTCCAACGAAGGCCTCTAGGAGGTCCAATTATCCACTTGCAGATTCTACAGAAAGAGTGTTTCAAAACTGCTCTATCAAGAGAAATGGTCCACCGTGTGTGTGGAATGCAGCCATCACACATTAGTTTCTGAGATTGCTTCTGTCTTGGTTTTATGGGGAGATATTTCCATTTCTAGCATAGGCTTCAAGGCGCTCTAAATATCCGCTTGGAAATACTACAAAAACAGTGTTTCAAAACTGCTGTATCCAAAGGAAGGTGCCACTCGCTGAGTTGAATGCACACATCACAAGGAAAGTTTCTGAGAATTCTTCTGTCTAGATTCATACGAAGAAATCCCATTTCCAACGAAGGCCTCAAAGAAGTCCAAATATCCCATTGAAATTCTACAAAAGGAGTGTTTCCCAACTGCTCTATCAAGAGGAATGTTGCACTCTGTGACTTGAATGCAAACATCACATAGCAGTGTTTGAGAATTCTTCTGTCTAGAGTAACATGAAGAAATCCCGTTTCCAACGAAGGCCTCAAGGCGGTCCAATTATCCACTTGCAGATTCTACAGAAAGAGTGTTTCAAAACTGCTCTATCAAGAGAAATGTTCCACCGTGTGTGTGGAATGCAGCCATCACACAGTAGTTTCTGAGATTGCTTCCGTCTAGGTTTTATGGGAAGATATTTCCTTTTCTACCATAGGCTTCAAGGCGCTCTAATATCCGCTTGGAAATACTACAACCACAGCGTTTCAAACTGCTCTATCCAAAGGAAGGTTCCACTCTGTGACTTGAATGCACACAACCAAAGAAGTTTCGGAGAATTCTTCTGTCTGGATTTATACGAAGAAATCCCGTTTCCAACGAAGACCCAAAGGAGTTCCAAATATCCACTTGCAGATCCTTCAGAAAGAGGGTTTCAAAACTGCTCTATCAAGAGAAATGTTCAACTCTGTGAGTTGAATGCAGACATCACAAAGTCGTTTCTGAGATTGGTTCTGTCTAGGTTTTATGGGAAGATATTTCCTTTTCTACCATACGCTTCAAGGCGTTCCAAATATCCGCTTGGAAATACTACAAAAACGGTGTTTCAAAACTGCTCTATCAAAAGGAAGGATGCACACTGTGAGTTGAATTCACACATCACAAAGAAATCTCTGAGAATTCTTCTGTCTGGGTTTATAGGAAGAAATCCCGTTTCCAACGAAGGCCTCAAAGAGGTCCAAATATCCACTTGCAGATTCTACAGAAACAATGTTTCCAAACTGCTCGGTCAAGAGGAATGTTGCACTCGGTGAGTTGAATGCACACATCACAAAGTAGTTTCTGAGATTGCTTCTGTCTACCTTTGATGGAAAGATATTCCCTTTTCTACCATAGGCCTGAAAGCGCTCTCAATGTACCCTTGCAAATTCTACAAAAAGAGTGTTTCCAAATTGCTCTATCAAGAGAAATCTTTATCTCGGTGAGTTGAAAGCACACATCACAAAGAAGACTCTGAGAATTCTTCTGTCTGGGTTTATAAGATGAAAACCCGTTTCCAACGAAGGCCTCAAGGAGGTCCAAATACAAACAAGCTGATCCTACAAAAAGAGTGTTTCCAAACTGCTCTATCAAGAGGAATGTTCCACTCGGTGAGTTGAATGCAGACATCACAAAGGAGTTTCTGAGATTGCTTCTGTCTAGCTTTTATGGAAAGATATTTCCTTTTCTACCATAGGCCTCAAAGCGCTCTTAGTATACACTTCCAAATTCTACAAAGAGAGTGTTACTAAACCGCTCTCTCAAAGGAAATGTTAAACTCTGTGAGTTGAACACAGACATCACAAAGCAGTTTCTGAGAACACTTCTGTCTGCCTTTTATGTGAAGACATTCCCTTTTCCAAAGAATGCCTCCAAGGGCTCAAAATATCCACTTGTAGACTTTACAAAGAGAGTGTTTCAAAACTTCTCTAAAAAAAGAAAGGTTAAAGACGGTGAGTTCAACGCACACATCACAAAGTTGTTTACTGAGAATGATTCTATCTATGTTTTCCATGAAGATGTTTCCTTTTCTATCATAGGCTTCAAAGTGGTCTAAATATCCACTTGGAAATCCTACAAGAACAGGGTTTCAAAGCTTCTCTATCAAACGGAAGACTCCACTCTGTGAGATGAACGCACACATCACAATGAGGTTTCTGAAAATTCTTCTGTCTAGGGTTATAGGAAGAAATCCCGTTTCCAACGAAGGCCTCAAAGAGGTCCAAATATCCACTTGCAGTTTCTACAAAAAGAGTGTTTCAACACTGCTCTATAAAGAGGAAAGTTCCACTCTGTGAGTTGAATGTACACATCACAAAGTAGTTTCTGAGATTGCTTCTGTCTAGGTTTTAGGTGAAGTTATTTCCTTTTCTACTGTGGGCTTCAATGCGCTCTAAATATACACATGCAAATACTACAAAAAGAGTGTTTCAAAACTGCTCTATCAAAAGAAAAGTTTTACTCTGTGGGTTGAACGCACACATCGCAAAGCAGATTCTGAGAATTATTCTGTCTAGTTTTTATAGGAAGATGTTTCTTTTTCTGCCATAGGATCAATGCGCTATAAATATCCCCTTGGAAGTCCTACAAAAACAGTGTTTCAAAACTGCTCTGTGAAAAGGGAGGTTTCACTCTTTGAATTGAATGCACACATCACAAAGGAGTTTCTGAAAATTCTTCAATCTAGAGTTACAGGAAGAAATCCCGTTTCCAAAGAAGGCCTCCAATAGTTCCAAATATCCACTTGCAGCTACTACAAGAAGGGTGTTTCAGAAACGCTCTATCAAAAGAAACGTTACACTCTGTGAGTTAAACGCACACGTCACTAAGCACTTTCTGAGAACGATTCTATCTACTTTTTACATGAAGATGTTTCCTTTTCTAGCAGAGACTTCAAAGTGCTCTAAATATCCACTTGGGAATTCTACCAAAACGGTGTCTCAAAACTGCTCTATCGAAGGGAATGTTCCACTCTGTGAGTCGAATGCACACATCCGAAGAAGTTACTGAGAATTCTTCTCTGTAGGTTTAGATGAAGAAATCCCGTTTCCAACGAAGGCCTCTAGGAGGTCCAATTATCCACTTGCAGATTCTACAGAAAGAGTGTTTCAAAACTGCTCTATCAAGAGAAATGGTCCACCGTGTGTGTGGAATGCAGCCATCACACATTAGTTTCTGAGATTGCTTCTGTCTTGGTTTTATGGGGAGATATTTCCATTTCTAGCATAGGCTTCAAGGCGCTCTAAATATCCGCTTGGAAATACTACAAAAACAGTGTTTCAAAACTGCAGTATCCAAAGGAAGGTGCCGCTCGCTGAGTTGAATACACACATCACAAGGAAGTTTCTGAGAATTCTTCTGTCTAGATTCATACGAAGAAATCCCGTTTCCAACGAAGGCCTCAAAGAAGTCCAAATATCCCATTGCAAATTCTACAAAAGGAGTGTTTCCCAACTGCTCTATCAAGAGGAATGTTGCACTCTGTGACTTGAATGCAAACATCACATAGCAGTGTTTGAGAATTCTTCTGTCTAGAGTAACATGAAGAAATCCCGTTTCCAACGAAGGCCTCAAAGCGGTCCAATTATCCACTTGCAGATTCTACAGAAAGAGTGTTTCAAAACTGCTCTATCAAGAGAAATGTTCAACTCTGTGAGTTGAATGCAGACATCACAAAGTCGTTTCTGAGATGGGTTCCGTCTAGGTTTTATGGGAAGATATTTCCTTTTCTACCATAGGCTTCAAGGCGCTCTAATATCCGCTTGGAAATACTACAACCACAGCGTTTCAAACTGCTCTATCCAAAGGAAGGTTCCACTCTGTGACTTGAATGCACACAACCAAAGAAGTTTCGGAGAATTCTTCTGTCTGGATTTATACGAAGAAATCCCGTTTCCAACGAAGACCCAAAGGAGTTCCAAATATCCACTTGCAGATCCTTCAGAAAGAGGGTTTCAAAACTGCTCTATCAAGAGAAATGTTCAACTCTGTGAGTTGAATGCAGACATCACAAAGTCGTTTCTGAGATGGGTTCTGTCTAGGTTTTATGGGAAGATATTTCCTTTTCTACCATACGCTTCAAGGCGTTCCAAATATCCGCTTGGAAATACTACAAAAACAGTGTTTCAAAACTGCTCTATCAAAAGGAAGGATCCACACTGTGAGTTGAATTCACACATCACAAAGAAGTCTCTGAGAATTCTTCTGTCTGGGTTTATAGGAAGAAATCCCGTTTCCAACGAAGGCCTCACAGAGGTCCAAGTATCCACTTGCAGATACTACAGAAACAATGTTTCCAAACTGCTCGGTCAAGAGGAATGTTGCACTCGGTGAGTTGAATGCACACATCACAAAGTAGTTTCTGAGATTGCTTCTGTCTACCTTTTATGGAAAGATATTCCCTTTTCTACCATAGGCCTGAAAGCGCTCTCAATGTACCCTTGCAAATTCTACAAAAAGAGTGTTTCCAAATTGCTCTATCAAGAGAAATCTTTATCTCGGTGAGTTGAAAGCACACATCACAAAGAAGACTCTGAGAATTCTTCTGTCTGGGTTTATAAGATGAAAACCCGTTTCCAACCGAAGGCCTCAAGGAGGTCCAAATACAAACAAGCTGATTCTACAGAAAGAGTGTTTCCAAACTGCTCTATCAAGAGGAATGTTCCACTCGGTGAGTTGAATGCAGACATCACAAAGGAGTTTCTGAGATTGCTTCTGTCTAGCTTTTATGGAAAGATATTTCCTTTTCTACCATAGGCCTCAAAGCGCTCTTAGTATACACTTCCAAATTCTACAAAGAGAGTGTTACTAAACCGCTCTCTCAAAGGAAATGTTAAACTCTGTGAGTTGAACACAGACATCACAAAGCAGTTTCTGAGAACACTTGTGTCTGCCTTTTATGTGAAGACATTCCCTTTTCCAAAGAATGCCTCCAAGGGCTCAAAATATCCACTTGTAGACTTTACAAAGAGAGTGTTTCAAAACTTCTCTACCAAAAGAAAGGTTAAAGACGGTGAGTTCAACGCACACATCACAAAGTTGTTTCTGAGAATGATTCTATCTATGTTTTCCATGAAGATGTTTCCTTTTCTATCATAGGCTTCAAAGTGGTCTAAATATCCACTTGGAAATCCTACAAGAACAGGGTTTCAAAACTTCTCTATCAAACGGAAGACTCCACTCTGTGAGATGAACGCACACATCACAATGAGGTTTCTGAAAATTCTTCTGTCTAGGGTTATAGGAAGAAATCCCGTTTCCAACGAAGGCCTCAAAGAAGGTCCAAATATCCACTTGCAGTTTCTACAAAAAGAGTGTTTCAACACTGCTCTATAAAGAGGAAAGTTCCACTCTGTGAGTTGAATGTACACATCACAAAATAGTTTCTGAGATTGCTTCTGTCTAGGTTTTAGGTGAAGTTATTTCCTTTTCTACTGTGGGCTTCAATGCGCTCTAAATATACACATGCAAATACTACAAAAAGAGTGTTTCAAAACTGCTCTATCAAAAGAAAAGTTTTACTCTGTGAGTTGAACGCACACATCGCAAAGCAGATTCTGAGAATTATTCTGTCTAGTTTTTATAGGAAGATGTTTCTTTTTCTGCCATAGGCTCAATGCGCTATAAATATCCCCTTGGAAATCCTACAAAAACAGTGTTTCAAAACTGCTCTGTGAAAAGGGACGTTTCACTCTTTGAATTGAATGCACACTTCACAAAGGAGTTTCTGAAAATTCTTCAATCTAGAGTTACATGAAGAAATCCCGTTTCCAAAGAAGGCCTCAAATAGGTCCAAATATCCACTTGCAGCTACTACAAGAAGGGTGTTTCAGAAACGCTCTATCAAAAGAAACGTTAAACTCTGTGAGTTGAACGCACACGTCACTAAGCACTTTCTGAGAACGATTCTATCTACTTTTTACATGAAGATGTTTCCTTTTCTAGCAGAGACTTCAAAGTGCTCTAAATATCCACTTGGGAATTCTACAAAAACGGTGTCTCAAAACTGCTCTATCAAAGGGAATGTTCCATTCTGTGAGTCGAATGCACACATCCGAAGAAGTTACTGAGAATTCTTCTCTGTAGGTTTAGATGAAGAAATCCCGTTTCCAACGAAGGCCTCTAGGAGGTCCAATTATCCACTTGCAGATTCTACAGAAAGAGTGTTTCAAAACTGCTCTATCAAGAGCAATGGTCCACCGTGTGTGTGGAATGCAGCCATCACACATTAGTTTCTGAGATTGCTTCTGTCTTGGTTTTATGGGGAGATATTTCCATTTCTAGCATAGGCTTCAAGGCGCTCTAAATATCCGCTTGGAAATACTACAAAAACAGTGTTTCAAAACTGCTGTATCCAAAGGAAGGTGCCACTCGCTGAGTTGAATGCACACATCACAAGGAAGTTTCTGAGAATTCTTCTGTCTAGTATTCATACGAAGAAATCCCGTTTCCAACGAAGGCCTCAAAGAAGTCCAAATATCCCATTGCAAATTCTACAAAAGGAGTGTTTCCCAACTGCTCTATCAAGAGGAATGTTGCACTCTGTGACTTGCATGCAAACATCACACAGCAGTGTTTGAGAATTCTTCTGTCTAGAGTAACATGAAGAAATCCCGTTTCCAACGAAGGCCTCAAGGCGGTCCAATTATCCACTTGCAGATTCTACAGAAAGAGTGTTTCAAAACTGCTCTATCAAGAGAAATGTTCCACCGTGTGTGTGGAATGCAGCCATCACACAGTAGTTTCTGAGATTGCTTCCGTCTAGGTTTTATGGGAAGATATTTCCTTTTCTACCATAGGCTTCAAGGCGCTCTAATATCCGCTTGGAAATACTACAACCACAGCGTTTCAAACTGCTCTATCCAAAGGAAGGTTCCACTCTGTGACTTGAATGCACACAACCAAAGAAGTTTCAGAGAATTCTTCTGTCTGGATTTATACGAAGAAATCCCGTTTCCAACGAAGACCCAAAGGAGTTCCAAATATCCACTTGCAGATCCTTCAGAAAGAGGGTTTCAAAACTGCTCTATCAAGAGAAATGTTCAACTCTGTGAGTTGAATGCAGACATCACAAAGTCGTTTCTGAGATGGGTTCTGTCTAGGTTTTATGGGAAGATATTTCCTTTTCTACCATACGCTTCAAGGCGTTCCAAATATCCGCTTGGAAATACTACAAAAACAGTGTTTCAAAACTGCTCTATCAAAAGGAAGGATCCACACTGTGAGTTGAATTCACACATCACAAAGAAATCTCTGAGAATTCTTCTGTCTGGGTTTATAGGAAGAAATCCCGTTTCCAACGAAGGCCTCAAAGCGGTCCATATATCCACTTGCAGATTCTACAGAAACAATGTTTCCAAACTGCTCTATCAAGAGGAATGTTGCACTCGGTGAGTTGAATGCACACATCACAAAGTAGTTTCTGAGATTGCTTCTGTCTACCTTTTATGGAAAGATATTCCCTTTTCTACCATAGGCCTGAAAGCGCTCTCAATGTACCCTTGCAAATTCTACAAAAAGAGTGTTTCCAAATTGCTCTATCAAGAGAAATCTTTATCTCGGTGAGTTGAAAGCACACATCACAAAGAAGACTCTGAGAATTCTTCTGTCTGGGTTTATAAGATGAAAACCCGTTTCCAACCGAAGGCCTCAAGGAGGTCCAAATACAAACAAGCTGATTCTACAGAAAGAGTGTTTCCAAACTGCTCTATCAAGAGGAATGTTCCACTCGGTGAGTTGAATGCAGACATCACAAAGGAGTTTCTGAGATTGCTTCTGTCTAGCTTTTATGGAAAGATAATTCCTTTTCTACCATAGGCCTCAAAGCGCTCTTAGTATACACTTCCAAATTCTGCAAAGAGAGTGTTACTAAACCGCTCTCTCAAAGGAAATGTTAAACTCTGTGACTTGAACACAGACATCACAAAGCAGTTTCTGAGAACACTTCTGTCTGCCTTTTATGTGAAGACATTCCCTTTTCCAAAGAATGCCTCCAAGGGCTCAAAATATCCACTTGTAGACTTTACAAAGAGAGTGTTTCAAAACTTCTCTACCAAAAGAAAGGTTAGAGATGGTGAGTTCAACGCACACATCACAAAGTTGTTTCTGAGAATGATTCTATCTATGTTTTCCATGAAGATGTTTCCTTTTCTATCATAGGCTTCAAAGTGGTCTAAATATCCACTTGGAAATCCTACAAGAACAGGGTTTCAAAACTTCTCTATCAAACGGAAGACTCCACTCTGTGAGATGAACGCACACATCACAATGAGGTTTCTGAAAATTCTTCTGTCTAGGGTTATAGGAAGAAATCCCGTTTCCAACGAAGGCCTCAAAGAAGGTCCAAATATCCACTTGCAGTTTCTACAAAAAGAGTGTTTCAACACTGCTCTATAAAGAGGAAAGTTCCACTCTGTGAGTTGAATGTACACATCACAAAGTAGTTTCTGAGATTGCTTCTGTCTAGGTTTTAGGTGAAGTTATTTCCTTTTCTACTGTGGGCTTCAATGCGCTCTAAATATACACATGCAAATACTACAAAAAGAGTGTTTCAAAACTGCTCTATCAAAAGAAAAGTTTTACTCTGTGAGTTGAACGCACACATCGCAAAGCAGATTCTGAGAATTATTCTGTCTAGTTTTCATAGGAAGATGTTTCTTTTTCTGCCGTAGGCTCAATGTGCTATAAATATCCCCTTGGAAATCCCACAAAAACAGTGTTTCAAAACTGCTCTGTGAAAAGGGAGGTTTCACTCTTTGAATTGAATGCACACATCACAAAGGAGTTTCTGAAAATTCTTCAAACGAGAGTTACATGAAGAAATCCCGTTTCCAAAGAAGGCCTCAAATAGGTCCAAATATCCACTTGCAGCTACTACAAGAAGGGTGTTTCAGAAACGCTCTATCAAAAGAAACGTTAAACTCTGTGAGTTGAACGCACACGTCACTAAGCACTTTCTGAGAACGATTCTATCTACTTTTTACATGAAGATGTTTCCTTTTCTAGCAGAGACTTCAAAGTGCTCTAAATATCCACTTGGGAATTCTACAAAAACGGTGTCTCAAAACTGCTCTATCAAACGGAATGTTCCATTCTGTGAGTCGAATGCACACATCCGAAGAAGTTACTGAGAATTCTTCTCTGTAGGTTTAGATGAAGAAATCCCATTTCCAACGAAGGCCTCTAGGAGGTCCAATTATCCACTTGCAGATTCTACAGAAAGAGTGTTTCAAAACTGCTCTATCAAGAGAAATGGTCCACCGTGTGTGTGGAATGCAGCCATCACACATTAGTTTCTGAGATTGCTTCTGTCTTGGTTTTATGGGGAGATATTTCCATTTCTAGCATAGGCTTCAAGGCGCTCTAAATATCCGCTTGGAAATACTACAAAAACAGTGTTTCAAAACTGCAGTATCCAAAGGAAGGTGCCGCTCGCTGAGTTGAATGCACACATCACAAGGAAGTTTCTGAGAATTCTTCTGTCTAGATTCATACGAAGAAATCCCGTTTCCAACGAAGGCCTCAAAGAAGTCCAAATATCCCATTGCAAATTCTACAAAAGGAGTGTTTCCCAACTGCTCTATCAAGAGGAATGTTGCACTCTGTGACTTGAATGCAAACATCACATAGCAGTGTTTGAGAATTCTTCTGTCTAGAGTAACATGAAGAAATCCCGTTTCCAACGAAGGCCTCAAGGCGGTCCAATTATCCACTTGCAGATTCTACAGAAAGAGTGTTTCAAAACTGCTCTATCAAGAGAAATGTTCCACCGTGTGTGGGGAATGCAGCCATCACACAGTAGTTTCTGAGATTGCTTCCGTCTAGGTTTTATGGGAAGATATTTCCTTTTCTACCATAGGCCTCAAGGCGCTCTAATATCCGCTTGGAAATACTACAACCACTGCGTTTCAAACTGCTCTATCCAAAGGAAGGTTCCACTCTGTGAGTTGAATGCACACAACCAAAGATGTTTCGGAGAATTCTTCTGTCTAGATTTATACGAAGAAATCCCGTTTCCAACGAAGACCCAAAGGAGTTCCAAATATCCACTTGCAGATCCTTCAGAAAGAGGGTTTCAAAACTGCTCTATCAAGAGAAATGTTCAACTCTGTGAGTTGAATGCAGACATCACAAAGTCGTTTCTGAGATTGGTTCTGTCTAGGTTTTATGGGAAGATATTTCCTTTTCTACCATACGCTTCAAGGCGTTCCAAATATCCGCTTGGAAATACTACAAAAACAGTGTTTCGAAACTGCTCTATCAAAAGGAAGGAACCACACTGTGAGTTGAATTCACACATCACAAAGAAGTCTCTGAGAATTCTTCTGTCTGGGTTTATAGGAAGAAATCCCGTTTCCAACGAAGGCCTCAAAGAGGTCCAAATATCCACTTGCAGATTCTACAGAAACAATGTTTCCAAACTGCTCTATCAAGAGGAACGTTGCACTAGGTGAGTTGAATGCACACATCACAAAGTAGTTTCTGAGATTGCTTCTGTCTACCTTTTATGGAAAGATATTCCCTTTTCTACCATACGCCTGAAAGCGCTCTCAATGTACCCTTGCAAATTCTACAAAAAGAGTGTTTCTAAATTGCTCTGTCAAGAGAAATCTTTATCTCGGTGAGTTGAAAGCACACATCACAAAGAAGACTCTGAGAATTCTTCTGTCTGGGTTTATAAGATGAAAACCCGTTTCCAACGAAGGCCTCAAGGAGGTCCAAATACAAACAAGCTGATTCTACAGAAAGAGTGTTTCCAAACTGCTCTATCAAGAGGAATGTTCCACTCGGTGAGTTGAATGCAGACATCACAAAGGAGTTTCTGAGATTGCTTCTGTCTAGCTTTTATGGAAAGATAATTCCTTTTCTACCATAGGCCTCAAAACGCTCTTAGTATACACTTCCAAATTCTACAAAGAGAGTGTTACTAAACCGCTCTCTCAAAGGAAATATTAAACTCTGTGAGTTGAACACAGACATCACAAAGCAGTTTCTGAGAACACTTCTGTCTGCCTTTTATGTGAAGACATTCCCTTTTCCAAAGAATGCCTCCAAGGGCTCAAAATATCCACTTGTAGACTTTACAAAGAGAGTGTTTCAAAACTTCTCTACCAAAAGAAAGGTTAAAGACGGTGAGTTCAACGCACACATCACAAAGTTGTTTCTGAGAATGATTCTATCTATGATTTCCATGAAGATGTTTCCTTTTCTATCATAGGCTTCAAAGTGGTCTAAATAACCACTTGGAAATCCTACAAGAACAGGGTTTCAAAACTTCTCTATCAAACGGAAGACTCCACTCTGTGAGATGAACGCACACATCACAATGAGGTTTCTGAAAATTCTTCTGTCTAGGGTTATAGGAAGAAATCCCGTTTCCAACGAAGGCCTCAAAGAGGTCCAAATATCCACTTGCAGTTTCTACAAAAAGAGTGTTTCAACACTGCTCTATAAAGAGGAAAGTTCCACTCTGTGAGTTGAATGTACACATCACAAAGTAGTTTCTGAGATTGCTTCTGTCTAGGTTTTAGGTGAAGTTATTTCCTTTTCTACTGTGGGCTTCAATGCGCTCTAAATATACACATGCAAATACTACAAAAAGAGTGTTTCAAAACTGCTCTATCAAAAGAAAAGTTTTACTCTGTGAGATGAACGCACACATCGCAAAGCAGATTCTGAGAATTATTCTGTCTAGTTTTTATAGGAAGATGTTTCTTTTTCTGCCATAGGCTCAATGCGCTATAAATATCCCCTTGGAAATCCTACAAAAACAGTGTTTCAAAACTGCTCTGTGAAAAGGGAGGTTTCACTCTTTGAATTGAATGCACACATCACAAAGGAGTTTCTGAAAATTCTTCAATCTAGAGTTACATGAAGAAATCCCGTTTCCAAAGAAGGCCTCAAATAGGTCCAAATATCCACTTGCAGCTACTACAAGCAGGGTGTTTCAGAAACGCTCTATCAAAAGAAACGTTAAACTCTGTGAGTTGAACGCACACGTCACTAAGCACTTTCTGAGAACGATTCTATCTACTTTTTACATGAAGATGTTTCCTTTTCTAGCAGAGACTTCAAAGTGCTCTAAATATCCACTTGGGAATTCTACAAAAACGGTGTCTCAAAACTGCTCTACCAAAGGGAATGTTCCATTCTGTGAGTCGAATGCACACATCCGAAGAAGTTACTGAGAATTCTTCTCTGTAGGTTTAGATGAAGAAATCCCGTTTCCAACGAAGGCCTCTAGGAGGTCCAATTATCCACTTGCATATTCTACAGAAAGAGTGTTTCAAAACTGCTCTATCAAGAGAAATGGTCCACCGTGTGTGTGGAATGCAGCCATCACACATTAGTTTCTGAGATTGCTTCTGTCTTGGTTTTATGGGGAGATATTTCCATTTCTAGCATAGGCTTCAAGGCGCTCTAAATATCCGCTTGGAAATACTACAAAAACAGTGTTTCAAAACTGCTGTATCCAAAGGAAGGTGCCACTCGCTGAGTTGAATGCACACATCACAAGGAAGTTTCTGAGAATTCTTCTGTCTAGATTCATACGAAGAAATCCCGTTTCCAACGAAGGCCTCAAAGAAGTCCAAATATCCCATTGCACATTCTACAAAAGGAATGTTTCCCAACTGCTCTATCAAGAGGAATGTTGCACTCTGTGACTTGAATGCAAACATCACATAGTAGTGTTTGAGAATTCTTCTGTCTAGAGTAACATGAAGAAATCCCGTTTCCAACGAAGGCCTCAAGGCGGTCCAATTATCCACTTGCAGATTCTACAGAAAGAGTGTTTCAAAACTGCTCTATCAAGAGAAATGTTCCACCGTGTGTGTGGAATGCAGCCATCACACAGTAGTTTCTGAGATTGCTTTACTGAGAATTCTTCTCTGTAGGTTTAGATGAAGAAATCCCGTTTCCAACGAAGGCCTCTAGGAGGTCCAATTATCCACTTGCAGATTCTACAGAAAGAGTGTTTCAAAACTGCTCTATCAAGAGAAATGGTCCACCGTGTGTGTGGAATGCAGCCATCACACATTAGTTTCTGAGATTGCTTCTGTCTTGGTTTTATGGGGAGATATTTCCATTTCTAGCATAGGCTTCAAGGCGCTCTAAATATCCGCTTGGAAATACTACAAAAACAGTGTTTCAAAACTGCTGTATCCAAAGGAAGGTGCCACTCGCTGAGTTGAATGCACACATCACAAGGAAGTTTCTGAGAATTCTTCTGTCTAGATTCATACGAAGAAATCCCGTTTCCAACGAAGGCCTCAAAGAAGTCCAAATATCCCATTGCAAATTCTACAAAAGGAGTGTTTCCCAACTGCTCTATCAAGAGGAATGTTGCACTCTGTGACTTGAATGCAAATATCACATAGCAGTGTTTGAGAATTCTTCTGTCTAGAGTAACATGAAGAAATCCCGTTTCCAACGAAGGCCTCAAGGCGGTCCAATTATCCACTTGCAGATTCTACAGAAAGAGTGTTTCAAAACTGCTCTATCAAGAGAAATGTTCCACCGTGTGTGTGGAATGCAGCCATCACACAGTAGTTTCTGAGATTGCTTCCGTCTAGGTTTTATGGGAAGATATTTCCTTTTCTACCATAGGCTTCAAGGCGCTCTAATATCCGCTTGGAAATACTACAACCACAGTGTTTCAAACTGCTCTATCCAAAGGAAGGTTCCACTCTGTGACTTGAATGCACACAACCAAAGAAGTTTCGGAGAATTTTTCTGTCTGGATTTATACGAAGAAATCCCGTTTCCAACGAAGACCCAAAGGAGTTCCAAATATCCACTTGCAGATCCTTCAGAAAGAGGGTTTCAAAACTGCTCTATCAAGAGAAATGTTCAACTCTGTGAGTTGAATGCAGACATCACAAAGTCGTTTCTGAGATGGGTTCTGTCTAGGTTTTATGGGAAGATATTTCCTTTTCTACCATACGCTTCAAGGCGTTCCAAATATCCGCTTGGAAATACTACAAAAACAGTGTTTCAAAACTGCTCTATCAAAAGGAAGGATCCACACTGTGAGTTGAATTCACACATCACAAAGAAATCTCTGAGAATTCTTCTGTCTGGGTTTATAGGAAGAAATCCCGTTTCCAACGAAGGCCTCAAAGCGGTCCATATATCCACTTGCAGATTCTACAGAAACAATGTTTCCAAACTGCTCTATCAAGAGGAATGTTGCACTCGGTGAGTTGAATGCACACATCACAAAGTAGTTTCTGAGATTGCTTCTGTCTACCTTTTATGGAAAGATATTCCCTTTTCTACCATAGGCCTGAAAGCGCTCTCAATGTACCCTTGCAAATTCTACAAAAAGAGTGTTTCCAAATTGCTCTATCAAGAGAAATCTTTATCTCGGTGAGTTGAAAGCACACATCACAAAGAAGACTCTGAGAATTCTTCTGTCTGGGTTTATAAGATGAAAACCCGTTTCCAACGAAGGCCTCAAGGAGGTCCAAATACAAACAAGCTGATTCTACAGAAAGAGTGTTTCCAAACTGCTCTATCAAGAGGAATGTTCCACTCGGTGAGTTGAATGCAGACATCACAAAGGAGTTTCTGGGATTGCTTCTGTCTAGCTTTTATGGAAAGATATTTCCTTTTCTACCATAGGCCTCAAAGCGCTCTTAGTATACACTTCCAAATTCTACAAAGAGAGTGTTACTAAACCGCTCTCTCAAAGGAAATGTTAAACTCTGTGAGTTGAACACAGACATCACAAAGCAGTTTCTGAGAACACTTCTGTCTGCCTTTTATGTGAAGACATTCCCTTTTCCAAAGAATGCCTCCAAGGGCTCAAAATATCCACTTGTAGACTTTACAAAGAGAGTGTTTCAAAACTTCTCTACCAAAAGAAAGGTTAAAGACGGTGAGTTCAACGCACACATCACAAAGTTGTTTCTGACAATGATTCTATCTATGTTTTCCATGAAGATGTTTCCTTTTCTATCATAGGCTTCAAAGTGGTCTAAATATCCACTTGGAAATCCTACAAGAACAGGGTTTCAAAGCTTCTCTATCAAACGGAAGACTCCACTCTGTGAGATGAACGCACACATCACAATGAGGTTTCTGAAAATTCTTCTGTCTAGGGTTATAGGAAGAAATCCCGTTTCCAACGAAGGCCTCAAAGAGGTCCAAATATCCACTTGCAGTTTCTACAAAAAGAGTGTTTCAACACTGCTCTATAAAGAGGAAAGTTCCACTCTGTGAGTTGAATGTACACATCAGAAAGTAGTTTCTGAGATTGCTTCTGTCTAGGTTTTAGGTGAAGTTATTTCCTTTTCTACTGTGGGCTTCAATGCGCTCTAAATATACACATGCAAATACTACAAAAAGAGTGTTTCAAAACTGCTCTATGAAAAGAAAAGTTTTACTCTGTGGGTTGAACGCACACATCGCAAAGCAGATTCTGAGAATTATTCTGTCTAGTTTTTATAGGAAGATGTTTCTTTTTCTGCCATAGGCTCAATGCGCTATAAATATCCCCTTGGAAATCCTACAAAAACAGTGTTTCAAAACTGCTCTGTGAAAAGGGAGGTTTCACTCTTTGAATTGAATGCACACATCACAAAGGAGTTTCTGAAAATTCTTCAAACTAGAGTTACATGAAGAAATCCCGTTTCCAAAGAAGGCCTCAAATAGGTCCAAATATCCACTTGCAGCTACTACAAGCAGGGTGTTTCAGAAACGCTCTATCAAAAGAAACGTTAAACTCTGTGAGTTGAACACACACGTCACTAACCACTTTCTGAGAACGATTCTATCTACTTTTTACATGAAGATGTTTCCTTTTCTAGCAGAGACTTCAAAGTGCTCTAAATATCCACTTGGGAATTCTACGAAAACGGTGTCTCAAAACTGCTCTATCAAACGGAATGTTCCATTCTGTGAGTCGAATGCACACATCCGAAGAAGTTACTGAGAATTCTTCTCTGTAGGTTTAGATGAAGAAATCCCGTTTCCAACGAAGGCCTCTAGGAGGTCCAATTATCCACTTGCAGATTCTACAGAAAGAGTGTTTCAAAACTGCTCTATCAAGAGAAATGGTCCACCGTGTGTGTGGAATGCAGCCATCACACATTAGTTTCTGAGATTGCTTCTGTCTTGGTTTTATGGGGAGATATTTCCATTTCTAGCATAGGCTTCAAGGCGCTCTAAATATCCGCTTGGAAATAGTACAAAAACAGTGTTTCAAAACTGCTGTATCCAAAGGAAGGTGCCACTCGCTGAGTTGAATGCACACATCACAAGGAAGTTTCTGAGAATTCTTCTGTCTAGATTCATACGAAGAAATCCCGTTTCCAACGAAGGCCTCAAAGAAGTCCAAATATCCCATTGCAAATTCTACAAAAGGAGTGTTTCCCAACTGCTCTATCAAGAGGAATGTTGCACTCTGTGACTTGAATGCAAACATCACATAGCAGTGTTTGAGAATTCTTCTGTCTAGAGTAACATGAAGAAATCCCGTTTCCAACGAAGGCCTCAAGGCGGTCCAATTATCCACTTGCAGATTCTACAGAAAGAGTGTTTCAAAACTGCTCTATCAAGAGAAATGTTCCACCGTGTGTGTGGAATGCAGCCATCACACAGTAGTTTACTGAGATTGCTTCCGTCTAGGTTTTATGGGAAGATATTTCCTTTTCTACCATAGGCTTCAAGGCGCTCTAATATCCGCTTGGAAATACTACAACCACAGCGTTTCAAACTGCTCTATCCAAAGGAAGGTTCCACTCTGTGACTTGAATGCACACAACCAAAGAAGTTTCGGAGAATTCTTCTGTCTGGATTTATACGAAGAAATCCCATTTCCAACGAAGACCCAAAGGAGTTCCAAATATCCACTTGCAGATCCTTCAGAAAGAGGGTTTCAAAACTGCTCTATCAAGAGAAATGTTCAACTCTGTGAGTTGAATGCAGACATCACAAAGTCGTTTCTGAGATGGGTTCTGTCTAGGTTTTATGGGAAGATATTTCTTTTTCTACCATACGCTTCAAGGCGTTCCAAATATCCGCTTGGAAATACTACAAAAACGGTGTTTCAAAACTGCTCTATCAAAAGGAAGGATCCACACTGTGAGTTGAATTCACACATCACAAAGAAATCTCTGAGAATTCTTCTGTCTGGGTTTATAGGTAAGAAATCCCGTTTCCAACGAAGGCCTCAAAGAGGTCCAAATATCCACTTGCAGATTCTACAGAAACAATGTTTCCAAACTGCTCGGACAAGAGGAATGTTGCACTCGGTGAGTTGAATGCACACATCACAAAGTAGTTTCTGAGATTGCTTCTGTCTACCTTTGATGGAAAGATATTCCCTTTTCTACCATAGGCCTGAAAGCGGTCTCAATGTACCCTTGCAAATTCTACAAAAAGAGTGTTTCCAAATTGCTCTATCAAGAGAAATCTTTATCTTGGTGAGTTGAAAGCACACATCACAAAGAAGACTCTGAGAATTCTTCTGTCTGGGTTTATAAGATGAAAACCCGTTTCCAACGAAGGCCTCAAGGAGGTCCAAATACAAACAAGCTGATTCTACAGAAAGAGTGTTTCCAAACTGCTCTATCAAGAGGAATGTTCCACTCGGTGAGTTGAATGCAGACATCACAAAGGAGTTTCTGAGATTGCTTCTGTCTAGCTTTTATGGAAAGATAATTCCTTTTCTACCATAGGCCTCAAAGCGCTCTTAGTATACACTTCCAAATTCTACAAAGAGAGTGTCACTAAACCGCTCTCTCAAAGGAAATGTTAAACTCTGTGAGTTGAACACAGACATCACAAAGCAGTTTCTGAGAACACTTCTGTCTGCCTTTTATGTGAAGACATTCCCTTGTCCAAAGAATGCCTCCAAGGGCTCAAAATATCCACTTGTAGACTTTACAAAGAGAGTGTTTCAAAACTTCTCTACCAAAAGAAAGGTTAAAGACGGTGAGTTCAACGCACACATCACAAAGTTGTTTCTGACAATGATTCTATCTATGTTTTCCATGAAGATGTTTCCTTTTCTATCATAGGCTTCAAAGTGGTCTAAATATCCACTTGGAAATCCTACAAGAACAGGGTTTCAAAACTTCTCTATCAAACGGAAGACTCCACTCTGTGAGATGAACGCACACATCACAATGAGGTTTCTGAAAATTCTTCTGTCTAGGGTTATAGGAAGAAATCCCGTTTCCAACGAAGGCCTCAAAGAGGTCCAAATATCCACTTGCAGTTTCTACAAAAAGAGTGTTTCAACACTGCTCTATAAAGAGGAAAGTTCCACTCTGTGAGTTGAATGTACACATCACAAAGTAGTTTCTGAGATTGCTTCTGTCTAGGTTTTAGGTGAAGTTATTTCCTTTTCTACTGTGGGCTTCAATGCGCTCTAAATATACACATGCAAATACTACAAAAAGAGTGTTTCAAAACTGCTCTATCAAAAGAAAAGTTTTACTCTGTGAGTTGAACGCACACATCGCAAAGCAGATTCTGAGAATTATTCTGTCTAGTTTTTATAGGAAGATGTTTCTTTTTCTGCCATAGGCTCAATGCGCTATAAATATCCCCTTGGAAATCCTACAAAAACAGTGTTTCAAAACTGCTCTGTGAAAAGGGAGGTTTCACTCTTTGAATTGAATGCACACATCACAAAGGAGTTTCTGAAAATTCTTCAATCTAGAGTTACATGAAGAAATCCCGTTTCCAAAGAAGGCCTCAAATAGGTCCAAATATCCACTTGCAGCTACTACAAGAAGGGTGTTTCAGAAACGCTCTATCAAAAGAAACGTTAAAGTCTGTGAGTTGAACGCACACGTCACTAAGCACTTTCTGAGAACGATTCTATCTACTTTTTACATGAAGATGTTTCCTTTTCTAGCAGAGACTTCAAAGTGCTCTAAATATCCACTTGGGAATTCTACAAAAACGGTGTCTCAAAACTGCTCTATCAAAGGGAATGTTCCATTCTGTGAGTCGAATGCACACATCCGAAGAAGTTACTGAGAATTCTTCTCTGTAGGTTTAGATGAAGAAATCCCATTTCCAACGAAGGCCTCTAGGAGGTCCAATTATCCACTTGCAGATTCTACAGAAAGAGTGTTTCAAAACTGCTCTATCAAGAGAAATGGTCCACCGTGTGTGTGGAATGCAGCCATCACACATTAGTTTCTGATATTGCTTCTGTCTTGGTTTTATGGGGAGATATTTCCATTTCTAGCATAGGCTTCAAGGCGCTCTAAATATCCGCTTGGAAATACTACAAAAACAGTGTTTCAAAACTGCTGTATCCAAAGGAAGGTGCCACTCGCTGAGTTGAATGCACACATCACAAGGAAGTTTCTGAGAATTCTTCTGTCTAGATTCATACGAAGAAACCCCGTTTCCAACGAAGGCCTCAAAGAAGTCCAAATATCCCATTGCACATTCTACAAAAGGAGTGTTTCCCAACTGCTCTATCAAGAGGAATGTTGCACTCTGTGACTTGAATGCAAACATCACAAAGTAGTGTTTGAGAATTCTTCTATCTAGAGTAACATGAAGAAATCCCGTTTCCAACGAAGGCCTCAAGGCGGTCCAATTATCCACTTGCAGATTCTACAGAAAGAGTGTTTCAAAACTGCTCTATCAAGAGAAATGTTCCACCGTGTGTGTGGAATGCAGCCGTCACACAGTAGTTTCTGAGATTGCTTCCGTCTAGGTTTTATGGGAAGATATTTCCTTTTCTACCATAGGCCTCAAGGCGCTCTAAAAACCGCTTGGAAATACTACAACCACAGCATTTCAAACTGCTCTATCCAAAGGAAGGTTCCACTCTGTGACTTGAATGCACACAACCAAAGAAGTTTCGGAGAATTCTTCTGTCTAGATTTATACGAAGAAATCCCGTTTCCAATGAAGACCCAAAGGAGTTCCAAATATCCACTTGCAGATCCTTCAGAAAGAGGGTTTCAAAACTGCTCTATCAAGAGAAATGTTCAACTCTGTGAGTTGAATGCAGACATCACAAAGTCGTTTCTGAGATTGGTTCTGTCTAGGTTTTATGGGAAGATATTTCCTTTTCTACCATAAGCTTCAAGGCGTTCCAAATATCCGCTTGGAAATACTACAAAAACAGTGTTTCGAAACTGCTCTATCAAAAGGAAGGATCCACACTGTGAGTTGAATTCACACATCACAAAGAAGTCTCTGAGAATTCTTCTGTCTGGGTTTATAGGAAGAAATCCCGTTTCCAATCGAAGGCCTCAAAGAGGTCCAAATATCCACTTGCAGATTCTACAGAAACAATGTTTCCAAACTGCTCGGTCAAGAGGAATGTTGCACTCGGTGAGTTGAATGCACACATCACAAAGTAGTTTCTGAGATTGCTTCTGTCTACCTTTTATGGAAAGATATTCCCTTTTCTACCATAGGCCTGAAAGCGCTCTCAATGTACCCTTGCAAATTCTACAAAAAGAGTGTTTCCAAATTGCTCTATCAAGAGAAATCTTTATCTCGGTGAGTTGAAAGCACACATCACAAAGAAGACTCTGAGAATTCTTCTGTCTGGGTTTATAAGATGAAAACCCGTTTCCAACGAAGGCCTCAAGGAGGTCCAAATACAAACAAGCTGATTCTACAGAAAGAGTGTTTCCAAACTGCTCTATCAAGAGGAATGTTCCACTCGGTGAGTTGAATGCAGATATCACAAAGGAGTTTCTGAGATTGCTTCTGTCTAGCTTTTATGGAAAGATATTTCCTTTTCTACCATAGGCCTCAAAGCGCTCTTAGTATACACTTCCAAATTCTACAAAGAGAGTGTTACTAAACCGCTCTCTCAAAGGAAATGTTAAACTCTGTGAGTTGAACACAGACATCACAAAGCAGTTTCTGAGAACACTTCTGTCTGCCTTTTTTGTGAAGACATTCCCTTTTCCAAAGAATGCCTCCAAGGGCTCAAAATATCCACTTGTAGACTTTACAAAGAGAGTGTTTCAAAACTTCTCTACCAAAAGAAAGGTTAAAGACGGTGAGTTCAACGCACACATCACAAAGTTGTTTCTGAGAATGATTCTATCTATGTTTTCCATGAAGATGTTTCCTTTTCTATCATAGGCTTCAAAGTGGTCTAAATATCCACTTGGAAATCCTACAAGAACAGGGTTTCAAAACTTCTCTATCAAACGGAAGACTCCACTCTGTGAGATGAACGCACACATCACAATGAGGTTTCTGAAAATTCTTCTGTCTAGGGTTATAGGAAGAAATCCCGTTTCCAACGAAGGCCTCAAAGAGGTCCAAATATCCACTTGCAGTTTCTCCAAAAAGAGTGTTTCAACACTGCTCTATAAAGAGGAAAGTTCCACTCTGTGAGTTGAATGTACACATCACAAAGTAGTTTCTGAGATTGCTTCTGTCTAGGTTTTAGGTGAAGTTATTTCCTTTTCTACTGTGGGCTTCAATGCGCTCTAAATATACACATGCAAATACTACAAAAAGAGTGTTTCAAAACTGCTCTATCAAAAGAAAAGTTTTACTCTGTGGGTTGAACGCACACATCGCAAAGCAGATTCTGAGAATTATTCTGTCTAGTTTTTATAGGAAGATGTTTCTTTTTCTGCCGTAGGCTCAATGCGCTATAAATATCCCCTTGGAAATCCTACAAAAACAGTGTTTCAAAACTGCTCTGTGAAAAGGGAGGTTTCACTCTTTGAACTGAATGCACACATCACAAAGGAGTTTCTGAAAATTCTTCAAACGAGAGTTACATGAAGAAATCCCGTTTCCAAAGAAGGCCTCAAATAGGTCCAAATATCCACTTGCAGCTACTACAAGAAGGGTGTTTCAGAAACGCTCTATCAAAAGAAACGTTAAACTCTGTGAGTTGAACGCACACGTCACTAAGCACTTTCTGAGAACGATTCTATCTACTTTTTACATGAAGGTGTTTCCTTTTCTAGCAGAGACTTCAAAGTGCTCTAAATATCCACTTGGGAATTCTACAAAAACGGTGTCTCAAAACTGCTCTATCAAACGGAATGTTCCATTCTGTGAGTCGAATGCACACATCCGAAGAAGTTACTGAGAATTCTTCTCTGTAGGTTTAGATGAAGAAATCCCGTTTCCAACGAAGGCCTCTAGGAGGTCCAATTATCCACTTGCAGATTCTACAGAAAGAGTGTTTCAAAACTGCTCTATCAAGAGAAATGGTCCACCGTGTGTGTGGAATGCAGCCATCACACATTAGTTTCTGAGATTGCTTCTGTCTTGGTTTTATGGGGAGATATTTCCATTTCTAGCATAGGCTTCAAGGCGCTCTAAATATCCGCTTGGAAATACTACAAAAACAGTGTTTCAAAACTGCTGTATCCAAAGGAAGGTGCCACTCGCTGAGTTGAATGCACACATCACAAGGAAAGTTTCTGAGAATTCTTCTGTCTAGATTCATACGAAGAAATCCCGTTTCCAACGAAGGCCTCAAAGAAGTCCAAATATCCCATTGCAAATTCTACAAAAGGAGTGTTTCCCAACTGCTCTATCAAGAGGAATGTTGCACTCTGTGACTTGCATGCAAACATCATATAGCAGTGTTTGAGAATTCTTCTGTCTAGAGTAACATGAAGAAATCCCGTTTCCAACGAAGGCCTCAAGGCGGTCCAATTATCCACTTGCAGATTCTACAGAAAGAGTGTTTCAAAACTGCTCTATCAAGAGAAATGTTCCACCGTGTGTGTGGAATGCAGCCATCACACAGTAGTTTCTGAGATTGCTTCCGTCTAGGTTTTATGGGAAGATATTTCCTTTTCTACCATAGGCCTCAAGGCGCTCTAATATCCGCTTGGAAATACTGCAACCACAGCGTTTCAAACTGCTCTATCCAAAGGAAGGTTCCACTCTGTGACTTGAATGCACACAACCAAAGAAGTTTCGGAGAATTCTTCTGTCTGGATTTATACGAAGAAATCCCGTTTCCAACGAAGACCCAAAGGAGTTCCAAATATCCACTTGCAGATCCTTCAGAAAGAGGGTTTCAAAACTGCTCTATCAAGAGAAATGTTCAACTCTGTGAGTTGAATGCAGACATCACAAAGTCGTTTCTGAGATGGGTTCTGTCTAGGTTTTATGGGAAGATATTTCCTTTTCTACCATACGCTTCAAGGCGTTCCAAATATCCGCTTGGAAATACTACAAAAACAGTGTTTCAAAACTGCTCTATCAAAAGGAAGGATCCACACTGTGAGTTGAATTCACACATCACAAAGAAATCTCTGAGAATTCTTCTGTCTGGGTTTATAGGAAGAAATCCCGTTTCCAACGAAGGCCTCAAAGCGGTCCATATATCCACTTGCAGATTCTACAGAAACAATGTTTCCAAACTGCTCTATCAAGAGGAATGTTGCACTCGGTGAGTTGAATGCACACATCACAAAGTAGTTTCTGAGATTGCTTCTGTCTACCTTTTATGGAAAGATATTCCCTTTTCTACCATAGGCCTGAAAGCGCTCTCAATGTACCCTTGCAAATTCTACAAAAAGAGTGTTTCCAAATTACTCTATCAAGAGAAATCTTTATCTCGGTGAGTTGAAAGCACACATCACAAAGAAGACTCTGAGAATTCTTCTGTCTGGGTTTATAAGATGAAAACCCGTTTCCAACGAAGGCCTCAAGGAGGTCCAAATACAAACAAGCTGATTCTACAGAAAGAGTGTTTCCAAACTGCTCTATCAAGAGGAATGTTCCACTCGGTGAGTTGAATGCAGACATCACAAAGGAGTTTCTGAGATTGCTTCTGTCTAGCTTTTATGGAAAGATATTTCCTTTTCTACCATAGGCCTCAAAGCGCTCTTAGTATACACTTCCAAATTCTACAAAGAGAGTGTTACTAAACCGCTCTCTCAAAGGAAATGTTAAACTCTGTGAGTTGAACACAGACATCACAAAGCAGTTTCTGAGAACACTTCTGTCTGCCTTTTATGTGAAGACATTCCCTTTTCCAAAGAATGCCTCCAAGGGCTCAAAATATCCACTTGTAGACTTTACAAAGAGAGTGTTTCAAAACTTCTCTACCAAAAGAAAGGTTAAAGACGGTGAGTTCAACGCACACATCACAAAGTTGTTTCTGAGAATGATTCTATCTATGTTTTCCATGAAGATGTTTCCTTTTCTATCATAGGCTTCAAAGTGGTCTAAATATCCACTTGGAAATCCTACAAGAACAGGGTTTCAAAACTTCTCTATCAAACGGAAGACTCCACTCTGTGAGATGAACGCACACATCACAATGAGGTTTCTGAAAATTCTTCTGTCTAGGGTTATAGGAAGAAATCCCGTTTCCAACGAAGGCCTCAAAGAGGTCCAAATATCCACTTGCAGTTTCTACAAAAAGAGTGTTTCAACACTGCTCTATAAAGAGGAAAGTTCCACTCTGTGAGTTGAATGTACACATCACAAAATAGTTTCTGAGATTGCTTCTGTCTAGGTTTTAGGTGAAGTTATTTCCTTTTCTACTGTGGGCTTCAATGCGCTCTAAATATACACATGCAAATACTACAAAAAGAGTGTTTCAAAACTGCTCTATCAAAAGAAAAGTTTTACTCTGTGAGTTGAACGCACACATCGCAAAGCAGATTCTGAGAATTATTCTGTCTAGTTTTTATAGGAAGATGTTTCTTTTTCTGCCGTAGGCTCAATGCGCTATAAATATCCCCTTGGAAATCCTACAAAAATAGTGTTTCAAAACTGCTCTGTGAAAAGGGACGTTTCACTCTTTGAATTGAATGCACACATCACAAAGGAGTTTCTGAAAATTCTTCAAACTAGAGTTACATGAAGAAATCCCGTTTCCAAAGAAGGCCTCAAATAGGTCCAAATATCCACTTGCAGCTACTACAAGAAGGGTGTTTCAGAAACGCTCTATCAAAAGAAACGTTAAACTCTGTGAGTTGAACACACACGTCACTAAGCACTTTCTGAGAACGATTCTATCTACTTTTTACATGAAGATGTTTCCTTTTCTAGCAGAGACTTCAAAGTGCTCTAAATATCCACTTGGGAATTCTACAAAAACGGTGTCTCAAAACTGCTCTATCAAAGGGAATGTTCCATTCTGTGAGTCGAATGCACACATCCGAAGAAGTTACTGAGAATTCTTCTCTGTAGGTTTAGATGAAGAAATCCCGTTTCCAACGAAGGCCTCTAGGAGGTCCAATTATCCACTTGCAGATTCTACAGAAAGAGTGTTTCAAAACTGCCCTATCAAGGGAAATGGTCCACCGTGTGTGTGGAATGCAGCCATCACACATTAGTTTCTGAGATTGCTTCTGTCTTGGTTTTATGGGGAGATATTTCCATTTCTAGCATAGGCTTCAAGGCGCTCTAAATATCCGCTTGGAAATACTACAAAAACAGTGTTTCAAAACTGCTGTATCCAAAGGAAGGTGCCACTCGCTGAGTTGAATGCACACATCACAAGGAAGTTTCTGAGAATTCTTCTGTCTAGATTCATACGAAGAAATCCCGTTTCCAACGAAGGCCTCAAAGAAGTCCAAATATCCCATTGCAGATTCTACAAAAGGAATGTTTCCCAACTGCTCTATCAAGAGGAATGTGGCACTCTGTGACTTGAATGCAAACATCACATAGTAGTGTTTGAGAATTCTTCTATCAAGAGTAACATGAAGAAATCCCGTTTCCAACGGAGGCCTCTAGGCGGTCCAATTATCCACTTGCAGATTCTACAGAAAGAGTGTTTCAAAACTGCTCTATCAAGAGAAATATTCCACCGTGTGTGTGGAATGCAGCCATCACACAGTAGTTTCTGAGATTGCTTCCGTCTAGGTTTTATGGGAAGATATTTCCTTTTCTACCATAGGCCTCAAGGCGCTCTAATATCCGCTTGGAAATACTACAACCACAGCGTTTCAAACTGCTCTATCCAAAGGAAGGTTCCACTCTGTGACTTGAATGCACACAACCAAAGAAGTTTCGGAGAATTCTTCTGTCTGGATTTATACGAAGAAATCCCGTTTCCAACGAAGACCCAAAGGAGTTCCAAATATCCACTTGCAGATCCTTCAGAAAGAGGGTTTCAAAACTGCTCTATCAAGAGAAATGTTCAACTGTGTGAATTGAATGCAGACATCACAAAGTCGTTTCTGAGATGGGTTCTGTCTAGGTTTTATGGGAAGATATTTCCTTTTCTACCATACGCTTCAAGGCGTTCCAAATATCCGCTTGGAAATACTACAAAAACAGTGTTTCAAAACTGCTCTAACAAAAGGAAGGATACACACTGTGAGTTGAATTCACACATCACAAAGAAATCTCTGAGAATTCTTCTGTCTGGGTTTATAGGAAGAAATCCCGTTTCCAACGAAGGCCTCAAAGCGGTCCATATATCCACTTGCAGATTCTACAGAAACAATGTTTCCAAACTGCTCTATCAAGAGGAATGTTGCACTCGGTGAGTTGAATGCACACATCACAAAGTAGTTTCTGAGATTGCTTCTGTCTACCTTTTATGGAAAGATATTCCCATTTCTACCATAGGCCTGAAAGCGCTCTCAATGTACCCTTGCAAATTCTACAAAAAGAGTGTTTCCAAATTGCTCTATCAAGAGAAATCTTTATCTCGGTGAGTTGAAAGCACACATCACAAAGAAGACTCTGAGAATTCTTCTGTCTGGGTTTATAAGATGAAAACCCGTTTCCAACGAAGGCCTCAAGGAGGTCCAAATACAAACAAGCTGATTCTACAGAAAGAGTGTTTCCAAACTGCTCTATCAAGAGGAATGTTCCACTCGGTGAGTTGAATGCAGACATCACAAAGGAGTTTCTGAGATTGCTTCTGTCTAGCTTTTATGGAAAGATATTTCCTTTTCTACCATAGGCCTCAAAGCGCTCTTAGTATACACTTCCAAATTCTACAAAGAGAGTGTTACTAAACCGCTCTCTCAAAGGAAATGTTAAACTCTGTGAGTTGAACACAGACATCACAAAGCAGTTTCTGAGAACACTTCTGTCTGCCTTTTATGTGAAGACATTCCCTTTTCCAAAGAATGCCTCCAAGGGCTCAAAATATCCACTTGTAGACTTTACAAAGAGAGTGTTTCAAAACTTCTCTACCAAAAGAAAGGTTAAAGACGGTGAGTTCAACGCACACATCACAAAGTTGTTTCTGAGAATGATTCTATCTATGTTTTCCATGAAGATGTTTCCTTTTCTATCATAGGCTTCAAAGTGGTCTAAATATCCACTTGGAAATCCTACAAGAACAGGGTTTCAAAACTTCTCTATCAAACGGAAGACTCCACTCTGTGAGATGAACGCACACATCACAATGAGGTTTCTGAAAATTCTTCTGTCTAGGGTTATAGGAAGAAATCCCGTTTCCAACGAAGGCCTCAAAGAGGTCCAAATATCCACTTGCAGTTTCTACAAAAAGAGTGTTTCAACACTGCTCTATAAAGAGAAAAGTTCCACTCTGTGAGTTGAATGTACACATCACAAAGTAGTTTCTGAGATTGCTTCTGTCTAGGTTTTAGGTGAAGTTATTTCCTTTTCTACTGTGGGCTTCAATGCGCCCTAAATATACACATGCAAATACTACAAAAAGAGTGTTTCAAAACTGCTCTATCAAAAGAAAAGTTTTACTCTGTGAGTTGAACGCACACATCGCAAAGCAGATTCTGATAATTATTCTGTCTAGTTTTTATAGGAAGATGTTTCTTTTTCTGCCATAGGCTCAATGCGCTATAAATATCCCCTTGGAAATCCTACAAAAACAGTGTTTCAAAACTGCTCTGTGAAAAGGGAGGTTTCACTCTTTGAATTGAATGCACACATCACAAAGGAGTTTCTGAAAATTCTTCAATCTAGAGTTACATGAAGAAATCCCGTTTCCAAAGAAGGCCTCAAATAGGTCCAAATATCCACTTGCAGCTACTACAAGCAGGGTGTTTCAGAAACGCTCTATCAAAAGAAACGTTAAACTCTGTGAGTTGAACACACACGTCACTAAGCACTTTACTGAGAACGATTCTATCTACTTTTTACATGAAGATGTTTCCTTTTCTAGCAGAGACTTCAAAGTGCTCTAAATATCCACTTGGGAATTCTACAAAAACGGTGTCTCAAAACTGCTCTATCAAAGGGAATGTTCCATTCTGTGAGTCGAATGCACACATCCGAAGAAGTTACTGAGAATTCTTCTCTGTAGGTTTAGATGAAGAAATCCCATTTCCAAAGAAGGCCTCTAGGAGTTCCAATTATCCACTTGCAGATTCTACAGAAAGAGTGTTTCAAAACTGCTCTATCAAGAGAAATGGTCCACCGTGTGTGTGGAATGCAGCCATCACACATTAGTTTCTGAGATTGCTTCTGTCTTGGTTTTATGGGGAGATATTTCCATTTCTAGCATAGGCTTCAAGGCGCTCTAAATATCCGCTTGGAAATACTACAAAAACAGTGTTTCAAAACTGCTGTATCCAAAGGAAGGTGCCACTCGCTGAGTTGAATGCACACATCACAAGGAAGTTTCTGAGAATTCTTCTGTCTAGATTCATACGAAGAAATCCCGTTTCCAACGAAGGCCTCAAAGAAGTCCAAATATCCCATTGCAAATTCTACAAAAGGAGTGTTTCCCAACTGCTCTATCAAGAGGAATGTTGCACTCTCTGACTTGCATGCAAACATCATATAGCAGTGTTTGAGAATTCTTCTATCTAGAGTAACATGAAGAAATCCCGTTTCCAACGAAGGCCTCAAGGCGGTCCAATTATCCACTTGCAGATTCTACAGAAAGAGTGTTTCAAAACTGCTCTATCAAGAGAAATGTTCCACCGTGTGTGTGGAATGCAGCCATCACACAGTAGTTTCTGAGATTGCTTCCGTCTAGGTTTTATGGGAAGATATTTCCTTTTCTACCATAGGCCTCAAGGCGCTCTAATATCCGCTTGGAAATACTACAACCACAGCGTTTCAAACTGCTCTATCCAAAGGAAGGTTCCACTCTGTGACTTGAATGCACACAACCAAAGAAGTTTCGGAGAATTCTTCTGTCTGGATTTATACGAAGAAATCCCGTTTCCAACGAAGACCCAAAGGAGTTCCAAATATCCACTTGCAGATCCTTCAGAAAGAGGGTTTCAAAACTGCTCTATCAAGAGAAATATTCAACTCTGTGAGTTGAATGCAGACATCACAAAGTCGTTTCTGAGATGGGTTCTGTCTAGGTTTTATGGGAAGATATTTCCTTTTCTACCATACGCTTCAAGGCGTTCCAAATATCCGCTTGGAAATACTACAAAAACAGTGTTTCAAAACTGCTCTATCAAAAGGAAGGATGCACACTGTGAGTTGAATTCACACATCACAAAGAAGTCTCTGAGAATTCTTCTGTCTGGGTTTATAGGAAGAAATCCCGTTTCCAACGAAGGCCTCAAAGCGGTCCATATATCCACTTGCAGATTCTACAGAAACAATGTTTCCAAACTGCTCTATCAAGAGGAATGTTGCACTCGGTGAGTTGAATGCACACATCACAAAGTAGTTTCTGAGATTGCTTCTGTCTACCTTTGATGGAAAGATATTCCCTTTTCTACCATAGGCCTGAAAGCGCTCTCAATGTACCCTTGCAAATTCTACAAAAAGAGTGTTTCCAAATTGCTCTATCAAGAGAAATCTTTATCTCGGTGAGTTGAAAGCACACATCACAAAGAAGACTCTGAGAATTCTTCTGTCTGGGTTTATAAGATGAAAACCCGTTTCCAACGAAGGCCTCAAGGAGGTCCAAATACAAACAAGCTGATTCTACAGAAAGAGTGTTTCCAAACTGCTCTATCAAGAGGAATGTTCCACTCGGTGAGTTGAATGCAGACATCACAAAGGAGTTTCTGAGATTGCTTCTGTCTAGCTTTTATGGAAAGATATTTCCTTTTCTACCATAGGCCTCAAAGCGCTCTTAGTATACACTTCCAAATTCTACAAAGAGAGTGTTACTAAACCGCTCTCTCAAAGGAAATGTTAAACTCTGTGAGTTGAACACAGACATCACAAAGCAGTTTCTGAGAACACTTCTGTCTGCCTTTTATGTGAAGACATTCCCTTTTCCAAAGAATGCCTCCAAGGGCTCAAAATATCCACTTGTAGACTTTACAAAGAGAGTGTTTCAAAACTTCTCTACCAAAAGAAAGGTTAAAGACGGTGAGTTCAACGCACACATCACAAAGTTGTTTCTGAGAATGATTCTATCTATGTTTTCCATGAAGATGTTTCCTTTTCTATCATAGGCTTCAAAGTGGTCTAAATATCCACTTGGAAATCCTACAAGAACAGGGTTTCAAAACTTCTCTATCAAACGGAACACTCCACTCTGTGAGATGAACGCACACATCACAATGAGGTTTCTGAAAATTCTTCTGTCTAGGGTTATAGGAAGAAATCCCGTTTCCAACGAAGGCCTCAAAGAGGTCCAAATATCCACTTGCAGTTTCTACAAAAAGAGTGTTTCAACACTGCTCTATAAAGAGGAAAGTTCCACTCTGTGAGTTGAATGTACACATCACAAAGTAGTTTCTGAGATTGCTTCTGTCTAGGTTTTAGGTGAAGTTATTTCCTTTTCTACTGTGGGCTTCAATGCGCTCTAAATATACACATGCAAATACTACAAAAAGAGTGTTTCAAAACTGCTCTATCAAAAGAAAAGTTTTACTCTGTGAGTTGAACGCACACATCGCAAAGCAGATTCTGAGAATTATTCTGTCTAGTTTTTATAGGAAGATGTTTCTTTTTCTGCCATAGGATCAATGCGCTATAAATATCCCCTTGGAAATCCTACAAAAACAGTGTTTCAAAACTGCTCTGTGAAAAGGGAGGTTTCACTCTTTGAATTGAATGCACACATCACAAAGGAGTTTCTGAAAATTCTTCAATCTAGAGTTACATGAAGAAATCCCGTTTCCAAAGAAGGCCTCAAATAGGTCCAAATATCCACTTGCAGCTACTACAAGAAGGGTGTTTCAGAAACGCTCTATCAAAAGAAACGATAAACTCTGTGAGTTGAACACACACGTCACTAAGCACTTTCTGAGAACGATTCTATCTACTTTTTACATGAAGATGTTTCCTTTTCTAGCAGAGACTTCAAAGTGCTCTAAATATCCACTTGGGAATTCTACAAAAACGGTGTCTCAAAACTGCTCTATCAAAGGGAATGTTCCATTCTGTGAGTCGAATGCACACATCCGAAGAAGTTACTGAGAATTGTTCTCTGTAAGTTTAGATGAAGAAATCCCGTTTCCAACGAAGGCCTCTAGGAGGTCCAATTATCCACTTGCAGATTCTACAGAAAGAGTGTTTCAAAACTGCTCTATCAAGAGAAATGGTCCACCGTGTGTGTGGAATGCAGCCATCACACATTAGTTTCTGAGATTGCTTCTGTCTTGGTTTTATGTGGAGATATTTCCATTTCTAGCATAGGCTTCAAGGCGCTCTAAATATCCGCTTGGAAATACTACAAAAACAGTGTTTCAAAACTGCTGTATCCAAAGGAAGGTGCCACTCGCTGAGTTGAATGCACACATCACAAAGAAGTTTCTGAGAATTCTTTTGTCTGGATTCATACGAAGAAATCCCGTTTCCAACGAAGGCCTCAAAGAAGTCCAAATATCCCATTGCAAATTCTACAAAAGGAGTGTTTCCCAACTGCTCTATCAAGAGGAATGTTGCACTCTGTGACTTGAATGCAAACATCACATAGTAGTGTTTGAGAATTCTTCTGTCTAGAGTAACATGAAGAAATCCCGTTTCCAACGAAGGCCTCAAGGCGGTCCAATTATCCACTTGCAGATTCTACAGAAAGAGTGTTTCAAAACTGCTCTATCAAGAGAAATGTTCCACCGTGTGTGTGGAATGCAGCCATCACACAGTAGTTTCTGAGATTGCTTCCGTCTAGGATTTATGGGAAGATATTTCCTTTTCTACCATAGGCCTCAAGGCGCTCTAATATCCGCTTGGAAATACTACAACCCCAGCGTTTCAAACTGCTCTACCCAAAGGAAGGTTCCACCCTGTGACTTGAATGCACACAACCAAAGAAGTTTCGGAGAATTCTTCTTTCTGGATTTATACGAAGAAATCCCGTTTCCAACGAAGACCCAAAGGAGTTCCAAATATCCACTTGCAGATCCTTCAGAAAGAGGGTTTCAAAACTGCTCTATCAAGAGAAATGTTCAACTCTGTGAGTTGAATGCAGACATCACAAAGTCGTTTCTGAGATGGGTTCTGTCTAGGTTTTATGGGAAGATATTTCCTTTTCTACCATACGCTTCAAGGCGTTCCAAATATCCGCTTGGAAATACTACAAAAACGGTGTTTCAAAACTGCTCTATCAAAAGGAAGGATCCACACTGTGAGTTGAATTCACACATCACAAAGAAATCTCTGAGAATTCTTCTGTCTGGGTTTATAGGAAGAAAACCCGTTTCCAACGAAGGCCTCAAAGAGGTCCATATATCCACTTGCAGATTCTACAGAAACAATGTTTCCAAACTGCTCTATCAAGAGGAATGTTGCACTCGGTGAGTTGAATGCACACATCACAAAGTAGTTTCTGAGATTGCTTCTGTCTACCTTTGATGGAAAGATATTCCCTTTTCTACCATAGGCCTGAAAGCGCTCTCAATGTACCCTTGAAAATTCTACAAAAAGAGTGTTTCCAAATTGCTCTATCAAGAGAAATCTTTATCTCGGTGAGTTGAAAGCACACATCACAAAGAAGACTCTGAGAATTCTTCTGTCTGGTTTATAAGATGAAAACCCGTTTCCAATGAAGGCCTCAAGGAGGTCCAAATATAAACAAGCTGATTCTACAGAAAGAGTGTTTCCAAACTGCTCTATCAAGAGGAATGTTCCACTCGGTGAGTTGAATGCAGACATCACAAAGGAGTTTCTGAGATTGCTTCTGTCTAGCTTTTATGGAAAGATATTTCCTTTTCTACCATAGGCCTCAAAGCGCTCTTAGTATACACTTCCAAATTCTACAAAGAGAGTGTTACTAAACCGCTCTCTCAAAGGAAATGTTAAACTCTGTGAGTTGAACACAGACATCACAAAGCAGTTTCTGAGAACACTTCTGTCTGCCTTTTATGTGAAGACATTCCCTTTTCCAAAGAATGCCTCCAAGGGCTCAAAATATCCACTTGTAGACTTTACAAAGAGAGTGTTTCAAAACTTCTCTACCAAAAGAAAGGTTAAAGACGGTGAGTTCAACGCACACATCACAAAGTTGTTTCTGAGAATGATTCTATCTATGTTTTCCATGAAGATGTTTCCTTTTCTATCATAGGCTTCAAAGTGGTCTAAATATCCACTTGGAAATCCTACAAGAACAGGGTTTCAAAACTTCTCTATCAAACGGAAGACTCCACTCTGTGAGATGAACGCACACATCACAATGAGGTTTCTGAAAATTCTTCTGTCTAGGGTTATAGGAAGAAATCCCGTTTCCAACGAAGGCCTCAAAGAGGTCCAAATATCCACTTGCAGTTTCTACAAAAAGAGTGTTTCAACACTGCTCTATAAAGAGGAAAGTTCCACTCTGTGAGTTGAATGTACACATCACAAAGTAGTTTCTGAGATTGCTTCTGTCTAGATTTTAGGTGAAGTTATTTCCTTTTCTACTGTGGGCTTCAATGCGCTCTAAATATACACATGCAAATACTACAAAAAGAGTGTTTCAAAACTGCTCTATCAAAAGAAAAGTTTTACTCTGTGGGTTGAACTCACACATCGCAAAGCAGATTCTGAGAATTATTCTGTCTAGTTTTTATAGGAAGATGTTTCTTTTTCTGCCGTAGGCTCAATGCGCTATAAATATCCCCTTGGAAATCCTACAAAAACAGTGTTTCAAAACTGCTCTGTGGAAAGGGAGGTTTCACTCTTTGAATTGAATGCACACATCACAAAGGAGTTTCTGAAAATTCTTCAATCTAGAGTTACATGAAGAAATCCCGTTTCCAAAGAAGGCCTCAAATAGGTCCAAATATCCACTTGCAGCTACTACAAGAAGGGTGTTTCAGAAACGCTCTATCAAAAGAAACGTTAAACTCTGTGAGTTGAACACACACGTCACTAAGCACTTTCTGAGAACGATTCTATCTACTTTTTACATGAAGATGTTTCCTTTTCTAGCAGAGACTTCAAAGTGCTCTAAATATCCACTTGGGAATTCTACAAAAACGGTGTCTCAAAACTGCTCTATCAAAGGGAATGTTCCATTCTGTGAGTCGAATGCACACATCCGAAGAAGTTACTGAGAATTCTTCTCTGTAGGTTTAGATGAAGAAATCCCGTTTCCAACGAAGGCCTCTAGGAGGTCCAATTATCCACTTGCAGATTCTACAGAAAGAGTGTTTCAAAACTGCTCTATCAAGAGAAATGGTCCACCGTGTGTGTGGAATGCAGTCATCACACATTAGTTTCTGAGATTGCTTCTGTCTTGGTTTTATGGGGAGATATTTCCATTTCTAGCATAGGCTTCAAGGCGCTCTAAATATCCGCTTGGAAATAGTACAAAAACAGTGTTTCAAAACTGCTGTATCCAAAGGAAGGTGCCACTCGCTGAGTTGAATGCACACATCACAAGGAAGTTTCTGAGAATTCTTCTGTCTAGATTCATACGAAGAAATCCCGTTTCCAACGAAGGCCTCAAAGAAGTCCAAATATCCCATTGCAAATTCTACAAAAGGAGTGTTTCCCAACTGCTCTATCAAGAGGAATGTTGCACTCTGTGACTTGAATGCAAACATCACATAGCAGTGTTTGAGAATTCTTCTGTCTAGAGTAACATGAAGAAATCCCGTTTCCAACGAAGGCCTCAAGGCGGTCCAATTATCCACTTGCAGATTCTACAGAAAGAGTGTTTCAAAACTGCTCTATCAAGAGAAATGTTCCACCGTGTGTGTGCAATGCAGCCATCACACAGTAGTTTCTGAGATTGCTTCCGTCTAGGTTTTATGGGAAGATATTTCCTTTTCTACCATAGGCCTCAAGGCGCTCTAATATCCGCTTGGAAATACTACAACCACAGCGTTTCAAACTGCTCTATCCAAAGGAAGGTTCCACTCTGTGACTTGAATGCACACAACCAAAGAAGTTTCGGAGAATTCTTCTGTCTGGATTTATACGAAGAAATCCCGTTTCCAACGAAGACCCAAAGGAGTTCCAAATATCCACTTGCAGATCCTTCAGAAAGAGGGTTTCAAAACTGCTCTATCAAGAGAAATGTTCAACTCTGTGAGTTGAATGCAGACATCACAAAGTCGTTTCTGAGATGGGTTCTGTCTAGGTTTTATGGGAATATATTTCCTTTTCTACCATACGCTTCAAGGCGTTCCAAATATCCGCTTGGAAATACTACAAAAACAGTGTTTCAAAACTGCTCTATCAAAAGGAAGGATCCACACTGTGAGTTGAATTCACACATCACAAAGAAATCTCTGAGAATTCTTCTGTCTGGGTTTATAGGAAGAAATCCCGTTTCCAACGAAGGCCTCAAAGCGGTCCATATATCCACTTGCAGATTCTACAGAAACAATGTTTCCAAACTGCTCTATCAAGAGGAATGTTGCACTCGGTGAGTTGAATGCACACATCACAAAGTAGTTTCTGAGATTGCTTCTGTCTACCTTTTATGGAAAGATATTCCCTTTTCTACCATACGCCTGAAAGCGCTCTCAATGTACCCTTGCAAATTCTACAAAAAGAGTGTTTCCAAATTGCTCTATCAAGAGAAATCTTTATCTCGGTGAGTTGAAAGCACACATCACAAAGAAGACTCTGAGAATTCTTCTGTCTGGGTTTATAAGATGAAAACCCGTTTCCAACGAAGGCCTCAAGGAGGTCCAAATACAAACAAGCTGATTCTACAGAAAGAGTGTTTCCAAACTGCTCTATCAAGAGGAATGTTCCACTCGGTGAGTTGAATGCAGACATCACAAAGGAGTTTCTGAGATTGCTTGTGTCTAGCTTTTATGGAAAGATATTTCCTTTTCTACCATAGGCCTCAAAGCGCTCTTAGTATACACTTCCAAATTCTACAAAGAGAGTGTCACTAAACCGCTCTCTCAAAGGAAATGTTAAACTCTGTGAGTTGAACACAGACATCACAAAGCAGTTTCTGAGAACACTTCTGTCTGCCTTTTATGTGAAGACATTCCCTTTTCCAAAGAATGCCTCCAAGGGCTCAAAATATCCACTTGTAGACATTACAAAGAGAGTGTTTCAAAACTTCTCTACCAAAAGAAAGGTTAAAGACGGCGAGTTCAACGCACACATCACAAAGTTGTTTCTGACAATGATTCTATCTATGTTTTCCATGAAGATGTTTCCTTTTCTATCATAGGCTTCAAAGTGGTCTAAATATCCACTTGGAAATCCTACAAGAACAGGGTTTCAAAGCTTCTCTATCAAACGGAAGACTCCACTCTGTGAGATGAACGCACACATCACAATGAGGTTTCTGAAAATTCTTCTGTCTAGGGTTATAGGAAGAAATCCCGTTTCCAACGAAGGCCTCAAAGAGGTCCAAATATCCACTTGCAGTTTCTACAAAAAGAGTGTTTCAACACTGCTCTATAAAGAGGAAAGTTCCACTCTGTGAGTTGAATGTACACATCACAAAGTAGTTTCTGAGATTGCTTCTGTCTAGGTTTTAGGTGAAGTTATTTCCTTTTCTACTGTGGGCTTCAATGCGCTCTAAATATACACATGCAAATACTACAAAAAGAGTGTTTCAAAACTGCTCTATCAAAAGAAAAGTTTTACTCTGTGGGTTGAACGCACACATCGCAAAGCAGATTCTGAGAATTATTCTGTCTAGTTTTTATAGGAAGGTGTTTCTTTTTCTGCCGTAGGCTCAATGCGCTATAAATATCCCCTTGGAAATCCTACAAAAACAGTGTTTCAAAACTGCTCTGTGAAAAGGGAGGTTTCACTCTTTGAATTGAATGCACACATCACAAAGGAGTTTCTGAGAATTCTTCAAACTAGAGTTACATGAAGAAATCCCGTTTCCAAAGAAGGCCTCAAATAGGTCCAAATATCCACTTGCAGCTACTACAAGAAGGGTGTTTCAGAAACGCTCTATCAAAAGAAACGTTAAACTCTGTGAGTTGAACGCACACGTCACTAAGCACTTTCTGAGAACGATTCTATCTACTTTTTACATGAAGATGTTTCCTTTTCTAGCAGAGACTTCAAAGTGCTCTAAATATCCACTTGGGAATTCTACAAAAACGGTGTCTCAAAACTGCTCTATCAAACGGAATGTTCCATTACTGTGAGTCGAATGCACACATCCGAAGAAGTTACTGAGAATTCTTCTCTGTAGGTTTAGATGAAGAAATCCCGTTTCCAACGAAGGCCTCTAGGAGGTCCAATTATCCACTTGCAGATTCTACAGAAAGAGTGTTTCAAAACTGCTCTATCAAGAGAAATGGTCCACCGTGTGTGTGGAATGCAGCCATCACACATTAGTTTCTGAGATTGCTTCTGTCTTGGTTTTATGGGGAGATATTTCCATTTCTAGCATAGGCTTCAAGGCGCTCTAAATATCCGCTTGGAAATAGTACAAAAACAGTGTTTCAAAACTGCTGTATCCAAAGGAAGGTGCCACTCGCTGAGTTGAATGCACACATCACAAGGAAGTTTCTGAGAATTCTTCTGTCTAGATTCATACGAAGAAATCCCGTTTCCAACGAAGGCCTCAAAGAAGTCCAAATATCCCATTGCAAATTCTACAAAAGGAGTGTTTCCCAACTGCTCTATCAAGAGGAATGTTGCACTCTCTGACTTGCATGCAAACATCATATAGCAGTGTTTGAGAATTCTTCTGTCTAGAGTAACATGAAGAAATCCCGTTTCCAACGAAGGCCTCAAGGCGGTCCAATTATCCACTTGCAGATTCTACAGAAAGAGTGTTTCAAAACTGCTCTATCAAGAGAAATGTTCCACCATGTGTGTGGAATGCAGCCATCACACAGTAGTTTCTGAGATTGCTTCCGTCTAGGTTTTATGGGAAGATATTTCCTTTTCTACCATAGGCTTCAAGGCGCTCTAATATCCGCTTGGAAATACTACAACCACAGCGTTTCAAACTGCTCTATCCAAAGGAAGGTTCCACTCTGTGACTTGAATGCACACAACCAAAGAAGTTTCGGAGAATTCTTCTGTCTGGATTTATACGAAGAAATCCCGTTTCCAACGAAGACCCAAAGGAGTTCCAAATATCCACTTGCAGATCCTTCAGAAAGAGGGTTTCAAAACTTCTCTATCAAGAGAAATGTTCAACTCTGTGAGTTGAATGCAGACATCACAAAGTCGTTTCTGAGATTGGTTCTGTCTAGGTTTTATGGGAAGATATTTCCTTTTCTACCATACGCTTCAAGGCGTTCCAAATATCCGCTTGGAAATACTACAAAAACGGTGTTTCAAAACTGCTCTATCAAAAGGAAGGATCCACACTGTGAGTTGAATTCACACATCACAAAGAAATCTCTGAGAATTCTTCTGTCTGGGTTTATAGGAAGAAATCCCGTTTCCAACGAAGGCCTCAAAGCGGTCCATATATCCACTTGCAGATTCTACAGAAACAATGTTTCCAAACTGCTCTATCAAGAGGAATGTTGCACTCGGTGAGTTGAATGCACACATCACAAAGTAGTTTCTGAGATTGCTTCTGTCTACCTTTGATGGAAAGATATTCCCTCTTCTACCATAGGCCTGAAAGCGCTCTCAATGTACCCTTGCAAATTCTACAAAAAGAGTGTTTCCAAATTGCTCTATCAAGAGAAATCTTTATCTCGGTGAGTTGAAAGCACACATCACAAAGAAGACTCTGAGAATTCTTCTGTCTGGGTTTATAAGATGAAAACCCGTTTCCAACGAAGGCCTCAAGGAGGTCCAAATACAAACAAGCTGATTCTACAGAAAGAGTGTTTCCAAACTGCTCTATCAAGAGGAATGTTCCACTCGGTGAGTTGAATGCAGACATCACAAAGGAGTTTCTGAGATTGCTTCTGTCTAGCTTTTATGGAAAGATAATTCCTTTTCTACCATAGGCCTCAAAGCGCTCTTAGTATACACTTCCAAATTCTACAAAGAGAGTGTTACTAAACCGCTCTCTCAAAGGAAATGTTAAACTCTGTGAGTTGAACACAGACATCACAAAGCAGTTTCTGAGAACACTTCTGTCTGCCTTTTATGTGAAGACATTCCCTTTTCCAAAGAATGCCTCCAAGGGCTCAAAATATCCACTTGTAGACTTTACAAAGAGAGTGTTTCAAAACTTCTCTACCAAAAGAAAGGTTAAAGACGGTGAGTTCAACGCACACATCACAAAGTTGTTTCTGAGAATGATTCTATCTATGTTTTCCATGAAGATGTTTCCTTTTCTATCATAGGCTTCAAAGTGGTCTAAATATCCACTTGGAAATCCTACAAGAACAGGGTTTCAAAGCTTCTCTATCAAACGGAAGACTCCACTCTGTGAGATGAACGCACACATCACAATGAGGTTTCTGAAAATTCTTCTGTCTAGGGTTATAGGAAGAAATCCCGTTTCCAACGAAGGCCTCAAAGAGGTCCAAATATCCACTTGCAGTTTCTACAAAAAGAGTGTTTCAACACTGCTCTATAAAGAGGAAAGTTCCACTCTGTGAGTTGAATGTACACATCACAAAGTAGTTTCTGAGATTGCTTCTGTCTAGGTTTTAGGTGAAGTTATTTCCTTTTCTACTGTGGGCTTCAATGCGCTCTAAATATACACATGCAAATACTACAAAAAGATTGTTTCAAAACTGCTCTATCAAAAGAAAAGTTTTACTCTGTGAGTTGAACGCACACATCGCAAAGCAGATTCTGAGAATTATTCTGTCTAGTTTTTATAGGAAGATGTTTCTTTTTCTGCCGTAGGCTCAATGCGCTATAAATATCCCCTTGGAAATCCTACAAAAACAGTGTTTCAAAACTGCTCTGTGAAAAGGGACGTTTCACTCTTTGAATTGAATGCACACATCACAAAGGAGTTTCTGAAAATTCTTCAAACTAGAGTTACATGAAGAAATCCCGTTTCCAAAGAAGGCCTCAAATAGGTCCAAATATCCACTTGCAGCTACTACAAGAAGGGTGTTTCAGAAACGCTCTATCAAAAGAAACGTTAAACTCTGTGAGTTGAACACACACGTCACTAAGCACTTTCTGAGAACGATTCTATCTACTTTTTACATGAAGATGTTTCCTTTTCTAGCAGAGACTTCAAAGTGCTCTAAATATCCACTTGGGAATTCTACAAAAACGGTGTCTCAAAACTGCTCTATCAAACGGAATGTTCCATTCTGTGAGTCGAATGCACACATCCGAAGAAGTTACTGAGAATTCTTCTCTGTAGGTTTAGATGAAGAAATCCCATTTCCAACGAAGGCTTCTAGGAGTTCCAATTATCCACTTGCAGATTCTACAGAAAGAGTGTTTCAAAACTGCTCTATCAAGAGAAATGGTCCACCGTGTGTGTGGAATGCAGCCATCACACATTAGTTTCTGAGATTGCTTCTGTCTTGGTTTTATGGGGAGATATTTCCATTTCTAGCATAGGCTTCAAGGCGCTCTAAATATCCGCTTGGAAATACTACAAAAACAGTGTTTCAAAACTGCTGTATCCAAAGGAAGGTGCCACTCGCTGAGTTGAATGCACACATCACAAGGAAGTTTCTGAGAATTCTTCTGTCTAGATTCATACGAAGAAATCCCGTTTCCAACGAAGGCCTCAAAGAAGTCCAAATATCCCATTGCAAATTCTACAAAAGGAGTGTTTCCCAACTGCTCTATCAAGAGGAATGTTGCACTCTGTGACTTGAATGCAAACATCACATAGCAGTGTTTGAGAATTCTTCTGTCTAGAGTAACATGAAGAAATCCCGTTTCCAACGAAGGCCTCAAGGCGGTCCAATTATCCACTTGCAGATTCTACAGAAAGAGTGTTTCAAAACTGCTCTATCAAGAGAAATGTTCCACCGTGTGTGTGGAATGCAGCCATCACACAGTAGTTTCTGAGATTGCTTCCGTCTAGGTTTTATGGGAAGATATTTCCTTTTCTACCATAGGCTTCAAGGCGCTCTAATATCCGCTTGGAAATACTACAACCACAGCGTTTCAAACTGCTCTATCCAAAGGAAGGTTCCACTCTGTGACTTGAATGCACACAACCAAAGAAGTTTCGGAGAATTCTTCTGTCTAGATTTATACCGAAGAAATCCCGTTTCCAACGAAGACCCAAAGGAGTTCCAAATATCCACTTGCAGATCCTTCAGAAAGAGGGTTTCAAAACTGCTCTATCAAGAGAAATGTTCAACTCTGTGAGTTGAATGCAGACATCACAAAGTCGTTTCTGAGATTGGTTCTGTCTAGGTTTTATGGGAAGATATTTCCTTTTCTACCATACGCTTCAAGGCGTTCCAAATATCCGCTTGGAAATACTACAAAAACAGTGTTTCAAAACTGCTCTATCAAAAGGAAGGATCCACACTGTGAGTTGAATTCACACATCACAAAGAAGTCTCTGAGAATTCTTCTGTCTGGGTTTATAGGAAGAAATCCCGTTTCCAACGAAGGCCTCAAAGAGGTCCAAATATCCCATTGCAAATTCTACAAAAGGAGTGTTTCCCAACTGCTCTATCAAGAGGAATGTTGCACACTGTGACTTGAATGCAAACATCACATAGTAGTGTTTGAGAACTCTTCTATCTAGAGTAACATGAAGAAATACCGTTTCCAACGAAGGCCTCAAGGCGGTCCAATTATCCACTTGCAGATTCTACAGAAAGAGTGTTTCAAAACTGCTCTATCAAGAGAAATGTTCCACCTTGTGTGTGGAATGCAGCCATCACACAGTAGTTTCTGAGATTGCTTCTGTCTACCTTTTATGGAAAGATATTCCCTTTTCTACCATAGGCCTGAAAGCGCTCTCAATGTACCCTTGCAAATTCTACAAAAAGAGTGTTTCCAAATTGCTCTATCAAGAGAAATCTTTATCTCGGTGAGTTGAAAGCACACATCACAAAGAAGACTCTGAGAATTCTTCTGTCTGGTTTATAAGATGAAAACCCGTTTCCAACGAAGGCCTCAAGGAGGTCCAAATACAAACAAGCTGATTCTACAGAAAGAGTGTTTCCAAACTGCTCTATCAAGAGGAATGTTCCACTCGGTGAGTTGAATGCAGACATCACAAAGGAGTTTCTGAGATTGCTTCTGTCTAGCTTTTATGGAAAGATATTTCCTTTTCTACCATAGGCCTCAAAGCGCTCTTAGTATACACTTCCAAATTCTACAAAGAGAGTGTTACTAAACCGCTCTCTCAAAGGAAATGTTAAACTCTGTGAGTTGAACACAGACATCACAAAGCAGTTTCTGAGAACACTTCTGTCTGCCTTTTATGTGAAGACATTCCCTTTTCCAAAGAATGCCTCCAAGGGCTCAAAATATCCACTTGTAGACTTTACAAAGAGAGTGTTTCAAAACTTCTCTACCAAAAGAAAGGTTAAAGACGGCGAGTTCAACGCACACATCACAAAGTTGTTTCTGAGAATGATTCTATCTATGTTTTCCATGAAGATGTTTCCTTTTCTATCATAGGCTTCAAAGTGGTCTAAATATCCACTTGGAAATCCTACAAGAACAGGGTTTCAAAACTTCTCTATCAAACGGAAGACTCCACTCTGTGAGATGAACGCACACATCACAATGAGGTTTCTGAAAATTCTTCCTGTCTAGGGTTATAGGAAGAAATCCCGTTTCCAACGAAGGCCTCAAAGAGGTCCAAATATCCACTTGCAGTTTCTACAAAAAGAGTGTTTCAACACTGCTCTATAAAGAGGAAAGTTCCACTCTGTGAGTTGAATGTACACATCACAAAGTAGTTTCTGAGATTGCTTCTGTCTAGGTTTTAGGTGAAGTTATTTCCTTTTCTACTGTGGGCTTCAATGCGCTCTAAATATACACATGCAAATACTACAAAAAGAGTGTTTCAAAACTGCTCTATCAAAAGAAAAGTTTTACTCTGTGAGTTGAACGCACACATCGCAAAGCAGATTCTGAGAATTATTCTGTCTAGTTTTTATAGGAAGATGTTTCTTTTTCTGCCATAGGCTCAATGCGCTATAAATATCCCCTTGGAAATCCTACAAAAACAGTGTTTCAAAACTGCTCTGTGAAAAGGGAGGTTTCACTCTTTGAATTGAATGCACACATCACAAAGGAGTTTCTGAAAATTCTTCAATCTAGAGTTACATGAAGAAATCCCGTTTCCAAAGAAGGCCTCAAATAGGTCCAAATATCCACTTGCAGCTACTACAAGAAGGGTGTTTCAGAAACGCTCTATCAAAAGAAACGTTAAACTCTGTGAGTTGAACGCACACGTCACTAAGCACTTTCTGAGAACGATTCTATCTACTTTTTACATGAAGATGTTTCCTTTTCTAGCAGAGACTTCAAAGTGCTCTAAATATCCACTTGGGAATTCTACAAAAACGGTGTCTCAAAACTGCTCTACCAAAGGGAATGTTCCATTCTGTGAGTCGAATGCACACATCCGAAGAAGTTACTGAGAATTCTTCTCTGTAGGTTTAGATGAAGAAATCCCGTTTCCAACGAAGGCCTCTAGGAGGTCCAATTATCCACTTGCAGATTCTACAGAAAGAGTGTTTCAAAACTGCTCTATCAAGAGAAATGGTCCACCGTGTGTGTGGAATGCAGCCATCACACATTAGTTTCTGAGATTGCTTCTGTCTTGGTTTTATGGGGAGATATTTCCATTTCTAGCATAGGCTTCAAGGCGCTCTAAATATCCGCTTGGAAATAGTACAAAAACAGTGTTTCAAAACTGCTGTATCCAAAGGAAGGTGCCACTCGCTGAGTTGAATGCACACATCACAAGGAAGTTTCTGAGAATTGCTTCTGTCTAGAATTCATACGAAGAAATCCCGTTTCCAACGAAGGCCTCAAAGAAGTCCAAATATCCCATTGCAAATTCTACAAAAGGAGTGTTTCCCAACTGCTCTATCAAGAGGAATGTTGCACTCTGTGACTTGAATGCAAACATCACATAGCAGTGTTTGAGAATTCTTCTGTCTAGGGTAACATGAAGAAATCCCGTTTCCAACGAAGGCCTCAAGGCGGTCCAATTATCCACTTGCAGATTCTACAGAAAGAGTGTTTCAAAACTGCTCTATCAAGAGAAATGTTCCACCGTGTGTGTGGAATGCAGCCATCACACAGTAGTTTCTGAGATTGCTTCCGTCTAGGTTTTATGGGAAGATATTTCCTTTTCTACCATAGGCCTCAAGGCGCTCTAATATCCGCTTGGAAATACTACAACCACAGCGTTTCAAACTGCTCTATCCAAAGGAAGGTTCCACTCTGTGACTTGAATGCACACAACCAAAGAAGTTTCGGAGAATTCTTCTGTCTGGATTTATACGAAGAAATCCCGTTTCCAACGAAGACCCAAAGGAGTTCCAAATATCCACTTGCAGCTCCTTCAGAAAGAGGGTTTCAAAACTGCTCTATCAAGAGAAATGTTCAACTCTGTGAGTTGAATGCAGACATCACAAAGTCGTTTCTGAGATGGGTTCTGTCTAGGTTTTATGGGAAGATATTTCCTTTTCTACCTTACGCTTCAAGGCGTTCCAAATATCCGCTTGGAAATACTACAAAAACAGTGTTTCAAAACTGCTCTATCAAAAGGAAGGATCCACACTGTGAGTTGAATTCACACATCACAAAGAAATCTCTGAGAATTCTTCTGTCTGGGTTTATAGGAAGAAATCCCGTTTCCAACGAAGGCCTCAAAGCGGTCCATATATCCACTTGCAGATTCTACAGAAACAATGTTTCCAAACTGCTCTATCAAGAGGAATGTTGCACTCGGTGAGTTGAATGCACACATCACAAAGTAGTTTCTGAGATTGCTTCTGTCTACCTTTTATGGAAAGATATTCCCTTTTCTACCATAGGCCTGAAAGCGCTCTCAATGTACCCTTGCAAATTCTACAAAAAGAGTGTTTCCAAATTGCTCTATCAAGAGAAATCTTTATCTCGGTGAGTTGAAAGCACACATCACAAAGAAGACTCTGAGAATTCTTCTGTCTGGGTTTATAAGATGAAAACCCGTTTCCAACGAAGGCCTCAAGGAGGTCCAAATACAAACAAGCTGATTCTACAGAAAGAGTGTTTCCAAACTGCTCTATCAAGAGGAATGTTCCACTCGGTGAGTTGAATGCAGATATCACAAAGGAGTTTCTGAGATTGCTTCTGTCTAGCTTTTATGGAAAGATATTTCCTTTTCTACCATAGGCCTCAAAGCGCTCTTAGTATACACTTCCAAATTCTACAAAGAGAGTGTTACTAAACCGCTCTCTCAAAGGAAATGTTAAACTCTGTGAGTTGAACACAGACATCACAAAGCAGTTTCTGAGAACACTTCTGTCTGCCTTTTATGTGAAGACATTCCCTTTTCCAAAGAATGCCTCCAAGGGCTCAAAATATCCACTCGTAGACTTTACAAAGAGAGTGTTTCAAAACTTCTCTACCAAAAGAAAGGTTAAAGACGGTGAGTTCAACGCACACATCAGAAAGTTGTTTCTGAGAATGATTCTATCTATGTTTTCCATGAAGATGTTTCCTTTTCTATCATAGGCTTCAAAGTGGTCTAAATATCCACTTGGAAATCCTACAAGAACAGGGTTTCAAAACTTCTCTATCAAACGGAAGACTCCACTCTGTGAGATGAACGCACACATCACAATGAGGTTTCTGAAAATTCTTCTGTCTAGGGTTATAGGAAGAAATCCCGTTTCCAACGAAGGCCTCAAAGAGGTCCAAATATCCACTTGCAGTTTCTACAAAAAGAGTGTTTCAACACTGCTCTATAAAGAGAAAAGTTCCACTCTGTGAGTTGAATGTACACATCACAAAGTAGTTTCTGAGATTGCTTCTGTCTAGGTTTTAGGTGAAGTTATTTCCTTTTCTACTGTGGGCTTCAATGCGCTCTAAATATACACATGCAAATACTACAAAAAGAGTGTTTCAAAACTGCTCTATCAAAAGAAAAGTTTTACTCTGTGAGTTGAACGCACACATCGCAAAGCAGATTCTGAGAATTATTCTGTCTAGTTTTTATAGGAAGATGTTTCTTTTTCTGCCATAGGCTCAATGCGCTATAAATATCCCCTTGGAAATCCTACAAAAACAGTGTTTCAAAACTGCTCTGTGAAAAGGGAGGTTTCACTCTTTGAATTGAATGCACACATCACAAAGGAGTTTCTGAAAATTCTTCAATCTAGAGTTACATGAAGAAATCCCGTTTCCAAAGAAGGCCTCAAATAGGTCCAAATATCCACTTGCAGCTACTACAAGAAGGGTGTTTCAGAAACGCTCTATCAAAAGAAACGTTAAACTCTGTGAGTTGAACGCACACGTCACTAAGCACTTTCTGAGAACGATTCTATCTACTTTTTACATGAAGATGTTTCCTTTTCTAGCAGAGACTTCAAAGTGCTCTAAATATCCACTTGGGAATTCTACAAAAACGGTGTCTCAAAACTGCTCTATCAAACGGAATGTTCCATTCTGTGAGTCGAATGCACACATCCGAAGAAGTTACTGAGAATTCTTCTCTGTAGGTTTAGATGAAGAAATCCCGTTTCCAACGAAGGCCTCTAGGAGGTCCAATTATCCACTTGCAGATTCTACAGAAAGAGTGTTTCAAAACTGCTCTATCAAGAGAAATGGTCCGCCGTGTGTGTGGAATGCAGCCATCACACATTAGTTTCTGAGATTGCTTCTGTCTTGGTTTTATGGGGAGATATTTCCATTTCTAGCATAGGCTTCAAGGCGCTCTAAATATCCGCTTGGAAATACTACAAAAACAGTGTTTCAAAACTGCTGTATCCAAAGGAAGGTGCCACTCGCTGAGTTGAATGCACACATCACAAGGAAGTTTCTGAGAATTCTTCTGTCTAGATTCATACGAAGAAATCCCGTTTCCAACGAAGGCCTCAAAGAAGTCCAAATATCCCATTGCAAATTCTACAAAAGGAGTGTTTCCCAACTGCTCTATCAAGAGGAATGTTGCACTCTGTGACTTGAATGCAAACATCACATAGCAGTGTTTGAGAATTCTTCTGTCTAGAGTAACATGAAGAAATCCCGTTTCCAACGAAGGCCTCAAGGCGGTCCAATTATCCACTTGCAGATTCTACAGAAAGAGTGTTTCAAAACTGCTCTATCAAGAGAAATGTTCCACCGTGTGTGTGGAATGCAGCCATCACACAGTAGTTTCTGAGATTGCTTCCGTCTAGGTTTTATGGGAAGATATTTCCTTTTCTACCATAGGCTTCAGGGCGCTCTAATATCCGCTTGGAAATACTACAACCACAGCGTTTCAAACTGCTCTATCCAAAGGAAGGTTCCACTCTGTGACTTGAATGCACACAACCAAAGAAGTTTCGGAGAATTCTTCTGTCTAGATTTATACGAAGAAATCCCGTTTCCAACGAAGACCCAAAGGAGTTCCAAATATCCACTTGCAGATCCTTCAGAAAGAGGGTTTCAAAACTGCTCTATCAAGAGAAATGTTCAACTCTGTGAGTTGAATGCAGACATCACAAAGTCGTTTCTGAGATGGGTTCTGTCTAGGTTTTATGGGAAGATATTTCCTTTTCTACCATACGCTTCAAGGCGTTCCAAATATCCGCTTGGAAATACTACAAAAACAGTGTTTCAAAACTGCTCTATCAAAAGGAAGGATCCACACTGTGAGTTGAATTCACACATCACAAAGAAATCTCTGAGAATTCTTCTGTCTGGGTTTATAGGAAGAAATCCCGTTTCCAACGAAGGCCTCAAAGCGGTCCATATATCCACTTGCAGATTCTACAGAAACAATGTTTCCAAACTGCTCTATCAAGAGGAATGTTGCACTCAGTGAGTTGAATGCACACATCACAAAGTAGTTTCTGAGATTGCTTCTGTCTACCTTTTATGGAAAGATATTCCATTTTCTACCATAGGCCTGAAAGCGCTCTCAATGTACCCTTGCAAATTCTACAAAAAGAGTGTTTCCAAATTGCTCTATCAAGAGAAATCTTTATCTCGGTGAGTTGAAAGCACACATCACAAAGAAGACTCTGAGAATTCTTCTGTCTGGGTTTATAAGATGAAAACCCGTTTCCAACGAAGGCCTCAAGGAGGTCCAAATACAAACAAGCTGATTCTACAGAAAGAGTGTTTCCAAACTGCTCTATCAAGAGGAATGTTCCACTCGGTGAGTTGAATGCAGACATCACAAAGGAGTTTCTGAGATTGCTTCTGTCTAGCTTTTATGGAAAGATATTTCCTTTTCTACCATAGGCCTCAAAGCGCTCTTAGTATACACTTCCAAATTCTACAAAGAGAGTGTTACTAAACCGCTCTCTCAAAGGAAATGTTAAACTCTGTGAGTTGAACACAGACATCACAAAGCTGTTTCTGAGAACACTTCTGTCTGCCTTTTATGTGAAGACATTCCCTTTTCCAAAGAATGCCTCCAAGGGCTCAAAATATCCACTTGTAGACTTTACAAAGAGAGTGTTTCAAAACTTCTCTACCAAAAGAAAGGTTAAAGACGGTGAGTTCAACGCACACATCACAAAGTTGTTTCTGAGAATGATTCTATCTATGTTTTCCATGAAGATGTTCCCTTTTCTGTCATAGGCTTCAAAGTGGTCTAAATATCCACTTGGAAATCCTACAAGAACAGGGTTTCAAAACTTCTCTATCAAACGGAAGACTCCACTCTGTGAGATGAACGCACACATCACAATGAGGTTTCTGAAAATTCTTCTGTCTAGGGTTATAGGAAGAAATCCCGTTTCCAACGAGGACCTCAAAGAGGTCCACATATCCACTTGCAGTTTCTACAAAAAGAGTGTTTCAACACTGCTCTATAAAGAGGAAAGTTCCACTCTGTGAGTTGAATGTACACATCACAAAGTAGTTTCTGAGATTGCTTCTGTCTAGGTTTTAGGTGAAGTTATTTCCTTTTCTACTGTGGGCTTCAATGCGCTCTAAATATACACATGCAAATACTACAAAAAGAGTGTTTCAAAACTGCTCTATCAAAAGAAAAGTTTTACTCTGTGAGTTGAACGCACACATCGCAAAGCAGATTCTGAGAATTATTCTGTCTAGTTTTTATAGGAAGATGTTTCTTTTTCTGCCGTAGGCTCAATGCGCTATAAATATCCCCTTGGAAATCCTACAAAAACAGTGTTTCAAAACTGCTCTGTGAAAAGGGAGGTTTCACTCTTTGAATTGAATGCACACATCACAAAGGAGTTTCTGAAAATTCTTCAAACTAGAGTTACATGAAGAAATCCCGTTTCCAAAGAAGGCCTCAAATAGGTCCAAATATCCACTTGCAGCTACTACAAGAAGGGTGTTTCAGAAACGCTCTATCAAAAGAAACGTTAAACTCTGTGAGTTGAACACACACGTCACTAAGCACTTTCTGAGAACGATTGTATCTACTTTTTACATGAAGATGTTTCCTTTTCTAGCAGAGACTTCAAAGTGCTCTAAATATCCACTTGGGAATTCTACAAAAACGGTGTCTCAAAACTGCTCTATCAAAGGGAATGTTCCATTCTGTGAGTCGAATGCACACATCCGAAGAAGTTACTGAGAATTCTTCTCTGTAGGTTTAGATGAAGAAATCCCGTTTCCAACGAAGGCCTCTAGGAGGTCCAATTATCCACTTGCAGATTCTACAGAAAGAGTGTTTCAAAACTGCTCTATCAAGAGAAATGGTCCACCGTGTGTGTGGAATGCAGCCATCACACATTAGTTTCTGAGATTGCTTCTGTCTTGGTTTTATGGGGAGATATTTCCATTTCTAGCGTAGGCTTCAAGGCGCTCTAAATATCCGCTTGGAAATACTACAAAAACAGTGTTTCAAAACTGCTGTATCCAAAGGAAGGTGCCACTCGCTGAGTTGAATGCACACATCACAAGGAAGTTTCTGAGAATTCTTCTGTCTAGATTCATACGAAGAAATCCCGTTTCCAAAGAAGGCCTCAAAGAAGTCCAAATATCCCATTGCAAATTCTACAAAAGGAGTGTTTCCCAACTGCTCTATCAAGAGGAATGTTGCACTCTGTGACTTGCATGCAAACATCACATAGTAGTGTTTGAGAATTCTTTTATATAGAGTAACATGAAGAAATCCCGTTTCCAACGAAGGCCTCAAGGCGGTCCAATTATCCACTTGCAGATTCTACAGAAAGAGTGTTTCCAAACTGCTCTATCAAGAGAAATGTTCCACCGTGTGTGTGGAATGCAGCCATCACACAGTAGTTTCTGAGATTGCTTCCGTCTAGGTTTTATGGGAAGATATTTCCTTTTCTACCATAGGCCTCAAGGCGCTCTAATATCCGCTTGGAAATACTACAACCACAGCGTTTCAAACTGCTGTATCCAAAGGAAGGTTCCACTCTGTGACTTGAATGCACACAACCAAAGAAGTTTCGGAGAATTCTTCTGTCTAGATTTATACGAAGAAATCCCGTTTCCAACGAAGACCCAAAGGAGTTCCAAATATCCACTTGCAGATCCTTCAGAAAGAGGGTTTCAAAACTGCTCTATCAAGAGAAATGTTCAACTCTGTGAGTTGAATGCAGACATCACAAAGTCGTTTCTGAGATGGGTTCTGTCTAGGTTTTATGGGAAGATATTTCCTTTTCTACCATACGCTTCAAGGCGTTCCAAATATCCGCTTGGAAATACTACAAAAACGGTGTTTCAAAACTGCTCTATCAAAAGGAAGGATCCACACTGTGAGTTGAATTCACACATCACAAAGAAATCTCTGAGAATTCTTCTGTCTGGGTTTATAGGAAGAAATCCCGTTTCCAACGAAGGCCTCAAAGCGGTCCATATATCCACTTGCAGATTCTACAGAAACAATGTTTCCAAACTGCTCGGTCAAGAGGAATGTTGCACTCGGTGAGTTGAATGCACACATCACAAAGTAGTTTCTGAGATTGCTTCTGTCTACCTTTTATGGAAAGATATTCCCTTTTCTACCATAGGCCTGAAAGCGCTCTCAATGTACCCTTGCAAATTCTACAAAAAGAGTGTTTCCAAATTGCTCTATCAAGAGAAATCTTTATCTCGGTGAGTTGAAAGCACACATCACAAAGAAGACTCTGAGAATTCTTCTGTCTGGGTTTATAAGTATGAAAACCCGTTTCCAACGAAGGCCTCAAGGAGGTCCAAATACAAACAAGCTGATTCTACAGAAAGAGTGTTTCCAAACTGCTCTATCAAGAGGAATGTTCCACTCGGTGAGTTGAATGCAGACATCACAAAGGAGTTTCTGAGATTGCTTCTGTCTAGCTTTTATGGAAAGATATTTCCTTTTCTACCATAGGCCTCAAAGCGCTCTTAGTATACACTTCCAAATTCTACAAAGAGAGTGTTACTAAACCGCTCTCTCAAAGGAAATGTTAAACTCTGTGAGTTGAACACAGACATCACAAAGCAGTTTCTGAGAACACTTCTGTCTGCCTTTTATGTGAAGACATTCCCTTTTAAAAAGAATGCCTCCAAGGGCTCAAAATATCCACTTGTAGACTTTACAAAGAGAGTGTTTCAAAACTTCTCTACCAAAAGAAAGGTTAAAGACGGTGAGTTCAACGCACACATCACAAAGTTGTTTCTGAGAATGATTCTATCTATGTTTTCCATGAAGATGTTTCCTTTTCTATCATAGGCTTCAAAGTGGTCTAAATATCCACTTGGAAATCCTACAAGAACAGGGTTTCAAAACTTCTCTATCAAACGGAAGACTCCACTCTGTGAGATGAACGCACACATCACAATGAGGTTTCTGAAAATTCTTCTGTCTAGGGTTATAGGAAGAAATCCCGTTTCCAACGAAGGCCTCAAAGAGGTCCAAATATCCACTTGCAGTTTCTACAAAAAGAGTGTTTCAACACTGCTCTATAAAGAGAAAAGTTCCACTCTGTGAGTTGAATGTACACATCACAAAGTAGTTTCTGAGATTGCTTCTGTCTAGGTTTTAGGTGAAGTTATTTCCTTTTCTACTGTGGGCTTCAATGCGCTCTAAATATACACATGCAAATACTACAAAAAGAGTGTTTCAAAACTGCTCTATCAAAAGAAAAGTTTTACTCTGTGGGTTGAACGCACACATCGCAAAGCAGATTCTGAGAATTATTCTGTCTAGTTTTTATAGGAAGATGTTTCTTTTTCTGCCATAGGATCAATGCGCTATAAATATCCCCTTGGAAATCCTACAAAAACAGTGTTTCAAAACTGCTCTGTGAAAAGGGAGGTTTCACTCTTTGAATTGAATGCACACATCACAAAGGAGTTTCTGAAAATTCTTCAATCTAGAGTTACATGAAGAAATCCCGTTTCCAAAGAAGGCCTCAAATAGGTCCAAATATCCACTTGCAGCTACTACAAGAAGGGTGTTTCAGAAACGCTCTATCAAAAGAAACGTTAAACTCTGTGAGTTGAACACACACGTCACTAAGCACTTTCTGAGAACGATTCTATCTACTTTTTACATGAAGATGTTTCCTTTTCTAGCAGAGACTTCAAAGTGCTCTAAATATCCACTTGGGAATTCTACAAAAACGGTGTCTCAAAACTGCTCTATCAAAGGGAATGTTCCATTCTGTGAGTCGAATGCACACATCCGAAGAAGTTACTGAGAATTCTTCTCTGTAGGTTTAGATGAAGAAATCCCGTTTCCAACGAAGGCCTCTAGGAGGTCCAATTATCCACTTGCAGATTCTACAGAAAGAGTGTTTCAAAACTGCTCTATCAAGAGAAATGGTCCACCGTGTGTGTGGAATGCAGCCATCACACATTAGTTTCTGAGATTGCTTCTGTCTTGGTTTTATGGGGAGATATTTCCATTTCTAGCATAGGCTTCAAGGCGCTCTAAATATCCGCTTGGAAATAGTACAAAAACAGTGTTTCAAAACTGCTGTATCCAAAGGAAGGTGCCACTCGCTGAGTTGAATGCACACATCACAAGGAAAGTTTCTGAGAATTCTTCTGTCTAGATTCATACGAAGAAATCCCGTTTCCAACGAAGGCCTCAAAGAAGTCCAAATATCCCATTGCAAATTCTACAAAAGGAGTGTTTCCCAACTGCTCTATCAAGAGGAATGTTGCACTCTCTGACTTGAATGCAAACATCACATAGCAGTGTTTGAGAATTCTTCTGTCTAGAGTAACATGAAGAAATCCCGTTTCCAACGAAGGCCTCAAGGCGGTCCAATTATCCACTTGCAGATTCTACAGAAAGAGTGTTTCAAAACTGCTCTATCAAGAGAAATGTTCCACCGTGTGTGTGGAATGCAGCCATCACACAGTAGTTTCTGAGATTGCTTCCGTCTAGGTTTTATGGGAAGATATTTCCTTTTCTACCATAGGCTTCAAGGCGCTCTAATATCCGCTTGGAAATACTACAACCACAGCGTTTCAAACTGCTCTATCCAAAGGAAGGTTCCACTCTGTGACTTGAATGCACACAACCAAAGAAGTTTCGGAGAATTCTTCTGTCTGGATTTATACGAAGAAATCCCGTTTCCAACGAAGACCCAAAGGAGTTCCAAATATCCACTTGCAGCTCCTTCAGAAAGAGGGTTTCAAAACTGCTCTATCAAGAGAAATGTTCAACTCTGTGAGTTGAATGCAGACATCACAAAGTCGTTTCTGAGATGGGTTCTGTCTAGGTTTTATGGGAAGATATTTCCTTTTCTACCATACGCTTCAAGGCGTTCCAAATATCCGCTTGGAAATACTACAAAAACGGTGTTTCAAAACTGCTCTATCAAAAGGAAGGATCCACACTGTGAGTTGAATTCACACATCACAAAGAAATCTCTGAGAATTCTTCTGTCTGGGTTTATAGGAAGAAATCCCGTTTCCAACGAAGGCCTCAAAGCGGTCCATATATCCACTTGCAGATTCTACAGAAACAATGTTTCCAAACTGCTCTATCAAGAGGAATGTTGCACTCGGTGAGTTGAATGCACACATCACAAAGTAGTTTCTGAGATTGCTCTGTCTACCTTTGATGGAAAGATATTCCCTTTTCTACCATAGGCCTGAAAGCGCTCTCAATGTACCCTTGCAAATTCTACAAAAAGAGTGTTTCCAAATTGCTCTATCAAGAGAAATCTTTATCTCGGTGAGTTGAAAGCACACATCACAAAGAAGAACCTGAGAATTCTTTCTGTCTGGGTTTATAAGATGAAAACCCGTTTCCAACGAAGGCCTCAAGGAGGTCCAAATACAAACAAGCTGATTCTACAGAAAGAGTGTTTCCAAACTGCTCTATCAAGAGGAATGTTCCACTCGGTGAGTTGAATGCAGACATCACAAAGGAGTTTCTGAGATTGCTTCTGTCTAGCTTTTATGGAAAGATATTTCCTTTTCTACCATAGGCCTCAAAGCGCTCTTAGTATACACTTCCAAATTCTACAAAGAGAGTGTTACTAAACCGCTCTCTCAAAGGAAATGTTAAACTCTGTGAGTTGAACACAGACATCACAAAGCAGTTTCTGAGAACACTTCTGTCTGCCTTTTATGTGAAGACATTCCCTTTTCCAAAGAATGCCTCCAAGGGCTCAAAATATCCACTTGTAGACTTTACAAAGAGAGTGTTTCAAAACTTCTCTACCAAAAGAAAGGTTAAAGACGGTGAGTTCAACGGCACACATCACAAAGTTGTTTCTGAGAATGATTCTATCTATGTTTTCCATGAAGATGTTTCCTTTTCTATCATAGGCTTCAAAGTGGTCTAAATATCCACTTGGAAATCCTACAAGAACAGGGTTTCAAAACTTCTCTATCAAACGGAAGACTCCACTCTGTGAGATGAACGCACACATCACAATGAGGTTTCTGAAAATTCTTCCTGTCTAGGGTTATAGGAAGAAATCCCGTTTCCAACGAAGGCCTCAAAGAGGTCCAAATATCCACTTGCAGTTTCTACAAAAAGAGTGTTTCAACACTGCTCTATAAAGAGGAAAGTTCCACTCTGTGAGTTGAATGTACACATCACAAAGTAGTTTCTGAGATTGCTTCTGTCTAGGTTTTAGGTGAAGTTATTTCCTTTTCTACTGTGGGCTTCAATGCGCTCTAAATATACACATGCAAATACTACAAAAAGAGTGTTTCAAAACTGCTCTATCAAAAGAAAAGTTTTACTCTGTGAGTTGAACGCACACATCGCAAAGCAGATTCTGAGAATTATTCTGTCTAGTTTTTATAGGAAGATGTTTCTTTTTCTGCCATAGGCTCAATGCGCTATAAATATCCCCTTGGAAATCCTACAAAAACAGTGTTTCAAAACTGCTCTGTGAAAAGGGAGGTTTCACTCTTTGAATTGAATGCACACATCACAAAGGAGTTTCTGAAAATTCTTCAATCTAGAGTTACATGAAGAAATCCCGTTTCCAAAGAAGGCCTCAAATAGGTCCAAATATCCACTTGCAGCTACTACAAGAAGGGTGTTTCAGAAACGCTCTATCAAAAGAAACGTTAAACTCTGTGAGTTGAACACACACGTCACTAAGCACCTTCTGAGAACGATTCTATCTACTTTTTACATGAAGATGTTTCCTTTTCTAGCAGAGACTTCAAAGTGCTCTAAATATCCACTTGGGAATTCTACAAAAACGGTGTCTCAAAACTGCTCTACCAAAGGGAATGTTCTATTCTGTGAGTCGAATGCACACATCCGAAGAAGTTACTGAGAATTCTTCTCTGTAGGTTTAGATGAAGAAATCCCGTTTCCAACGAAGGCCTCTAGGAGGTCCAATTATCCACTTGCAGATTCTACAGAAAGAGTGTTTCAAAACTGCTCTATCAAGAGAAATGGTCCACCGTGTGTGTGGAATGCAGCCATCACACATTAGTTTCTGAGATTGCTTCTGTCTTGGTTTTATGGGGAGATATTTCCATTTCTAGCATAGGCTTCAAGGCGCTCTAAATATCTGCTTGGAAATAGTACAAAAACAGTGTTTCAAAACTGCTGTATCCAAAGGAAGGTGCCACTCGCTGAGTTGAATGCACACATCACAAGGAAGTTTCTGAGAATTCTTCTGTCTAGATTCATACGAAGAAATCCCGTTTCCAACGAAGGCCTCAAAGAAGTCCAAATATCCCATTGCAAATTCTACAAAAGGAGTGTTTCCCAACTGCTCTATCAAGAGGAATGTTGCACTCTGTGACTTGCATGCAAACATCACACAGCAGTGTTTGAGAATTCTTCTGTCTAGAGTAACATGAAGAAATCCCGTTTCCAACGAAGGCCTCAAGGCGGTCCAATTATCCACTTGCAGATTCTACAGAAAGAGTGTTTCAAAACTGCTCTATCAAGAGAAATGTTCCACCGTGTGTGTGGAATGCAGCCATCACACAGTAGTTTCTGAGATTGCTTCCGTCTAGGTTTTATGGGAAGATATTTCCTTTTCTACCATAGGCCTCAAGGCGCTCTAATATCCGCTTGGAAATACTACAACCACAGCGTTTCAAACTGCTCTATCCAAAGGAAGGTTCCACTCTGTGACTTGAATGCACACAACCAAAGAAGTTTCGGAGAATTCTTCTGTCTGGATTTATACGAAGAAATCCCGTTTCCAACGAAGACCCAAAGGAGTTCCAAATATCCACTTGCAGCTCCTTCAGAAAGAGGGTTTCAAAACTGCTCTATCAAGAGAAATGTTCAACTCTGTGAGTTGAATGCAGACATCACAAAGTCGTTTCTGAGATGGGTTCTGTCTAGGTTTTATGGGAAGATATTTCCTTTTCTACCATACGCTTCAAGGCGTTCCAAATATCCGCTTGGAAATACTACAAAAACAGTGTTTCAAAACTGCTCTATCAAAAGGAAGGATCCACACTGTGAGTTGAATTCACACATCACAAAGAAGTCTCTGAGAATTCTTCTGTTTGGTTTATAGGAAGAAATCCCGTTTCCAACGAAGGCCTCAAAGCGGTCCATATATCCACTTGCAGATTCTACAGAAACAATGTTTCCAAACTGCTCTATCAAGAGGAATGTTGCACTCGGTGAGTTGAATGCACACATCACAAAGTAGTTTCTGAGATTGCTTCTGTCTACCTTTTATGGAAAGATATTCCCTTTTCTACCATAGGCCTGAAAGCGCTCTCAATGTACCCTTGCAAATTCTACAAAAAGAGTGTTTCCAAATTGCTCTATCAAGAGAAATCTTTATCTCGGTGAGTTGAAAGCACACATCACAAAGACGACTCTGAGAATTCTTCTGTCTGGGTTTATAAGATGAAAACCCGTTTCCAACGAAGGCCTCAAGGAGGTCCAAATACAAACAAGCTGATTCTACAGAAAGAGTGTTTCCAAACTGCTCTATCAAGAGGAATGTTCCACTCGGTGAGTTGAATGCAGACATCACAAAGGAGTTTCTGAGATTGCTTCTGTCTAGCTTTTATGGAAAGATATTTCCTTTTCTACCATAGGCCTCAAAGCGCTCTTAGTATACACTTCCAAATTCTACAAAGAGAGTGTTACTAAACCGCTCTCTCAAAGGAAATGTTAAACTCTGTGAGTTGAACACAGACATCACAAAGCAGTTTCTGAGAACACTTCTGTCTGCCTTTTATGTGAAGACATTCCCTTTTCCAAAGAATGCCTCCAAGGGCTCAAAATATCCACTCGTAGACTTTACAAAGAGAGTGTTTCAAAACTTCTCTACCAAAAGAAAGGTTAAAGACGGTGAGTTCAACGCACACATCACAAAGTTGTTTGCTGAGAATGATTCTATCTATGTTTTCCATGAAGATGTTTCCTTTTCTATCATAGGCTTCAAAGTGGTCTAAATATCCACTTGGAAATCCTACAAGAACAGGGTTTCAAAACTTCTCTATCAAACGGAAGACTCCACTCTGTGAGATGAACGCACACATCACAATGAGGTTTCTGAAAATTCTTCTGTCTAGGGTTATAGGAAGAAATCCCCTTTCCAACGAAGGCCTCAAAGAGGTCCAAATATCCACTTGCAGTTTCTACAAAAAGAGTGTTTCAACACTGCTCTATAAAGAGGAAAGTTCCACTCTGTGAGTTGAATGTACACATCACAAAGTAGTTTCTGAGATTGCTTCTGTCTAGGTTTTAGGTGAAGTTATTTCCTTTTCTACTGTGGGCTTCAATGCGCTCTAAATATACACATGCAAATACTACAAAAAGAGTGTTTCAAAACTGCTCTATCAAAAGAAAAGTTTTACTCTGTGGGTTGAACGCACACATCGCAAAGCAGATTCTGAGAATTATTCTGTCTAGTTTTTATAGGAAGATGTTTCTTTTTCTGCCGTAGGCTCAATGCGCTGTAAATATCCCCTTGGAAATCCTACAAAAACAGTGTTTCAAAACTGCTCTGTGAAAAGGGAGGTTTCACTCTTTGAATTGAATGCACACATCACAAAGGAGTTTCTGAAAATTCTTCAAACTAGAGTTACATGAAGAAATCCCGTTTCCAAAGAAGGCCTCAAATAGGTCCAAATATCCACTTGCAGCTACTACAAGAAGGGTGTTTCAGAAACGCTCTATCAAAAGAAACGTTAAAATCTGTGAGTTGAACGCACACGTCACTAAGCACTTTCTGAGAACGATTCTATCTACTTTTTACATGAAGATGTTTCCTTTTCTAGCAGAGACTTCAAAGTGCTCTAAATATCCACTTGGGAATTCTACAAAAACGGTGTCTCAAAACTGCTCTATCAAAGGGAATGTTCCATTCTGTGAGTCGAATGCACACATCCGAAGAAGTTACTGAGAATTCTTCTCTGTAGGTTTAGATGAAGAAATCCCGTTTCCAACGAAGGCCTCTAGGAGGTCCAAATATCCACTTGCAGATTCTACAGAAAGAGTGTTTCAAAACTGCTCTATCAAGAGAAATGGTCCACCGTGTGTGTGGAATGCAGCCATCACACATTAGTTTCTGAGATTGCTTCTGTCTTGGTTTTATGGGGAGATATTTCCATTTCTAGCATAGGCTTCAAGGCGCTCTAAATATCCGCTTGGAAATACTACAAAAACAGTGTTTCAAAACTGCTGTATCCAAAGGAAGGTGCCACTCGCTGAGTTGAATGCACACATCACAAGGAAGTTTCTGAGAATTCTTCTGTCTAGATTCATACGAAGAAATCCCGTTTCCAACGAAGGCCTCAAAGAAGTCCAAATATCCCATTGCAAATTCTACAAAAGGAGTGTTTCCCAACTGCTCTATCAAGAGGAATGTTGCACTCTGTGACTTGAATGCAAACATCACATAGCAGTGTTTGAGAATTCTTCTGTCTAGAGTAACATGAAGAAATCCCGTTTCCAACGAAGGCCTCAAGGCGGTCCAATTATCCACTTGCAGATTCTACAGAAAGAGTGTTTCAAAACTGCTCTATCAAGAGAAATGTTCCACCGTGTGTGTGGAATGCAGCCATCACACAGTAGTTTACTGAGATTGCTTCCGTCTAGGTTTTATGGGAAGATATTTCCTTTTCTACCACAGGCTTCAAGGCGCTCTAATATCCGCTTGGAAATACTACAACCAGAGCGTTTCAAACTGCTCTATCCAAAGGAAGGTTCCACTCTGTGACTTGAATGCACACAACCAAAGAAGTTTCGGAGAATTCTTCTGTCTGGATTTATACGAAGAAATCCCGTTTCCAACGAAGACCCAAAGGAGTTCCAAATATCCACTTGCAGATCCTTCAGAAAGAGGGTTTCAAAACTGCTCTATCAAGAGAAATGTTCAACTCTGTGAGTTGAATGCAGACATCACAAAGTCGTTTCTGAGATGGGTTCTGTCTAGGTTTTATGGGAAGATATTTCCTTTTCTACCATACGCTTCAAGGCGTTCCAAATATCCGCTTGGAAATACTACAAAAACGGTGTTTCAAAACTGCTCTATCAAAAGGAAGGATCCACACTGTGAGTTGAATTCACACATCACAAAGAAATCTCTGAGAATTCTTCTGTCTGGGTTTATAGGAAGAAATCCCGTTTCCAACGAAGGCCTCAAAGCGGTCCATATATCCACTTGCAGATTCTACAGAAACAATGTTTCCAAACTGCTCTATCAAGAGGAATGTTGCACTCGGTGAGTTGAATGCACACATCACAAAGTAGTTTCTGAGATTGCTTCTGTCTACCTTTTATGGAAAGATATTCCCTTTTCTACCATACGCCTGAAAGCGCTCTCAATGTACCCTTGCAAATTCTACAAAAAGAGTGTTTCTAAATTGCTCTATCAAGAGAAATCTTTATCTCGGTGAGTTGAAAGCACACATCACAAAGAAGACTCTGAGAATTCTTCTGTCTGGGTTTATAAGATGAAAACCCGTTTCCAACGAAGGCCTCAAGGAGGTCCAAATACAAACAAGCTGATTCTACAGAAAGAGTGTTTCCAAACTGCTCTATCAAGAGGAATGTTCCACTCGGTGAGTTGAATGCAGACATCACAAAGGAGTTTCTGAGATTGCTTCTGTCTAGCTTTTATGGAAAGATAATTCCTTTTCTACCATAGGCCTCAAAGCGCTCTTAGTATACACTTCCAAATTCTACAAAGAGAGTGTTACTAAACCGCTCTCTCAAAGGAAATGTTAAACTCTGTGAGTTGAACACAGACATCACAAAGCAGTTTCTGAGAACACTTCTGTCTGCCTTTTATGTGAAGACATTCCCTTTTCCAAAGAATGCCTCCAAGGGCTCAAAATATCCACTTGTAGACTTTACAAAGAGAGTGTTTCAAAACTTCTCTACCAAAAGAAAGGTTAAAGACGGTGAGTTCAACGCACACATCACAAAGTTGTTTCTGAGAATGATTCTATCTATGTTTTCCATGAAGATGTTTCCTTTTCTATCATAGGCTTCAAAGTGGTCTAAATATCCACTTGGAAATCCTACAAGAACAGGGTTTCAAAACTTCTCTATGAAACGGAAGACTCCACTCTGTGAGATGAACGCACACATCACAATGAGGTTTCTGAAAATTCTTCTGTCTAGGGTTATAGGAAGAAATCCCGTTTCCAACGAAGGCCTCAAAGAGGTCCAAATATCCACTTGCAGTTTCTACAAAAAGAGTGTTTCAACACTGCTCTATAAAGAGGAAAGTTCCACTCTGTGAGTTGAATGTACACATCACAAAGTAGTTTCTGAGATTGCTTCTGTCTAGGTTTTAGGTGAAGTTATTTCCTTTTCTACTGTGGGCTTCAATGCGCTCTAAATATACACATGCAAATACTACAAAAAGAGTGTTTCAAAACTGCTCTATCAAAAGAAAAGTTTTACTCTGTGAGTTGAACGCACACATCGCAAAGCAGATTCCTGAGAATTATTCTGTCTAGTTTTTATAGGAAGATGTTTCTTTTTCTGCCGTAGGCTCAATGCGCTATAAATATCCCCTTGGAAATCCTACAAAAACAGTGTTTCAAAATTGCTCTGTGAAAAGGGAGGTTTCACTCTTTGAATTGAATGCACACATCACAAAGGAGTTTCTGAAAATTCTTCAAACTAGAGTTACATGAAGAAATCCCGTTTCCAAAGAAGGCCTCAAATAGGTCCAAATATCCACTTGCAGCTACTACAAGAAGGGTGTTTCAGAAACGCTCTATCAAAAGAAACGTTAAACTCTGTGAGTTGAACGCACACGTCACTAAGCACTTTCTGAGAACGATTCTATCTACTTTTTACATGAAGATGTTTCCTTTTCTAGCAGAGACTTCAAAGTGCTCTAAATATCCACTTGGGAATTCTACAAAAACGGTGTCTCAAAACTGCTCTATCAAACGGAATGTTCCATTCTGTGAGTCGAATGCACACATCCGAAGAAGTTACTGAGAATTCTTCTCTGTAGGTTTAGATGAAGAAATCCCGTTTCCAACGAAGGCCTCTAGGAGGTCCAATTATCCACTTGCAGATTCTACAGAAAGAGTGTTTCAAAACTGCTCTATCAAGAGAAATGGTCCACCGTGTGTGTGGAATGCAGCCATCACACATTAGTTTCTGAGATTGCTTCTGTCTTGGTTTTATGGGGAGATATTACCATTTCTAGCGTAGGCTTCAAGGCGCTCTAAATATCCGCTTGGAAATACTACAAAAACAGTGTTTCAAAACTGCTGTATCCAAAGGAAGGTGCCACTCGCTGAGTTGAATGCACACATCACAAAGAAGTTTCTGAGAATTCTTCTGTCTAGATTTATACGAAGAAATCCCGTTTCCAACGAAGGCCTCGAAAAAGTCCAAATATCCCATTGCAAATTCTACAAAGGAGTCTTTGCCAACTGCTCTATCAAGAGGAATGTTGCACTCTGTGACTTGAATGCAAACATCACATAGTAGTGTTTGAGAATTCTTCTATCTAGAGTAACATGAAGAAATCCCGTTTCCAACGAAGGCCTCAAGGCGGTCCAATTATCCACTTGCAGATTCTACAGAAAGAGTCTTTCAAAACTGCTCTATCAAGAGAAATGTTCCACCGTGTGTGTGGAATGCAGCCATCACAAAGTAGTTTCTGAGATTGCTTCCGTCTAGGTTTTATGGGAAGATATTTCCTTTTCTACCATAGGCCTCAAGGCGCTCTAATATCCGCTTGGAAATACTACAACCACAGCGTTTCAATCTGCTCTACCCAAAGGAAGGTTCCACCCTGTGACTTGAATGCACACAACAAAAGAAGTTTCGGAGAATTCTTCTGTCTAGATTTATACGAAGAAATCCCGTTTCCAACGAAGACCCAAAGGAGTTCCAAATATCCCCTTGCAGATCTTTCAGAAAGAGGGTATCAAAACTGCTCTATCAAGAGAAATGTTCAACTCTGTGAGTTGAATGCAGACATCACAAAGTCGTTTCTGAGATTGGTTCTGTCTAGGTTTTATGGGAAGATATTTCCTTTTCTACCATACGCTTCAAGGCGTTCCAAATATCCGCTTGGAAATACTACAAAAACAGTGTTTCGAAACTGCTCTATCAAAAGGAAGGAACCACACTGTGAGTTGAATTCACACATCACAAAGAAGTCTCTGAGAATTCTTCTGTCTGGGTTTATAGGAAGAAATCCCGTTTCCAACGAAGGCCTCAAAGCGGTCCATATATCCACTTGCAGATTCTACAGAAACAATGTTTCCAAACTGCTCTATCAAGAGGAATGTTGCACTCGGTGAGTTGAATGCACACATGACAAAGTAGTTTCTGAGATTGCTTCTGTCTACCTTTTATGGAAAGATATTCCCTTTTCTACCATAGGCCTGAAAGCGCTCTCAATGTACCCTTGCAAATTCTACAAAAAGAGTGTTTCCAAATTGCTCTATCAAGAGAAATCTTTATCTCGGTGAGTTGAAAGCACACATCACAAAGAAGACTCTGAGAATTCTTCTGTCTGGGTTTATAAGATGAAAACCCGTTTCCAACGAAGGCCTCAAGGAGGTCCAAATACAAACAAGCTGATTCTACAGAAAGAGTGTTTCCAAACTGCTCTATCAAGAGGAATGTTCCACTCGGTGAGTTGAATGCAGACATCACAAAGGAGTTTCTGGGATTGCTTCTGTCTAGCTTTTATGGAAAGATATTTCCTTTTCTACCATAGGCCTCAAAGCGCTCTTAGTATACACTTCCAAATTCTACAAAGAGAGTGTTACTAAACCGCTCTCTCAAAGGAAATGTTAAACTCTGTGTGTTGAACACAGACATCACAAAGCAGTTTCTGAGAACACTTCTGTCTGCCTTTTATGTGAAGACATTCCCTTTTCCAAAGAATGCCTCCAAGGGCTCAAAATATCCACTTGTAGACTTTACAAAGAGAGTGTTTCAAAACTTCTCTACCAAAAGAAAGGTTAAAGACGGTGAGTTCAACGCACACATCACAAAGTTGTTTCTGAGAATGATTCTATCTATGTTTTCCATGAAGATGTTTCCTTTTCTATCATAGGCTTCAAAGTGGTCTAAATATCCACTTGGAAATCCTACAAGAACAGGGTTTCAAAACTTCTCTATCAAACGGAAGACTCCACTCTGTGAGATGAACGCACACATCACAATGAGGTTTCTGAAAATTCTTCTGTCTAGGGTTATAGGAAGAAATCCCGTTTCCAACGAAGGCCTCAAAGAGGTCCAAATATCCACTTGCAGTTTCTACAAAAAGAGTGTTTCAACACTGCTCTATAAAGAGGAAAGTTCCACTCTGTGAGTTGAATGTACACATCACAAAGTAGTTTCTGAGATTGCTTCTGTCTAGGTTTTAGGTGAAGTTATTTCCTTTTCTACTGTGGGCTTCAATGCGCTCTAAATATACACATGCAAATACTACAAAAAGAGTGTTTCAAAACTGCTCTATCAAAAGAAAAGTTTTACTCTGTGAGTTGAACGCACACATCGCAAAGCAGATTCTGAGAATTATTCTGTCTAGTTTTTATAGGAAGATGTTTCTTTTTCTGCCGTAGGCTCAATGCGCTATATATATCCCCTTGGAAATCCTACAAAAACAGTGTTTCAAAACTGCTCTGTGAAAAGGGAGGTTTCACTCTTTGAATTGAATGCACACATCACAAAGGAGTTTCTGAAAATTCTTCAATCTAGAGTTACATGAAGAAATCCCGTTTCCAAAGAAGGCCTCAAATAGGTCCAAATATCCACTTGCAGCTACTACAAGAAGGGTGTTTCAGAAACGCTCTATCAAAAGAAACGTTAAACTCTGTGAGTTGAACGCACACGTCACTAAGCACTTTCTGAGAACGATTCTATCTACTTTTTACATGAAGATGTTTCCTTTTCTAGCAGAGACTTCAAAGTGCTCTAAATATCCACTTGGGAATTCTACAAAAACCGTGTCTCAAAACTGCTCTATCAAAGGGAATGTTCCATTCTGTGAGTCGAATGCACACATCCGAAGAAGTTACTGAGAATTCTTCTCTGTAGGTTTAGATGAAGAAATCCCGTTTCCAACGAAGGCCTCTAGGAGGTCCAATTATCCACTTGCAGATTCTACAGAAAGAGTGTTTCAAAACTGCTCTATCAAGAGAAATGGTCCACCGTGTGTGTGGAATGCAGCCATCACACATTAGTTTCTGAGATTGCTTCTGTCTTGGTTTTATGGGGAGATATTTCCATTTCTAGCATAGGCTTCAAGGCGCTCTAAATATCCGCTTGGAAATAGTACAAAAACAGTGTTTCAAAACTGCTGTATCCAAAGGAAGGTGCCACTCGCTGAGTTGAATGCACACATCACAAGGAAGTTTCTGAGAATTCTTCTGTCTAGATTCATACGAAGAAATCCCGTTTCCAACGAAGGCCTCAAAGAAGTCCAAATATCCCATTGCAAATTCTACAAAAGGAGTGTTTCCCAACTGCTCTATCAAGAGGAATGTTGCACTCTGTGACTTGAATGCAAACATCACATAGCAGTGTTTGAGAATTCTTCTGTCTAGAGTAACATGAAGAAATCCCGTTTCCAACGAAGGCCTCAAGGCCGTCCAATTATCCACTTGCAGATTCTACAGAAAGAGTGTTTCAAAACTGCTCTATGAAGAGAAATGTTCCACCGTGCGTGTGGAATGCAGTCATCACACAGTAGTTTCTGAGATTGCTTCCGTCTAGGTTTTATGGGAAGATATTTCCTTTTCTACCATAGGCTTCAAGGCGCTCTAATATCCGCTTGGAAATACTACAACCACAGCGTTTCAAACTGCTCTATCCAAAGGAAGGTTCCACTCTGTGACTTGAATGCACACAACCAAAGAAGTTTCGGAGAATTCTTCTGTCTGGATTTGTACGAAGAAATCCCGTTTCCAACGAAGACCCAAAGGAGTTCCAAATATCCACTTGCAGATCCTTCAGAAAGAGGGTTTCAAAACTGCTCTATCAAGAGAAATGTTCAACTCTGTGAGTTGAATGCAGACATCACAAAGTCGTTTCTGAGATTGGTTCTGTCTAGGTTTTATGGGAAGATATTTCCTTTTCTACTATACGCTTCAAGGCGTTCCAAATATCTGCTTGGAAATACTACAAAAACAGTGTTTCAAAACTGCTCTATCAAAAGGAAGGATCCACACTGTGAGTTGAATTCACACATCACAAAGAAATCTCTGAGAATTCTTCTGTCTGGGTTTATAGGAAGAAATCCCGTTTCCAACGAAGGCCTCAAAGCGGTCCATATATCCACTTGCAGATTCTACAGAAACAATGTTTCCAAACTGCTCGGTCAAGAGGAATGTTGCACTCGGTGAGTTGAATGCACACATGACAAAGTAGTTTCTGAGATTGCTTCTGTCTACCTTTTATGGAAAGATATTCCCTTTTCTACCATAGGCCTGAAAGCGCTCTCAATGTACCCTTGCAAATTCTACAAAAAGAGTGTTTCCAAATTGCTCTATCAAGAGAAATCTTTATCTCGGTGAGTTGAAAGCACACATCACAAAGAAGACTCTGAGAATTCTTCTGTCTGGGTTTATAAGATGAAAACCCGTTTCCAACGAAGGCCTCAAGGAGGTCCAAATACAAACAAGCTGATTCTACAGAAAGAGTGTTTCCAAACTGCTCTATCAAGAGGAATGTTCCACTCGGTGAGTTGAATGCAGACATCACAAAGGAGTTTCTGAGATTGCTTCTGTCTAGCTTTTATGGAAAGATATTTCCTTTTCTACCATAGGCCTCAAAGCGCTCTTAGTATACACTTCCAAATTCTACAAAGAGAGTGTTACTAAACCGCTCTCTCAAAGGAAATGTTAAACTCTGTGAGTTGAACACAGACATCACAAAGCAGTTTCTGAGAACACTTCTGTCTGCCTTTTATGTGAAGACATTCCCTTTTCCAAAGAATGCCTCCAAGGGCTCAAAATATCCACTTGTAGACTTTACAAAGAGAGTGTTTCAAAACTTCTCTACCAAAAGAAAGGTTAAAGACGGTGAGTTCAACGCACACATCACAAAGTTGTTTCTGAGAATGATTCTATCTATGTTTTCCATGAAGATGTTTCCTTTTCTATCATAGGCTTCAAAGTGGTCTAAATATCCACTTGGAAATCCTACAAGAACAGGGTTTCAAAACTTCTCTATCAAACGGAAGACTCCACTCTGTGAGATGAACGCACACATCACAATGAGGTTTCTGAAAATTCTTCTGTCTAGGGTTATAGGAAGAAATCCCGTTTCCAACGAAGGCCTCAAAGAGGTCCAAATATCCACTTGCAGTTTCTACAAAAAGAGTGTTTCAACACTGCTCTATAAAGAGGAAAGTTCCACTCTGTGAGGTTGAATGTACACATCACAAAGTAGTTTCTGAGATTGCTTCTGTCTAGGTTTTAGGTGAAGTTATTTCCTTTTCTACTGTGGGCTTCAATGCGCTCTAAATATACACATGCAAATACTACAAAAAGAGTGTTTCAAAACTGCTCTATCAAAAGAAAAGTTTTACTCTGTGAGTTGAACGCACACATCGCAAAGCAGATTCTGAGAATTATTCTGTCTAGTTTTTATAGGAAGATGTTTCTTTTTCTGCCGTAGGCTCAATGCGCTATAAATATCCCCTTGGAAATCCTACAAAAACAGTGTTTCAAAACTGCTCTGTGAAAAGGGAGGTTTCACTCTTTGAATTGAATGCACACATCACAAAGGAGTTTCTGAAAATCCTTCTATCTAGAGTTACATGAAGAAATCCCGTTTCCAAAGAAGGCCTCAAATAGGTCCAAATATCCACTTGCAGCTACTACAAGAAGGGTGTTTCAGAAACGCTCTATCAAAAGAAATGTTAAACTCTGTGAGTTGAACACACACGTCACTAAGCACTTTCTGAGAACGATTCTATCTACTTTTTACATGAAGATGTTTCCTTTTCTAGCAGAGACTTCAAAGTGCTCTAAATATCCACTTGGGAATTCTACAAAAACGGTGTCTCAAAACTGCTCTATCAAAGGGAATGTTCCATTCTGTGAGTCGAATGCACACATCCGAAGAAGTTACTGAGAATTCTTCTCTGTAGGTTTAGATGAAGAAATCCCGTTTCCAACGAAGGCCTCTAGGAGGTCCAATTATCCACTTGCAGATTCTACACAAAGAGTGTTTCAAAACTGCTCTATCAAGAGAAATGGTCCACCGTGTGTGTGGAATGCAGCCATCACACATTAGTTTCTGAGATTGCTTCTGTCTTGGTTTTATGGGGAGATATTTCCATTTCTAGCATAGGCTTCAAGGCGCTCTAAATATCCGCTTGGAAATACTACAAAAACAGTGTTTCAAAACTGCTGTATCCAAAGGAAGGTGCCACTCGCTGAGTTGAATGCACACATCACAAGGAAGTTTCTGAGAATTCTTCTGTCTAGATTCATACGAAGAAATCCCGTTTCCAACGAAGGCCTCAAAGAAGTCCAAATATCCCATTGCAAATTCTACAAAAGGAGTGTTTCCCAACTGCTCTATCAAGAGGAATGTTGCACTCTGTGACTTGCATGCAAACATCACATAGCAGTGTTTGAGAATTCTTCTGTCTAGAGTAACATGAAGAAATCCCGTTTCCAACGAAGGCCTCAAGACGGTCCAATTATCCACTTGCAGATTCTACAGAAAGAGTGTTTCAAAACTGCTCTATCAAGAGAAATGTTCCACCGTGTGTGTGGAATGCAGCCATCACACAGTAGTTTCTGAGATTGCTTCCGTCTAGGTTTTATGGGAAGATATTTCCTTTTCTACCATAGGCCTCAAGGCGCTCTAATATCCGCTTGGAAATACTACAACCACAGCGTTTCAAACTGCTCTATCCAAAGGAAGGTTCCACTCTGTGACTTGAATACACACAACCAAAGAAGTTTCGGAGAATTCTTCTGTCTGGTTTTATACGAAGGAAATCCCGTTTCCAACGAAGGACCTAAAGGAGTTCCAAATATCCACTTGCAGATCCTTCAGAAAGAGGGTTTCAAAGCTGCTCTATCAAGAGAAATGTTCAACTCTGTGAGTTGAATGCAGACATCAAAAAGTCGTTTCTGAGATTGGTTCTGTCTAGGTTTTATGGGAAGATATTTCCTTTTCTACCATACGCTTCAAGGCGTTCCAAATATCCGCTTGGAAATACTACAAAAACGGTGTTTCAAAACTGCTCTATCAAAAGGAAGGATCCACACTGTGAGTTGAATTCACACATCACAAAGAAATCTCTGAGAATTCTTCTGTCTGGGTTTATAGGAAGAAATCCCGTTTCCAACGAAGGCCTCAAAGCGGTCCATATATCCACTTGCAGATTCTACAGAAACAATGTTTCCAAACTGCTCTATCAAGAGGAATGTTGCACTCGGTGAGTTGAATGCACACATCACAAAGTAGTTTCTGAGATTGCTTCTGTCTACCTTTGATGGAAAGATATTCCCTTTTCTACCATAGGCCTGAAAGCGCTCTCAATGTACCCTTGCAAATTCTACAAAAAGAGTGTTTCCAAATTGCTCTATCAAGAGAAATCTTTATCTCAGTGAGTTGAAAGCACACATCACAAAGAAGACTCTGAGAATTCTTCTGTCTGGGTTTATAAGATGAAAACCCGTTTCCAACGAAGGCCTCAAGGAGGTCCAAATACAAACAAGCTGATTCTACAGAAAGAGTGTTTCCAAACTGCTCTATCAAGAGGAATGTTCCACTCGGTGAGTTGAATGCAGACATCACAAAGGAGTTTCTGAGATTGCTTCTGTCTAGCTTTTATGGAAAGATATTTCCTTTTCTACCATAGGCCTCAAAGCGCTCTTAGTATACACTTCCAAATTCTACAAAGAGAGTGTTACTAAACCGCTCTCTCAAAGGAAATGTTACACTCTGTTAGTTGAACACAGACATCACAAAGCAGTTTCTGAGAACACTTCTATCTGCCTTTTATGTGAAGACATTCCCTTTTCCAAAGAATGCCTCCAAGGGCTCAAAATATCCACTTGTAGACTTTACAAAGAGAGTGTTTCAAAACTTCTCTACCAAAAGAAAGGTTAAAGACGGTGAGTTCAACGCACACATCACAAAGTTGTTTCTGAGAATGATTCTATCTATGTTTTCCATGAAGATGTTTCCTTTTCTATCATAGGCTTCAAAGTGGTCTAAATATCCACTTGGAAATCCTACAAGAACAGGGTTTCAAAACTTCTCTATCAAACGGAACACTCCACTCTGTGAGATGAACGCACACATCACAATGAGGTTTCTGAAAATTCTTCTGTCTAGGGTTATAGGAAGAAATCCCGTTTCCAACGAAGGCCTCAAAGAGGTCCAAATATCCACTTGCAGTTTCTACAAAAAGAGTGTTTCAACACTGCTCTATAAAGAGGAAAGTTCCACTCTGTGAGTTGAATGTACACATCACAAAGTAGTTTCTGAGATTGCTTCTGTCTAGGTTTTAGGTGAAGTTATTTCCTTTTCTACTTTGGGCTTCAATGCGCTCTAAATATACACATGCAAATACTACAAAAAGAGTGTTTCAAAACTGCTCTATCAAAAGAAAAGTTTTACTCTGTGGGTTGAACGCACACATCGCAAAGCAGATTCTGAGAATTATTCTGTCTAGTTTTTATAGGAAGATGTTTCTTTTTCTGCCATAGGATCAATGCGCTATAAATATCCCCTTGGAAATCCTACAAAAACAGTGTTTCAAAACTGCTCTGTGGAAAGGGAAGTTTCACTCTTTGAATTGAATGCACACATCACAAAGGAGTTTCTGAAAATTCTTCAATCTAGAGTTACATGAAGAAATCCCGTTTCCAAAGAAGGCCTCAAATAGGTCCAAATATCCACTTGCAGCTACTACAAGAAGGGTGTTTCAGGAACGCTCTATCAAAAGAAACGTTACACTCTGTGAGTTGAACGCACACGTCACTAAGCACTTTCTGAGAACGATTCTATCTACTTTTTACATGAAGATGTTTCCTTTTCTAGCAGAGACTTCAAAGTGCTCTAAATATCCACTTGGGAATTCTACAAAAACGGTGTCTCAAAACTGCTCTATCAAACGGAATGTTCCATTCTGTGTGTCGAATGCACACATCCGAAGAAGTTACTGAGAATTCTTCTCTGTAGGTTTAGATGAAGAAATCCCGTTTCCAACGAAGGCCTCTAGGAGGTCCAATTATCCACTTGCAGATTCTACAGAAAGAGTGTTTCAAAACTGCTCTATCAAGAGAAATGGTCCACCGTGTGTGTGGAATGCAGCCATCACACATTAGTTTCTGAGATTGCTTCTGTCTTGGTTTTATGGGGAGATATTTCCATTTCTAGCATAGGCTTCAAGGCGCTCTAAATATCCGCTTGGAAATAGTACAAAAACAGTGTTTCAAAACTGCTGTATCCAAAGGAAGGTGCCACTCGCTGAGTTGAATGCACACATCACAAGGAAGTTTCTGAGAATTCTTCTGTCTAGATTCATACGAAGAAATCCCGTTTCCAACGAAGGCCTCAAAGAAGTCCAAATATCCCATTGCAAATTCTACAAAAGGAGTATTTCCCAACTGCTCTATCAAGAGGAATGTTGCACTCTGTGACTTGAATGCAAACATCACATAGCAGTGTTTGAGAATTCTTCTGTCTAGAGTAACATGAAGAAATCCCGTTTCCAACGAAGGCCTCAAGGCGGTCCAATTATCCACTTGCAGATTCTACAGAAAGAGTGTTTCAAAACTGCTCTATCAAGAGAAATGTTCCACCGTGTGTGTGGAATGCAGCCATCACACAGTAGTTTCTGAGATTGCTTCCGTCTAGGTTTTATGGGAAGATATTTCCTTTTCTACCATAGGCCTCAAGGCGCTCTAATATCCGCTTGGAAATACTACAACCACAGCATTTCAAACTGCTCTATCCAAAGGAAGGTTCCACTCTGTGACTTGAATGCACACAACCAAAGAAGTTTCGGAGAATTCTTCTGTCTAGATTTATACGAAGAAATCCCGTTTCCAACGAAGACCCAAAGGAGTTCCAAATATCCACTTGCAGATCCTTCAGAAAGAGGGTTTCAAAACTGCTCTATCAAGAGAAATGTTCAACTCTGTGAGTTGAATGCAGACATCACAAAGTCGTTTCTGAGATTGGTTCTGTCTAGGTTTTATGGGAAGATATTTCCTTTTCTACCATACGCTTCAAGGCGTTCCAAATATCTGCTTGGAAATACTACAAAAACAGTGTTTCAAAACTGCTCTATCAAAAGGAAGGATCCACACTGTGAGTTGAATTCACACATCACAAAGAAGTCTCTGAGAATTCTTCTGTCTGGGTTTATAGGAAGAAATCCCATTTCCAACGAAGGCCTCAAAGAGGTCCAAATATCCACTTGCAGATTCTACAGAAACAATGTTTCCAAACTGCTCTGTCAAGAGGAACGTTGCACTCGGTGAGTTGAATGCACACATCACAAAGTAGTTTCTGAGATTGCTTCTGTCTACCTTTTATGGAAAGATATTCCCTTTTCTACCATAGGCCTGAAAGCGCTCTCAATGTACCCTTGCAAATTCTACAAAAAGAGTGTTTCCAAATTGCTCTATCAAGAGAAATCTTTATCTCGGTGAGTTGAAAGCACACATCACAAAGAAGACTCTGAGAATTCTTCTGTCTGGGTTTATAAGATGAAAACCCGTTTCCAACGAAGGCCTCAAGGGAGGTCCAAATACAAACAAGCTGATTCTACAGAAAGAGTGTTTCCAAACTGCTCTATCAAGAGGAATGTTCCACTCGGTGAGTTGAATGCAGACATCACAAAGGAGTTTCTGAGATTGCTTCTGTCTAGCTTTTATGGAAAGATATTTCCTTTTCTACCATAGGCCTCAAAGCGCTCTTAGTATACACTTCCAAATTCTACAAAGAGAGTGTTACTAAACCGCTCTCTCAAAGGAAATGTTAAACTCTGTGAGTTGAACACAGACATCACAAAGCAGTTTCTGAGAACACTTCTGTCTGCCTTTTATGTGAAGACATTCCCTTTTCCAAAGAATGCCTCCAAGGGCTCAAAATATCCACTCGTAGACTTTACAAAGAGAGTGTTTCAAAACTTCTCTACCAAAAGAAAGGTTAAAGACGGTGAGTTCAACGCACACATCACAAAGTTGTTTCTGAGAATGATTCTATCTATGTTTCCATGAAGATGTTTCCTTTTCTATCATAGGCTTCAAAGTGGTCTAAATATCCACTTGGAAATCCTACAAGAACAGGGTTTCAAAACTTCTCTATCAAACGGAAGACTCCACTCTGTGAGATGAACGCACACATCACAATGAGGTTTCTGAAAATTCTTCTGTCTAGGGTTATAGGAAGAAATCCCGTTTCCAACGAAGGCCTCAAAGAGTTCCAAATATCCACCTGCAGTTTCTACAAAAAGAGTGTTTCAACACTGCTCTGTAAAGGGGAACGTTCCACTCTGTGAGTTGAATGTACACATCACAAAGTAGTTTCTGAGATTGCTTCTGTCTAGGTTTTAGGTGAAGTTATTTCCTTTTCTACTTTGGGCTTCAATGCGCTCTAAATATACACATGCAAATACTACAAAAAGAGTGTTTCAAAACTGCTCTATCAAAAGAAAAGTTTTACTCTGTGGGTTGAACGCACACATCGCAAAGCAGATTCTGAGAATTATTCTGTCTAGTTTTTATAGGAAGATGTTTCTTTTTCTGCCGTAGGCTCAATGCGCTATAAATATCCCCTTGGAAATCCTACAAAAACAGTGTTTCAAAACTGCTCTGTGAAAAGGGACGTTTCACTCTTTGAATTGAATGCACACATCACAAAGGAGTTTCTGAAAATTCTTCAAACTAGAGTTACATGAAGAAATCCCGTTTCCAAAGAAGGCCTCAAATAGGTCCAAATATCCACTTGCAGCTACTACAAGAAGGGTGTTTCAGAAACGCTCTATCAAAAGAAACGTTAAACTCTGTGAGTTGAACGCACACGTCACTAAGCACTTTCTGAGAACGATTCTATCTACTTTTTACATGAAGATGTTTCCTTTTCTAGCAGAGACTTCAAAGTGCTCTAAATATCCACTTGGGAATTCTACAAAAACGGTGTCTCAAAACTGCTCTACCAAAGGGAATGTTCCATTCTGTGAGTCGAATGCACACATCCGAAGAAGTTACTGAGAATTCTTCTCTGTAGGTTTAGATGAAGAAATCCCGTTTCCAACGAAGGGCCTCTAGGAGGTCCAATTATCCACTTGCAGATTCTACAGAAAGAGTGTTTCAAAACTGCTCTATCAAGAGAAATGGTCCACCGTGTGTGTGGAATGCAGCCATCACACATTAGTTTCTGAGATTGTTTCTGTCTTGGTTTTATGGGGAGATATTTCCATTTCTAGCATAGGCTTCAAGGCGCTCTAAATATCCGCTTGGAAATACTACAAAAACAGTGTTTCAAAACTGCTGTATCCAAAGGAAGGTGCCACTCGCTGAGTTGAATGCACACATCACAAGGAAGTTTCTGAGAATTCTTCTGTCTAGATTCATACGAAGAAATCCCGTTTCCAACGAAGGCCTCAAAGAAGTCCAAATATCCCATTGCAAATTCTACAAAAGGAGTGTTTCCCAACTGCTCTATCAAGAGGAATGTTGCACTCTGTGACTTGCATGCAAACATCACATAGCAGTGTTTGAGAATTCTTCTGTCTAGAGTAACATGAAGAAATCCCGTTTCCAACGAAGGCCTCAAGGCGGTCCAATTATCCACTTGCAGATTCTACAGAAAGAGTGTTTCAAAACTGCTCTATCAAGAGAAATGTTCCACCGTGTGTGGGGAATGCAGCCATCACACAGTAGTTTCTGAGATTGCTTCCGTCTAGGTTTTATGGGAAGATATTTCCTTTTCTACCATAGGCCTCAAGGCGCTCTAATATCCGCTTGGAAATACTACAACCACAGCGTTTCAAACTGCTCTATCCAAAGGAAGGTTCCACTCTGTGACTTGAATGCACACAACCAAAGAAGTTTCGGAGAATTCTTCTGTCTAGATTTATACGAAGAAATCGCGTTTCCAACGAAGACCCAAAGGAGTTCCAAATATCCACTTGCAGATCCTTCAGAAAGAGGGTTTCAAAACTGCTCTATCAAGAGAAATGTTCAACTCTGTGAGTTGAATGCAGACATCACAAAGTCGTTTCTGAGATGGGTTCTGTCTAGGTTTTATGGGAAGATATTTCCTTTTCTACCATACGCTTCAAGGCGTTCCAAATATCCGCTTGGAAATACTACAAAAACAGTGTTTCAAAACTGCTCTATCAAAAGGAAGGATCCACACTGTGAGTTGAATTCACACATCACAAAGAAGTCTCTGAGAATTCTTCTGTCTGGGTTTATAGGAAGAAATCCCGTTTCCAACGAAGGCCTCAAAGCGGTCCATATATCCACTTGCAGATTCTACAGAAACAATGTTTCCAAACTGCTCGGTCAAGAGGAATGTTGCACTCGGTGAGTTGAATGCACACATCACAAAGTAGTTTCTGAGATTGCTTCTGTCTACCTTTTATGGAAAGATATTCCCTTTTCTACCGTAGGACTGAAAGCGCTCTCAATGTACCCTTGCAAATTCTACAAAAAGAGTGTTTCCAAATTGCTCTATCAAGAGAAATCTTTATCTCGGTGAGTTGAAAGCACACATCACAAAGAAGACTCTGAGAATTCTTCTGTCTGGGTTTATAAGATGAAAACCCGTTTCCAACGAAGGCCTCAAGGAGGTCCAAATACAAACAAGCTGATTCTACAGAAAGAGTGTTTCCAAACTGCTCTATCAAGAGGAATGTTCCACTCGGTGAGTTGAATGCAGACATCACAAAGGAGTTTCTGAGATTGCTTCTGTCTAGCTTTTATGGAAAGATATTTCCTTTTCTACCATAGGCCTCAAAGCGCTCTTAGTATACACTTCCAAATTCTACAAAGAGAGTGTTACTAAACCGCTCTCTCAAAGGAAATGTTAAACTCTGTGAGTTGAACACAGACATCACAAAGCAGTTTCTGAGAACACTTCTGTCTGCCTTTTATGTGAAGACATTCCCTTTTCCAAAGAATGCCTCCAAGGGCTCAAAATATCCACTTGTAGACTTTACAAAGAGAGTGTTTCAAAACTTCTCTACCAAAAGAAAGGTTAAAGACGGTGAGTTCAACGCACACATCACAAAGTTGTTTCTGAGAATGATTCTATCTATGTTTTCCATGAAGATGTTTCCTTTTCTATCATAGGCTTCAAAGTGGTCTAAATATCCACTTGGAAATCCTACAAGAACAGGGTTTCAAAACTTCTCTATGAAACGGAAGACTCCACTCTGTGAGATGAACGCACACATCACAATGAGGTTTCTGAAAATTCTTCTGTCTAGGGTTATAGGAAGAAATCCCGTTTCCAACGAAGGCCTCAAAGAGGTCCAAATATCCACTTGCAGTTTCTACAAAAAGAGTGTTTCAACACTGCTCTATAAAGAGGAAAGTTCCACTCTGTGAGTTGAATGTACACATCACAAAGTAGTTTCTGAGATTGCTTCCTGTCTAGGTTTTAGGTGAAGTTATTTCCTTTTCTACTGTGGGCTTCAATGCGCTCTAAATATACACATGCAAATACTACAAAAAGAGTGTTTCAAAACTGCTCTATCAAAAGAAAAGTTTTACTCTGTGAGTTGAACGCACACATCGCAAAGCAGATTCTGAGAATTATTCTGTCTAGTTTTTATAGGAAGATGTTTCTTTTTCTGCCGTAGGCTCAATGCGCTATAAATATCCCCTTGGAAATCCTACAAAAACAGTGTTTCAAAACTGCTCTGTGAAAAGGGAGGTTTCACTCTTTGAATTGAATGCACACATCACAAAGGAGTTTCTGAAAATTCTTCAAACTAGAGTTACATGAAGAAATCCCGTTTCCAAAGAAGGCCTCAAATAGGTCCAAATATCCACTTGCAGCTACTACAAGCAGGGTGTTTCAGAAACGCTCTATCAAAAGAAACGTTAAACTCTGTGAGTTGAACACACACGTCACTAACCACTTTCTGAGAACGATTCTATCTACTTTTTACATGAAGATGTTTCCTTTTCTAGCAGAGACTTCAAAGTGCTCTAAATATCCACTTGGGAATTCTACAAAAACGGTGTCTCAAAACTGCTCTATCAAACGGAATGTTCCATTCTGTGAGTCGAATGCACACATCCGAAGAAGTTACTGAGAATTCTTCTCTGTAGGTTTAGATGAAGAAATCCCGTTTCCAACGAAGTCCTCTAGGAGGTCCAATTATCCACTTGCAGATTCTACAGAAAGAGTGTTTCAAAACTGCTGTATCAAGAGAAATGGTCCACCGTGTGTGTGGAATGCAGCCATCACACATTAGTTTCTGAGATTGCTTCTGTCTTGGTTTTATGGGGAGATATTTCCATTTCTAGCATAGGCTTCAAGGCGCTCTAAATATCCGCTTGGAAATAGTACAAAAACAGTGTTTCAAAACTGCTGTATCCAAAGGAAGGTGCCACTCGCTGAGTTGAATGCACACATCACAAGGAAGTTTCTGAGAATTCTTCTGTCTAGATTCATACGAAGAAATCCCGTTTCCAACGAAGGCCTCAAAGAAGTCCAAATATCCCATTGCAAATTCTACAAAAGGAGTGTTTCCCAACTGCTCTATCAAGAGGAATGTTGCACTCTGTGACTTGAATGCAAACATCACATAGCAGTGTTTGAGAATTCTTCTGTCTAGAGTAACATGAAGAAATCCCGTTTCCAACGAAGGCCTCAAGGCGGTCCAGTTATCCACTTACAGATTCTACAGAAAGAGTGTTTCAAAACTGCTCTATCAAGAGAAATGTTCCACCGTGTGTGTGGAATGCAGCCATCACACAGTAGTTTCTGAGATTGCTTCCGTCTAGGTTTTATGGGAAGATATTTCCTTTTCTACCATAGGCTTCAAGGCGCTCTAATATCCGCTTGGAAATACTACAACCAGAGCGTTTCAAACTGCTCTATCCAAAGGAAGGTTCCACTCTGTGACTTGAATGCACACAACCAAAGAAGTTTCGGAGAATTCTTCTGTCTAGATTTAAAGAAGAAATCCCGTTTCCAACGAAGACCCAAAGGAGTTCCAAATATCCACTTGCAGATCCTTCAGAAAGAGGGTTTCAAAACTGCTCTATCAAGAGAAATGTTCAACTCTGTGAGTTGAATGCAGACATCACAAAGTCATTTCTGAGATTGGTTCTGTCTAGGTTTTATGGGAAGATATTTCCTTTTCTACCATACGCTCCAAGGCGTTCCAAATATCCGCTTGGAAATACTACAAAAACAGTGTTTCAAAACTGCTCTATCAAAAGGAAGGATCCACACTGTGAGTTGAATTCACACATCACAAAGAAGTCTCTGAGAATTCTTCTGTCTGGGTTTATAGGAAGAAATCCCGTTTCCAACGAAGGCCTCAAAGCGGTCCATATATCCACTTGCAGATTCTACAGAAACAATGTTTCCAAACTGCTCTATCAAGAGGAATGTTGCACTCGGTGGGTTGAATGCACACATCACAAAGTAGTTTCTGAGATTGCTTCTGTCTACCTTTTATGGAAAGATATTCCCTTTTCTACCATAGGCCTGAAAGCGCTCTCAATGTACCCTTGCAAATTCTACAAAAAGAGTGTTTCCAAATTGCTCTATCAAGAGAAATCTTTATCTCGGTGAGTTGAAAGCACACATCACAAAGAAGACTCTGAGAATTCTTCTGTCTGGGTTTATAAGATGAAAACCCGTTTCCAACGAAGGCCTCAAGGAGGTCCAAATACAAACAAGCTGATTCTACAGAAAGAGTGTTTCCAAACTGCTCTATCAAGAGGAATGTTCCACTCGGTGAGTTGAATGCAGACATCACAAAGGAGTTTCTGAGATTGCTTCTGTCTAGCTTTTATGGAAAGATATTTCCTTTTCTACCATAGGCCTCAAAGCGCTCTTAGTATACACTTCCAAATTCTACAAAGAGAGTGTTACTAAACCGCTCTCTCAAAGGAAATGTTAAACTCTGTGAGTTGAACACAGACATCACAAAGCAGTTTCTGAGAACACTTCTGTCTGCCTTTTATGTGAAGACATTCCCTTTTCCAAAGAATGCCTCCAAGGGCTCAAAATATCCACTTGTAGACTTTACAAAGAGAGTGTTTCAAAACTTCTCTACCAAAAGAAAGGTTAAAGACGGTGAGTTCAACGCACACATCACAAAGTTGTTTCTGAGAATGATTCTATCTATGTTTTCCATGAAGATGTTTCCTTTTCTATCATAGGCTTCAAAGTGGTCTAAATATCCACTTGGAAATCCTACAAGAACAGGGTTTCAAAACTTCTCTATCAAACGGAAGACTCCACTCTGTGAGATGAACGCACACATCACAATGAGGTTTCTGAAAATTCTTCTGTCTAGGGTTATAGGAAGAAATCCCGTTTCCAACGAAGGCCTCAAAGAGGTCCAAATATCCACTTGCAGTTTCTACAAAAAGAGTCTTTCAACACTGCTCTATAAAGAGGAAAGTTCCACTCGGTGAGTTGAATGTACACATCACAAAGTAGTTTCTGAGATTGCTTCTGTCTAGGTTTTAGGTGAAGTTATTTCCTTTTCTACTGTGGGCTTCAATGCGCTCTAAATATACACATGCAAATACTACAAAAAGAGTGTTTCAAAACTGCTCTATCAAAAGAAAAGTTTTACTCTGTGGGTTGAACGCACACATCGCAAAGCAGATTCTGAGAATTATTCTGTCTAGTTTTTATAGGAAGATGTTTCTTTTTCTGCCGTAGGCTCAATGCGCTATAAATATCCCCTTGGAAATCCTACAAAAACAGTGTTTCAAAACTGCTCTGTGAAAAGGGAGGTTTCACTCTTTGAATTGAATGCACACATCACAAAGGAGTTTCTGAAAATTCTTCAAACTAGAGTTACATGAAGAAATCCCGTTTCCAAAGAAGGCCTCAAATAGGTCCAAATATCCACTTGCAGCTACTACAAGCAGGGTGTTTCAGAAACGCTCTATCAAAAGAAACGTTAAACTCTGTGAGTTGAACACACACGTCACTAAGCACTTTCTGAGAACGATTCTATCTACTTTTTACATGAAGATGTTTCCTTTTCTAGCAGAGACTTCAAAGTGCTCTAAATATCCACTTGGGAATTCTACAAAAACGGTGTCTCAAAACTGCTCTATCAAAGGGAATGTTCCATTCTGTGAGTCGAATGCACACATCCGAAGAAGTTACTGAGAATTCTTCTCTGTAGGTTTAGATGAAGAAATCCCGTTTCCAACGAAGGCCTCTAGGAGGTCCAATTATCCACTTGCAGATTCTACAGAAAGAGTGTTTCAAAACTGCTCTATCAAGAGAAATGGTCCACCGTGTGTGTGGAATGCAGCCATCACACATTAGTTTCTGAGATTGCTTCTGTCTTGGTTTTATGGGGAGATATTTCCATTTCTAGCATAGGCTTCAAGGCGCTCTAAATATCCGCTTGGAAATACTACAAAAACAGTGTTTCAAAACTGCTGTATCCAAAGGAAGGTGCCACTCGCTGAGTTGAATGCACACATCACAAGGAAGTTTCTGAGAATTCTTCTGTCTAGATTCATACGAAGAAATCCCGTTTCCAACGAAGGCCTCAAAGAAGTCCAAATATCCCATTGCAAATTCTACAAAAGGAGTGTTTCCCAACTGCTCTATCAAGAGGAATGTTGCACTCTGTGACTTGAATGCAAACATCACATAGCAGTGTTTGAGAATTCTTCTGTCTAGAGTAACATGAAGAAATCCCGTTTCCAACGAAGGCCTCAAGGCGGTCCAATTATCCACTTGCAGATTCTACAGAAAGAGTGTTTCAAAACTGCTCTATCAAGAGAAATGTTCCACCGTGTGTGTGGAATGCAGCCATCACACAGTAGTTTCTGAGATTGCTTCCGTCTAGGTTTTATGGGAAGATATTTCCTTTTCTACCATAGGCTTCAAGGCGCTCTAATATCCGCTTGGAAATACTACAACCACAGCGTTTCAAACTGCTCTATCCAAAGGAAGGTTCCACTCTGTGACTTGAATGCACACAACCAAAGAAGTTTCGGAGAATTCTTCTGTCTGGATTTATACGAAGAAATCCCGTTTCCAACGAAGGCCCAAAGGAGTTCCAAATATCCACTTGCAGATCCTTCAGAAAGAGGGTTTCAAAACTGCTCTATCAAGAGAAATGTTCAACTCTGTGAGTTGAATGCAGACATCACAAAGTCGTTTCTGAGATGGGTTCTGTCTAGGTTTTATGGGAAGATATTTCCTTTTCTACCATACGCTTCAAGGCGTTCCAAATATCCGCTTGGAAATACTACAAAAACGGTGTTTCAAAACTGCTCTATCAAAAGGAAGGATCCACACTGTGAGTTGAATTCACACATCGCAAAGAAATCTCTGAGAATTCTTCTGTCTGGGTTTATAGGAAGAAATCCCGTTTCCAACGAAGGCCTCAAAGCGGTCCATATATCCACTTGCAGATTCTACAGAAACAATGTTTCCAAACTGCTCTATCAAGAGGAATGTTGCACTCGGTGAGTTGAATGCACACATCACAAAGTAGTTTCTGAGATTGCTTCTGTCTACCTTTTATGGAAAGATATTCCCTTTTCTACCATAGGCCTGAAAGCGCTCTCAATGTACCCTTGCAAATTCTACAAAAAGAGTGTTTCCAAATTGCTCTATCAAGAGAAATCTTTATCTCGGTGAGTTGAAAGCACACATCACAAAGAAGACTCTGAGAATTCTTCTGTCTGGGTTTATAAGATGAAAACCCGTTTCCAACGAAGGCCTCAAGGAGGTCCAAATACAAACAAGCTGATTCTACAGAAAGAGTGTTTCCAAACTGCTCTATCAAGAGGAATGTTCCACTCGGTGAGTTGAATGCAGACATCACAAAGGAGTTTCTGAGATTGCTTCTGTCTAGCTTTTATGGAAAGATATTTCCTTTTCTACCATAGGCCTCAAAGCGCTCTTAGTATACACTTCCAAATTCTACAAAGAGAGTGTTACTAAACCGCTCTCTCAAAGGAAATGTTAAACTCTGTGAGTTGAACACAGACATCACAAAGCAGTTTCTGAGAACACTTCTGTCTGCCTTTTATGTGAAGACATTCCCTTTTCCAAAGAATGCCTCCAAGGGCTCAAAATATCCACTTGTAGACTTTACAAAGAGAGTGTTTCAAAACTTCTCTACCAAAAGAAAGGTTAAAGACGGTGAGTTCAACGCACACATCACAAAGTTGTTTCTGAGAATGATTCTATCTATGTTTTCCATGAAGATGTTTCCTTTTCTATCATAGGCTTCAAAGTGGTCTAAATATCCACTTGGAAATCCTACAAGAACAGGGTTTCAAAACTTCTCTATCAAACGGAAGACTCCACTCTGTGAGATGAACGCACACATCACAATGAGGTTTCTGAAAATTCTTCTGTCTAGGGTTATAGGAAGAAATCCCGTTTCCAACGAAGGCCTCAAAGAGGTCCAAATATCCACTTGCAGTTTCTACAAAAAGAGTGTTTCAACACTGCTCTATAAAGAGGAAAGTTCCACTCTGTGAGTTGAATGTACACATCACAAAGTAGTTTCTGAGATTGCTTCTCTCTAGGTTTTAGGTGAAGTTATTTCCTTTTCTACTGTGGGCTTCAATGCGCTCTAAATATACACATGCAAATACTACAAAAAGAGTGTTTCAAAACTGCTCTATCAAAAGAAAAGTTTTACTCTGTGGGTTGAACGCACACATCGCAAAGCAGATTCTGAGAATTATTCTGTCTAGTTTTCATAGGAAGATGTTTCTTTTTCTGCCATAGGATCAATGCGCTATAAATATCCCCTTGGAAATCCTACAAAAACAGTATTTCAAAACTGCTCTGTGAAAAGGGAGGTTTCACTCTTTGAATTGAATGCACACATCACAAAGGAGTTTCTGAAAATTCTTCAATCTAGAGTTACATGAAGAAATCCCGTTTCCAAAGAAGGCCTCAAATAGGTCCAAATATCCACTTGCAGCTACTACAAGAAGGGTGTTTCAGAAACGCTCTATCAAAAGAAACGATAAACTCTGTGAGTTGAACACACACGTCACTAAGCACTTTCTGAGAACGATTCTATCTACTTTTTACATGAAGATGTTTCCTTTTCTAGCAGAGACTTCAAAGTGCTCTAAATATCCACTTGGGAATTCTACAAAAACGGTGTCTCAAAACTGCTCTATCAAAGGGAATGTTCCATTCTGTGAGTCGAATGCACACATCCGAAGAAGTTACTGAGAATTCTTCTCTGTAGGTTTAGATGAAGAAATCCCATTTCCAACGAAGGCCTCTAGGAGGTCCAATTATCCACTTGCAGATTCTACAGAAAGAGTGTTTCAAAACTGCTCTATCAAGAGAAATGGTCCACCGTGTGTGTGGAATGCAGCCATCACACATTAGTTTCTGAGATTGCTTCTGTCTTGGTTTTATGGGGAGATATTTCCATTTCTAGCATAGGCTTCAAGGCGCTCTAAATATCCGCTTGGAAATACTACAAAAACAGTGTTTCAAAACTGCTGTATCCAAAGGAAGGTGCCACTCGCTGAGTTGAATGCACACATCACAAGGAAGTTTCTGAGAATTCTTCTGTCTAGATTCATACGAAGAAATCCCGTTTCCAACGAAGGCCTCAAAGAAGTCCAAATATCCCATTGCAAATTCTACAAAAGGAGTGTTTCCCAACTGCTCTATCAAGAGGAATGTTGCACTCTGTGACTTGCATGCAAACATCACACAGCAGTGTTTGAGAATTCTTCTGTCTAGAGTAACATGAAGAAATCCCGTTTCCAACGAAGGCCTCAAGGCGGTCCAATTATCCACTTGCAGATTCTACAGAAAGAGTGTTTCAAAACTGCTCTATCAAGAGAAATGTTCCACCGTGTGTGTGGAATGCAGCCATCACACAGTAGTTTCTGAGATTGCTTCCGTCTAGGTTTTATGGGAAGATATTTCCTTTTCTACCATAGGCCTCAAGGCGCTCTAATATCCGCTTGGAAATACTACAACCACAGCGTTTCAAACTGCTCTATCCAAAGGAAGGTTCCACTCTGTGACTTGAATGCACACAACCAAAGAAGTTTCGGAGAATTCTTCTGTCTGGATTTATACGAAGAAATCCCGTTTCCAACGAAGACCCAAAGGAGTTCCAAATATCCACTTGCAGATCCTTCAGAAAGAGGGTTTCAAAACTGCTCTATCAAGAGAAATGTTCAACTCTGTGAGTTGAATGCAGACATCACAAAGTCGTTTCTGAGATGGGTTCTGTCTAGGTTTTATGGGAAGATATTTCCTTTTCTACCATACGCTTCAAGGCGTTCCAAATATCCGCTTGGAAATACTACAAAAACAGTGTTTCAAAACTGCTCTATCAAAAGGAAGGATCCACACTGTGAGTTGAATTCACACATCACAAAGAAGTCTCTGAGAATTCTTCTGTCTGGGTTTATAGGAAGAAATCCCGTTTCCAACGAAGGCCTCAAAGAGGTCCAAATATCCACTTGCAGATTCTACAGAAACAATGTTTCCAAACTGCTCTATCAAGAGGAACGTTGCAATCGGTGAGTTGAATGCACACATCACAAAGTAGTTTCTGAGATTGCTTCTGTCTACCTTTTATGGAAAGATATTCCCTTTTCTACCATAGGCCTGAAAGCGCTCTCAATGTACCCTTGCAAATTCTACAAAAAGAGTGTTTCCAAATTGCTCTATCAAGAGAAATCTTTATCTCGGTGAGTTGAAAGCACACATCACAAAGAAGACTCTGAGAATTCTTCTGTCTGGGTTTATAAGATGAAAACCCGTTTCCAACGAAGGCCTCAAGGAGGTCCAAATACAAACAAGCTGATTCTACAGAAAGAGTGTTTCCAAACTGCTCTATCAAGAGGAATGTTCCACGCGGTGAGTTGAATGCAGACATCACAAAGGAGTTTCTGAGATTGCTTCTGTCTAGCTTTTATGGAAAGATATTTCCTTTTCTACCATAGGCCTCAAAGCGCTCTTAGTATACACTTCCAAATTCTACAAAGAGAGTGTTACTAAACCGCTCTCTCAAAGGAAAATGTTAAACTCTGTGAGTTGAACACAGACATCACAAAGCAGTTTCTGAGAACACTTCTGTCTGCCTTTTATGTGAAGACATTCCCTTTTCCAAAGAATGCCTCCAAGGGCTCCAAATATCCACTTGTAGACTTTACAAAGAGAGTGTTTCAAAACTTCTCTACCAAAAGAAAGGTTAAAGACGGTGAGTTCAACGCACACATCACAAAGTTGTTTCTGAGAATGATTCTATCTATGTTTTCCATGAAGATGTTTCCTTTTCTATCATAGGCTTCAAAGTGGTCTAAATATCCACTTGGAAATCCTACAAGAACAGGGTTTCAAAACTTCTCTATCAAACGGAAGACTCCACTCTGTGAGATGAACGCACACATCACAATGAGGTTTCTGAAAATTCTTCTGTCTAGGGTTATAGGAAGAAATCCCGTTTCCAACGAAGGCCTCAAAGAGGTCCAAATATCCACTTGCAGTTTCTACAAAAAGAGTGTTTCAACACTGCTCTATAAAGAGGAAAGTTCCACTCTGTGAGTTGAATGTACACATCACAATGTAGTTTCTGAGATTGCTTCTGTCTAGGTTTTAGGTGAAGTTATTTCCTTTTCTACTGTGGGCTTCAATGCGCTCTAAATATACACATGCAAATACTACAAAAAGAGTGTTTCAAAACTGCTCTATCAAAAGAAAAGTTTTACTCTGTGGGTTGAACGCACACATCGCAAAGCAGATTCTGAGAATTATTCTGTCTAGTTTTTATAGGAAGATGTTTCTTTTTCTGCCATAGGCTCAATGCGCTATAAATATCCCCTTGGAAATCCTACAAAAACAGTGTTTCAAAACTGCTCTGTGAAAAGGGAGGTTTCACTCTTTGAATTGAATGCACACATCACAAAGGAGTTTCTGAAAATTCTTCAATCTAGAGTTACATGAAGAAATCCCGTTTCCAAAGAAGGCCTCAAATAGGTCCAAATATCCACTTGCAGCTACTACAAGAAGGGTGTTTCAGAAACGCTCTATCAAAAGAAACGTTAAACTCTGTGAGTTGAACGCACACGTCACTAAGCACTTTCTGAGAACGATTCTATCTACTTTTTACATGAAGAATGTTTCCTTTTCTAGCAGAGACTTCAAAGTGCTCTAAATATCCACTTGGGAATTCTACAAAAACGGTGTCTCAAAACTGCTCTACCAAAGGGAATGTTCCATTCTGTGAGTCGAATGCACACATCCGAAGAAGTTACTGAGAATTCTTCTCTGTAGGTTTAGATGAAGAAATCCCGTTTCCAACGAAGGCCTCTAGGAGGTCCAATTATCCACTTGCAGATTCTACAGAAAGAGTGTTTCAAAACTGCTCTATCAAGAGAAATGGTCCACCGTGTGTGTGGAATGCAGCCATCACACATTAGTTTCTGAGATTGCTTCTGTCTTGGTTTTATGGGGAGATATTTCCATTTCTAGCGTAGGCTTCAAGGCGCTCTAAATATCCGCTTGGAAATACTACAAAAACAGTGTTTCAAAACTGCTGTATCCAAGGGAAGGTGCCACTCGCTGAGTTGAATGCACACATTACAAAGAAGTTTCTGAGAATTCTTCTGTCTAGATTCATACGAAGAAATCCCGTTTCCAACGAAGGCCTCAAAGAAGTCCAAATATCCCATTGCAAATTCTACAAAAGGAGTGTTTCCCAACTGCTCTATCAAGAGGAATGTTGCACTCTGTGACTTGCATGCAAACATCACACAGCAGTGTTTGAGAATTCTTCTGTCTAGAGTAACATGAAGAAATCCCGTTTCCAACGAAGGCCTCAAGGCGGTCCAATTATCCACTTGCAGATTCTACAGAAAGAGTGTTTCAAAACTGCTCTATCAAGAGAAATGTTCCACCGTGTGTGTGGAATGCAGCCATCACACAGTAGTTTCTGAGATTGCTTCCGTCTAGGTTTTATGGGAAGATATTTCCTTTTCTACCATAGGCCTCAAGGCGCTCTAATATCCGCTTGGAAATACTACAACCACAGCGTTTCAAACTGCTCTATCCAAAGGAAGGTTCCACTCTGTGACTTGAATGCACACAACCAAAGAAGTTTCGGAGAATTCTTCTGTCTAGATTTATACGAAGAAATCCCGTTTCCAACGAAGACCCAAAGGAGTTCCAAATATCCACTTGCAGATCCTTCAGAAAGAGGGTTTCAAAACTGCTCTATCAAGAGAAATGTTCAACTCTGTGAGTTGAATGCAGACATCACAAAGTCGTTTCTGAGATTGGTTCTGTCTAGGTTTTATGGGAAGATATTTCCTTTTCTACCATACGCTTCAAGGCGTTCCAAATATCCGCTTGGAAATACTACAAAAACAGTGTTTCAAAACTGCTCTATCAAAAGGAAGGATCCACACTGTGAGTTGAATTCACACATCACAAAGAAGTCTCTGAGAATTCTTCTGTCTGGGTTTATAGGAAGAAATCCCGTTTCCAACGAAGGCCTCAAAGAGGTCCAAATATCCACTTGCAGATTCTACAGAAACAATGTTTCCAAACTGCTCGGTCAAGAGGAATGTTGCACTCGGTGAGTTGAATGCACACATCACAAAGTAGTTTCTGAGATTGCTTCTGTCTACCTTTTATGGAAAGATATTCCCTTTTCTACCATAGGCCTGAAAGCGCTCTCAATGTACCCTTGCAAATTCTACAAAAAGAGTGTTTCCAAATTGCTCTATCAAGAGAAATCTTTATCTCGGTGAGTTGAAAGCACACATCACAAAGAAGACTCTGAGAATTCTTCTGTCTGGGTTTATAAGATGAAAACCCGTTTCCAACGAAGGCCTCAAGGAGGTCCAAATACAAACAAGCTGATTCTACAGAAAGAGTGTTTCCAAACTGCTCTATCAAGAGGAATGTTCCACTCGGTGAGTTGAATGCAGACATCACAAAGGAGTTTCTGAGATTGCTTCTGTCTAGCTTTTATGGAAAGATATTTCCTTTTCTACCATAGGCCTCAAAGCGCTCTTAGTATACACTTCCAAATTCTACAAAGAGAGTGTTACTAAACCGCTCTCTCAAAGGAAATGTTAAACTCTGTGAGTTGAACACAGACATCACAAAGCAGTTTCTGAGAACACTTCTGTCTGCCTTTTATGTGAAGACATTCCCTTTTCCAAAGAATGCCTCCAAGGGCTCAAAATATCCACTTGTAGACTTTACAAAGAGAGTGTTTCAAAACTTCTCTACCAAAAGAAAGGTTAAAGACGGTGAGTTCAACGCACACATCACAAAGTTGTTTCTGAGAATGATTCTATCTATGTTTTCCATGAAGATGTTTCCTTTTCTATCATAGGCTTCAAAGTGGTCTAAATATCCACTTGGAAATCCTACAAGAACAGGGTTTCAAAACTTCTCTATCAAACGGAAGACTCCACTCTGTGAGATGAACGCACACATCACAATGAGGTTTCTGAAAATTCTTCTGTCTAGGGTTATAGGAAGAAATCCCGTTTCCAACGAAGGCCTCAAAGAGGTCCAAATATCCACTTGCAGTTTCTACAAAAAGAGTGTTTCAACACTGCTCTATAAAGAGGAAAGTTCCACTCTGTGAGTTGAATGTACACATCACAAAGTAGTTTCTGAGATTGCTTCTGTCTAGGTTTTAGGTGAAGTTATTTCCTTTTCTACTGTGTGCTTCAATGCGCTCTAAATATACACATGCAAATACTACAAAAAGAGTGTTTCAAAACTGCTCTATCAAAAGAAAAGTTTTACTCTGTGAGATGAACGCACACATCGCAAAGCACATTCTGAGAATTATTCTGTCTAGTTTTTATAGGAAGATGTTTCTTTTTCTGCCATAGGCTCAATGCGCTATAAATATCCCCTTGGAAATCCTACAAAAACAGTGTTTCAAAACTGCTCTGTGAAAAGGGAGGTTTCACTCTTTGAATTGAATGCACACATCACAAAGGAGTTTCTGAAAATTCTTCAATCTAGAGTTACATGAAGAAATCCCGTTTCCAAAGAAGGCCTCAAATAGGTCCAAATATCTACTTGCAGCTACTACAAGAAGGGTGTTTCAGAAACGCTCTATCAAAAGAAACGTTAAACTCTGTGAGTTGAACGCACACGTCACTAAGCACTTTCTGAGAACGATTCTATCTACTTTTTACATGAAGATATTACCTTTTCTAGCAGAGACTTCAAAGTGCTCTAAATATCCACTTGGGAATTCTACAAAACGGTGTCTCAAAACTGCTCTATCAAAGGGAATGTTCCATTCTGTGAGTCGAATGCACACATCCGAAGAAGTTCCTGAGAATTCTTCTCTGTAGGTTTAGATGAAGAAATCCCGTTTCCAACGAAGGCCTCTAGGAGGTCCAATTATCCACTTGCAGATTCTACAGAAAGAGTGTTTCAAAACTGCTCTATCAAGAGAAATGGTCCACCGTGTGTGTGGAATGCAGCCATCACACATTAGTTTCTGAGATTGCTTCTGTCTTGGTTTTATGGGGAGATATTTCCATTTCTAGCATAGGCTTCAAGGCGCTCTAAATATCCGCTTGGAAATACTACAAAAACAGTGTTTCAAAACTGCTGTATCCAAAGGAAGGTGCCACTCGCTGAGTTGAATGCACACATCACAAGGAAGTTTCTGAGAATTCTTCTGTCTAGATTCATACGAAGAAATCCCGTTTCCAACGAAGGCCTCAAAGAAGTCCAAATATCCCATTGCAAATTCTACAAAAGGAGTGTTTCCCAACTGCTCTATCAAGAGGAATGTTGCACTCTGTGACTTGAATGCAAACATCACATAGCAGTGTTTGAGAATTCTTCTGTCTAGAGTAACATGAAGAAATCCCGTTTCCAACGAAGGCCTCAAGGCGGTCCAATTATCCACTTGCAGATTCTACAGAAAGAGTGTTTCAAAACTGCTCTATCAAGAGAAATGTTCCACCGTGTGTGTGGAATGCAGCCATCACACAGTAGTTTCTGAGATTGCTTCCGTCTAGGTTTTATGGGAAGATATTTCCTTTTCTACCATAGGCCTCAAGGCGCTCTAATATCCGCTTGGAAACACTACAACCACAGCGTTTCAAACTGCTCTACCCAAAGGAAGGTTCCACCCTGTGACTTGAATGCACACAACCAAAGAAGTTTCGGAGAATTCTTCTGTCTGGATTTATACGAAGAAATCGCGTTTCCAACGAAGACCCAAAGGAGTTCCAAATATCCACTTGCAGATCCTTCAGAAAGAGGGTTTCAAAACTGCTCTATCAAGAGAAATGTTCAACTCTGTGAGTTGAATGCAGACATCACAAAGTCGTTTCTGAGATTGGTTCTGTCTAGGTTTTATGGGAAGATATTTCCTTTTCTACCATACGCTTCAAGGCGTTCCAAATATCCGCTTGGAAATACTACAAAAACGGTGTTTCAAAACTGCTCTATCAAAAGGAAGGATCCACACTGTGAGTTGAATTCACACATCACAAAGAAGTCTCTGAGAATTCTTCTGTCTGGGTTTATAGGAAGAAATCCCGTTTCCAACGAAGGCTTCAAAGAGGTCCAAATATCCACTTGCAGATTCTACAGAAACAATGTTTCCAAACTGCTCGGTCAAGAGGAATGTTGCACTCGGTGAGTTGAATGCACACATCACAAAGTAGTTTCTGAGATTGCTTCTGTCTACCTTTTATGGAAAGATATTCCCTTTTCTACCATAGGCCTGAAAGCGCTCTCAATGTACCCTTGCAAATTCTACAAAAAGAGTGTTTCCAAATTGCTCTATCAAGAGAAATCTTTATCTCGGTGAGTTGAAAGCACACATCACAAAGAAGACTCTGAGAATTCTTCTGTCTGGGTTTATAAGATGAAAACCCGTTTCCAACGAAGGCCTCAAGGAGGTCCAAATACAAACAAGCTGATTCTACAGAAAGAGTGTTTCCAAACTGCTCTATCAAGAGGAATGTTCCACTCGGTGAGTTGAATGCAGACATCACAAAGGAGTTTCTGAGATTGCTTGTGTCTAGCTTTTATGGAAAGATATTTCCTTTTCTACCATAGGCCTCAAAGCGCTCTTAGTATACACTTCCAAATTCTACAAAGACAGTGTTACTAAACTGCTCTATCAAAGGAAATGTTAAACTCTGTGAGTTGAACACAGACATCACAAAGCAGTTTCTGAGAACACTTCTGTCTGCCTTTTATGTGAAGACATTCCCTTTTCCAAAGAATGCCTCCAAGGGCTCAAAATATCCACTTGTAGACTTTACAAAGAGAGTGTTTCAAAACTTCTCTACCAAAAGAAAGGTTAAAGACGGTGAGTTCAACGCACACATCACAAAGTTGTTTCTGAGAATGATTCTATCTATGTTTTCCATGAAGATGTTTCCTTTTCTATCATAGGCTTCAAAGTGGTCTAAATATCCACTTGGAAATCCTACAAGAACAGGGTTTCAAAACTTCTCTATCAAACGGAAGACTCCACTCTGTGAGATGAACGCACACATCACAATGAGGTTTCTGAAAATTCTTCTGTCTAGGGTTATAGGAAGAAATCCCGTTTCCAACGAAGGCCTCAAAGAGGTCCAAATATCCACTTGCAGTTTCTACAAAAAGAGTGTTTCAACACTGCTCTATAAAGAGAAAAGTTCCACTCTGTGAGTTGAATGTACACATCACAAAGTAGTTTCTGAGATTGCTTCTGTCTAGGTTTTAGGTGAAGTTATTTCCTTTTCTACTGTGGGCTTCAATGCGCTCTAAATATACACATGCAAATACTACAAAAAGAGTGTTTCAAAACTGCTCTATCAAAAGAAAAGTTTTACTCTGTGAGTTGAACGCACACATCGCAAAGCAGATTCTGAGAATTATTCTGTCTAGTTTTTATAGGAAGATGTTTCTTTTTCTGCCATAGGCTCAATGCGCTATAAATATCCCCTTGGAAATCCTACAAAAACAGTGTTTCAAAACTGCTCTGTGAAAAGGGAGGTTTCACTCTTTGAATTGAATGCACACATCACAAAGGAGTTTCTGAAAATTCTTCAATCTAGAGTTACATGAAGAAATCCCGTTTCCAAAGAAGGCCTCAAATAGGTCCAAATATCCACTTGCAGCTACTACAAGAAGGGTGTTTCAGAAACGCTCTATCAAAAGAAACGTTAAACTCTGTGAGTTGAACACACACGTCACTAAGCACCTTCTGAGAATGATTCTATCTACTTTTTACATGAAGATGTTTCCTTTTCTAGCAGAGACTTCAAAGTGCTCTAAATATCCACTTGGGAATTCTACAAAAACGGTGTCTCAAAACTGCTCTATCAAAGGGAATGTTCCATTCTGTGAGTCGAATGCACACATCCGAAGAAGTTACTGAGAATTCTTCTCTGTAGGTTTAGATGAAGAAATCCCGTTTCCAACGAAGGCCTCTAGGAGGTCCAATTATCCACTTGCAGATTCTACAGAAAGAGTGTTTCAAAACTGCTCTATCAAGAGAAATGGTCCACCGTGTGTGTGGAATGCAGCCATCACACATTAGTTTCTGAGATTGCTTCTGTCTTGGTTTTATGGGGAGATATTTCCATTTCTAGCATAGGCTTCAAGGCGCTCTAAATATCCGCTTGGAAATACTACAAAAACAGTGTTTCAAAACTGCTGTATCGAAAGGAAGGTGCCACTCGCTGAGTTGAATGCACACATCACAAGGAAGTTTCTGAGAATTCTTCTGTCTAGATGCATACGAAGAAATCCCGTTTCCAACGAAGGCCTCAAAGAAGTCCAAATATCCCATTGCAAATTCTACAAAAGGAGTGTTTCCCAACTGCTCTATCAAGAGGAATGTTGCACTCTGTGACTTGAATGCAAACATCACATAGCAGTGTTTGAGAATTCTTCTGTCTAGAGTAACATGAAGAAATCCCGTTTCCAACGAAGGCCTCAAGGCGGTCCAATTATCCACTTGCAGATTCTACAGAAAGAGTGTTTCAAAACTGCTCTATCAAGAGAAATGTTCCACCGTGTGTGTGGAATGCAGCCATCACACAGTAGTTTCTGAGATTGCTTCCGTCTAGGTTTTATGGGAAGATATTTCCTTTTCTACCATAGGCCTCAAGGCGCTCTAATATCCGCTTGGAAACACTACAACCACAGCGTTTCAAACTGCTCTACCCAAAGGAAGGTTCCACCCTGTGACTTGAATGCACACAACCAAAGAAGTTTCGGAGAATTCTTCTGTCTAGATTTCTACGAAGAAATCCCGTTTCCAACGAAGACCCAAAGGAGTTCCAAATATCCACTTGCAGATCCTTCAGAAAGAGGGTTTCAAAACTGCTCTATCAAGAGAAATGTTCAACTCTGTGAGTTGAATGCAGACATCACAAAGTCGTTTCTGAGATTGGTTCTGTCTAGGTTTTATGGGAAGATATTTCCTTTTCTACCATGCGCTTCAAGGCGTTCCAAATATCCGCTTGGAAATACTACAAAAACAGTGTTTCAAAACTGCTCTATCAAAAGGAAGGATCCACACTGTGAGTTGAATTCACACATCACAAAGAAGTCTCTGAGAATTCTTCTGTCTGGGTTTATAGGAAGAAATCCCGTTTCCAACGAAGGCCTCAAAGCGGTCCATATATCCACTTGCAGATTCTACAGAAACAATGTTTCCAAACTGCTCGGTCAAGAGGAATGTTGCACTCGGTGTGTTGAATGCACACATGACAAAGTAGTTTCTGAGATTGCTTCTGTCTACCTTTTATGGAAAGATATTCCCTTTTCTACCATAGGCCTGAAAGCGCTCTCAATGTACCCTTGCAAATTCTACAAAAAGAGTGTTTCCAAATTGCTCTATCAAGAGAAATCTTTATCTCGGTGAGTTGAAAGCACACATCACAAAGAAGACTCTGAGAATTCTTCTGTCTGGGTTTATAAGATGAAAACCCGTTTCCAACGAAGGCCTCAAGGAGGTCCAAATACAAACAAGCTGATTCTACAGAAAGAGTGTTTCCAAACTGCTCTATCAAGAGGAATGTTCCACTCGGTGAGTTGAATGCAGACATCACAAAGGAGTTTCTGAGATTGCTTCTGTCTAGCTTTTATGGAAAGATATTTCCTTTTCTACCATAGGCCTCAAAGCGCTCTTAGTATACACTTCCAAATTCTACAAAGAGAGTGTTACTAAACCGCTCTCTCAAAGGAAATGTTAAACTCTGTGAGTTGAACACAGACATCACAAAGCAGTTTCTGAGAACACTTCTGTCTGCCTTTTATGTGAAGACATTCCCTTTTCCAAAGAATGCCTCCAAGGGCTCAAAATATCCACTTGTAGACTTTACAAAGAGAGTGTTTCAAAACTTCTCTACCAAAAGAAAGGTTAAAGACGGTGAGTTCAACGCACACATCACAAAGTTGTTTCTGAGAATGATTCTATCTATGTTTTCCATGAAGATGTTTCCTTTTCTATCATAGGCTTCAAAGTGGTCTAAATATCCACTTGGAAATCCTACAAGAACAGGGTTTCAAAACTTCTCTATCAAACGGAAGACTCCACTCTGTGAGATGAACGCACACATCACAATGAGGTTTCTGAAAATCTGAAGCAATCTCAGAAACTACTTTGTGATGTGTACATTCAACTCACAGAGTGGAACTTTTCTCTTTATAGAGCAGTGTTGAAACACTAAAATTATCCGGGCGTGGTGGCACGTGCCTGTAGTCCCAGCTACTCGGGAGGATGAGGCAGGAAAATCACTTGAACCCGGGAGGCGGAGGTTGCAGTGAGCCGAGATCGCACCACTGCACTCCAGCCTGGGCGATAGAGCGAGATTCCATCTCAAAAAAATAGATAAATAAAATAAA